>NC_000021.9:12599515-12915808 GCF_000001405.40 Homo sapiens | reverse complement strand
TCTGTCTAGTTTTTATGGGAAGACATTCCCTTTTTCACCAAAGGCATCAAAGCGCTCCAAATGTCCACTTCCAGACACTACAAAAAGAGTGTTTCCAACGTGCTCTAAGAAAGCGAATGTTCAACTCTGTGACTTGAATGCAGATATCACAAAGTAGTTTCTGAGAGGGCTTCTGTCTAGATTTTAGATGATGATATTCCCGTTTCCAACGAAATCATTAGAGCTATCCAAATATCCACTTACAGTTTCTACAAAAAGAGTGTTTCCAAACTGCTGCATCAAAAGAGAGGTTCCACTCTGTTAGCTGAGTACACACATCTCAAACTTGTTTCTCAGAATCCTTCTGTCTCGTTTTTATGGGAAGATATTTACTTTTTCACCGTAGGCATCAAAGCGCTCCAAATGTCCACATCCAGATACTCCGGAAAGAGTGTTTCAAACCTGCTCTATGAAAGGGAATCTTCAACTCTATGAGTTGAATGCAGACATCAGAAAGAAATTTCTGAGAATGCTGCTGTCTACCTTTTATTTGAATTCCCGCTTCCAACGAAATCCTCCAAGCTATCCAAATATCCACCTGCATTTTCCACAAAAAGAGAGTTTCAAAACTGCTCTATCAATAGAAATGTTCAACTCCTTTGGCTGGGTACACACAGCACAAACAAGTTTCTGAGAATGCTTCTGTCTATTTTTTATAGGAAGATATTTCCTTTTTCACGGTAGGCCTCAAGGCGATCGAAATGTCCACTTCTACAATCTAAAAAAAGAGTGTTTCAAACCTGCTCTATGAAAGGCCATGTTCATCTCTATGAGTTGAATGGAAATATCCGAAAGAAATTTCTGGGAATGCTGCTGTCTAGTGTTTATACGAATTCCCGCTTCCAACGAAATCCTCAAAGCAATCCAAATATCCACTTGCAGAATCCACAAAAAGAGTGTTTCAAAACTGCTCTATCAATAGAAAGGTTCAACTCTTTTAGTTGAGTACACACATCACAAACAAGTTTCTGAGAATGCTTCTGTCTGGCTTTTATTGGAAGACGTTTCCTTTTCACCAAAGGCATCAAAGCGCTCCAAATGTCCACTTCCAGATTCTTCCAAAAGAGTGTTTCAAACGTGCTCGAAGTAAGGGAATCTTCTACTCTGTGACTTGAATGCAGATATCACCAAGTAGTTTCTAATAGTTCTTCTGTCTAGATTTTAGATGATTATATTCCCGTTTCCAACGAAATCGTTAGAGCTATCCAAATATCCAGTTACAGTTTCTACCAAAAGGGTGTTTCCAAATTGCTGCATCAAAAGAAAGGTTCAACTCTGTTAGTTGAGGACACACATCACAAAGAAGTTTGTGAGAATGCTTCTGTCTAGATTTTGTATGACCATATTCCCTTTTCCAACGATATCGTTAAAGCAATCTAAATATCAATTTGCAGAATCCACAAAAATAGAGTTTCAAAGCTGCTCTGTAAAAAGAAAGGTTCCACTCTGTTAGCTGAGTACACACATCACAAACTTGTTTACTGAGAATCCTTTCTGTCTCGTTTTTATGGGAAGATATTTACTTTTCCACCGTAGGCATCAAAGCGCTCCAAATGTCCACATCCAGATACTCCAGAACGAGTGTTTCAAACCTGCTCTATGAAAGGGAATCTTCAACTCTATGAGTTGAATGCAGACATCAGAAAGAAATTTCTGAGAATGCTGCTGTCTACCTTTTATTTGAATTCCCGCTTCCAACGAAATCCTCCAAGCTATCCAAATATCCACCTGCATTTTCCACAACAAGAGTGTTTCAAAACTGCTCTATCAATAGAAATGTTCAAATCCTTTGGCTGGGTACACACATCACAAACAAGTTTCTGAGAATGCTTCTGTCTAGTTTTTATGGGTAGACATTCCCTTTTTCACCAAAGGCATCAAAGCGCTCCAAATGTCCACTTCCAGACACTACAAAAAGAGTGTTTCAAACGTGCTCTAAGAAAGCGAATGTTCAACTCTGTGACTTGAATGCAGATATCACAAAGTAGTTTCTGAGAGTGCTTCTGTCTAGATTTTAGATGATGATATTCCCGTTTCCAACGAAATCATTACAGCTATCCAAATATCCACTTACAGTTTCTACAAAAAGAGTGTTTCCAAACTGCTGCATCAAAAGAGAGGTTCCACTCTGTTAGCTGAGTACACACATCACAAACTTGTTTCTCAGAATCCGTCTGTCTAGTTTTTATGGGAAGATATTTACTTTTTCACCGTAGGCATCAAAGCGTTCCAAATGTCCACATCCAGATAGTACAGAAAGAGTGTTTCAAACCTGCTCTATGAAAGGGAATGTTCAACTCTATGAGTTGAATGCAAACATCACAAAGAAATTTCTGAGAATGCTGCTGTCTACCTTTTATTTGAATTCCTGCTTCCAACGAAATCCTCCAAGCTATCCAAATATCCACTTGCAGATTCCACAAAAAGAGTGTTTCAAAACTGCTCTCTATCAATGGCAAAGTTCAACTCTATTAGTTGAGGACACATATCACCAACAAGTTTCTGAGAATGCTTCTGTCTATTTTTTATGGGAAGATATTTCCTTTTTCACCGTAGGCGTCAAGGCGATCGAAATGTCCACTTCCACAAACTACAAAAAGAGTGTTTCAAACCTGCTCTATGAAAGGCCATGATCATCTCTATGAGTTGAATGGAAATATCCGAAAGAAATTTCTGGGAATGCTGCTGTCTAGTTTTTATACGAATTCCCGCTTCCTACGAAATCCTCAAAGCAATCCAAATATCCACTTGCAGAATCCACAAAAAGAGTGTTTCAAAACTGCTCTATCAATAGAAAGGTTCAACCCTTTTAGTTGAGTACACACATCACGAACAAGTTTCTGAGAATGCTTCTGTCTGGCTTTTATTGGAAGACGTTTCCTTTTCACCAAAGGCATCAAAGCGCTCCAAATGTCCACTTCCAGATTCTTCCAAAAGAGTGTTTCAAACGTGCTCAAAGTAAGGGAATGTTCAACTCTGTGACTTGAATGCAGATATCACCAAGTAGTTTCTAATAGTGCTTCTGTCTAGATTTTAGATGATGATATTCCCGTTTCCAACGAAATCGTTAGAGCTATCCAAATATCCAGTTACAGTTTCTACCAAAAGGGTGTTTCCAAATTGCTGCATCAAAAGAAAGGTTCAACTCTGTTAGTTGAGGACACACATCACAAACAAGTTTGTGAGAATGCTTCTGTCTATATTTTGTATGACCATATTCCCTTTTCCAGCGATATCATTAAAGCAATCTAAATATCCATTTGCAGAATCCACAAAAATAGAGTTTCAAAGCTGCTCTGTAAAAAGAAAGGTTCCACTCTGTTAGCTGAGTACACACATCACAAACTTGTTTCTCAGAATCCTTCTGTCTCGTTTTTATGGGAAGATATTTACTTTTCCACCGTAGGCATCAAAGCGCTCCAAATGTCCACATCCAGATACTCCAGAACGAGTGTTTCAAACCTGCTCTATGAAAGGGAATCTTCAACTCTATGAGTTGAATGCAGACATCAGAAAGAAATTTCTGAGAATGCTGCTGTCTACCTTTTATTTGAATTCCCGCTTCCAACGAAATCCTCCAAGCTAACCAAATATCCACCTGCATTTTCCACAACAAGAGTGTTTCAAAACTGCTCTATCAATAGAAATGTTCAACTCTTTGGCTGGGTACACACATCACAAACAAGTTTCTGAGAATGCTTCTGTCTAGTTTTTATGGGTAGACATTCCCTTTTTCACCAAAGGAATCAAAGCGCTCCAAAAGTCCACTTCCAGACACTACAAAAAGAGTGTTTCAAACGTGCTCTAAGAAAGCGAATGTTCAACTCTGTGACTTGAATGCAGATATCACACAGTAGTTTCTGAGAGTGCTTCTGTCTAGATTTTAGATGATGATATTCCCGTTTCCAACGAAATCATTAGAGCTATCCAAATATCCACTTACAGTTTCTACAAAAAGAGTGTTTCCAAACTGCTGCATCAAAAGAGAGGTTCCACTCTGTTAGCTGAGTACACACATCACAAACTTGTTTCTCAGAATCCTTCTGTCTCGCTTTTATGGGAAGATATTTACTTTTTCACCGTAGGCATCAAAGCGCTCCAAATGTCCACATCCAGATACTCCAGAAAGAGTGTTTCAAACCTGCTCTATGAAAGGGAATGTTCAACTCTATGAGTTGAATGCAGACATCAGAAAGAAATTTCTGAGAATGCTGCTGTCTACCTTTTATTTGAATTCCCGCTTCCAACGAAATCCTCCAAGCTATCCAAATATCCACTTGCAGATTCCAGAAAAAGAGTGTTTCAAAACTGCTCTCTATCAATGGCAAAGTTCAACTCTGTTAGTTGAGGACACATATCACCAACAAGTTTCTGAGAATGCTTCTGTCTATTTTTTATGGGAAGATATTTCCTTTTTCAGCGTAGGCGTCAAGGCGATCGAAATGTCCACTTCCACAAACTACAAAAAGAGTGTTTCAAACCTGCTCTATGAAAGGCCATGTTCATCTCTATGAGTTGAATGGAAATATCCGAAAGAAATTTGCTGGGAATGCTGCTGTCTAGTTTTTATATGAATTCCCGCTTCCAACGAAATCCTCAAAGCAATCCAAATATCCACTTGCAGAATCCACAAAAAGAGTGTTTCAAAACTGCTCTATCAATAGAAAGGTTCAACTCTTTTAGTTGAGTACACACATCACAAACAAGTTTCTGAGAATGCTTCTGTCTGGCTTTTATTGGAAGACGTTTCCTTTTCACCAAAGGCATCAAAGCGCTCCAAATGTCCACTTCCAGATTCTTCCAAAAGAGTGTTTCAAACGTGCTCAAAGTAAGGGAATGTTCAACTCTGAGACTTGAATGCAGATATCACCAAGTAGTTTCTAATAGTGCTTCTGTCTACATTTTAGATGATGATATTCCCGTTTCCAATGAAATCGTTAGAGCTATCCAAATATCCAGTTACAGTTTCTACCAAAAGGGTGTTTCCAAATTGCTGCATCAAAAGAAAGGTTCAACTCTGTTAGTTGAGGACACACATCACAAAGAAGTTTGTGAGAATGCTTCTGTCTAGACTTTAGATGATGATATTCCCGTTTCCAACGAAATCATTAGAGCTATCCAAATATCCACTTACAGTTTCTACAAAAAGAGTGTTTCCAAACTGCTGCATCAAAAGAGAGGTTCCACTCTGTTAGCTGAGTACACACATCACAAACTTGTTTCTGAGAATCCTTCTGTCTCGTTTTTATGGGAAGATATTTACTTTTCCACCGTAGGCATCAAAGCGCTCCAAAATGTCCACATCCAGATACTCCAGAACGAGTGTTTCAAACCTGCTCTATGAAAGGGAATCTTCAACTCTATGAGTTGAATGCAGACATCAGAAAGAAATTTCTGAGAATGCTGCTGTCTAGCTTTTATGTGAATTCCCGCTTCCAACGAAAAACTCCAAGCTATCCAAATATCCACTTGCAGATTCCACAAAAAGAGTGTTTCAAAACTGCTCTATCAATAGAAATGTTCAACTCCTTTCGCTGGGTACACAGATCACAAACAAGTTTCTGAGAATGCTTCTGTCTAGTTTTTATGGGAAGACATTTCCTTTTTCACCAAAGGCATCAAAGAGCTCCAAATGTCCACTTCCAGATATACAAAAAGAGTGTTTCAAAAGTGCTCTAAGAAAGCGAATGTTCAACTCTGTGACTTGAATGCAGATATCACAAAGTAGTTTCTGAGAGTGCTTCTGTCTAGATTTTAGATGATGGTATTCCCATTTCCAACGAAATCATTAGAGCTATCCAAATATCCACTTACAGTTTCTACAAAAAGTGTGTTTCCAAACTGCTGCATGAGAAGAGAGGTTCCACTCTGTTATCTGAGTACACACATCACAAACTTGTTTCTGAGAATCCTTCTGTCTCGTTTTTATGGGAAGATATTTACTTTTTCACCGTAGGTATCAAAGCGCTCCAAATGTCCACGTCCAGATACTCCAGAAAGCGTGTTTCAAACCTCCACTATGAAAGGGAATCTTCAACTCTATGAGTTGAATGCAGACATCAGAAAGAAATTTCTGAGAATGCTGCTGTCTACCTTTTATTTGAATTCCCGCTTCCAACGAAATCCTCCAAGCTATCCAAATATCCACTTGCAGATTCCACAAAAAGAGTGTTTCAAAACTGCTCTCTATCAATGGCAAAGTTCAACTCTGTTAGTTGAGGACACATATCACCAACAAGTTTCTGAGAATGCTTCTGTCTATTTTTTATGGGAAGATATTTCCTTTTTCACCGTAGGCGTCAAGGCGATCGAAATGTCCACTTCCACAAACTACAAAAAGAGTGTTTCAAACCTGCTCTATGAAAGGCCATGTTCATCTCTATGAGTTGAATGGAAATATCCGAAAGAAATTTCTGCGAATGCTGCTGTCTAGTGTTTATACGAATTCCCGCTTCCAACGAAATCCTCAAAGCAATCCAAATATCCACTTGCAGAATCCACAAAAAGAGTGTTTCAAAACTGCTCTATCAATAGAAAGGTTCAACTCTTTTAGTTGAGTACACACATCACGAACAAGTTTCTCAGAATGCTTCTGTCTGGCTTTTATTGGAAGACGTTTCCTTTTCACCAAAGGCATCAAAGCGCTCCAAATGTCCACTTCCAGATTCTTCCAAAAGAGTGTTTGAAACGTGCTCAAAGTAAGGGAATGTTCAACTCTGTGACTTGAATGCAGATATCACCAAGTAGTTTCTAATAGTGCTTCTGTCTAGATTTTAGATGATGATATTCCCGTTTCCAACGAAATCGTTAGAGCTATCCAAATATCCACTTACAGTTGCTACAAAAACAGTGTTTCCAAACTGCTGCATCAAAAGAAAGGTTCAACTCTGTTAGTTGAGGACACACATCACAAAGAAGTTTGTGAGAATGCTTATCTGTCTAGAATTTTGTATGACCATATTCCCTTTTCCAGCGATATCATTAAAGCAATCTAAATATCCATTTGCAGAATCCACAAAAATAGAGTTTCAAAGCTGCTCTGTAAAAAGAAAGGTTCCACTCTGTTAGCTGAGTACACACATCACAAACTTGTTTCTCAGAATCCTTCTGTCTCGTTTTTATGGGAAGATATTTACTTTTCCACCGTAGGCATCAAAGCGCTCCAAATGTCCACATCCAGATACTCCAGAACGAGTGTTTCAAACCTGCTCTATGAAAGGGAATCTTCAACTCTATGAGTTGAATGCAGACATCAGAAAGAAATTTCTGAGAATGCTGCTGTCTACCTTTTATTTGAATTCCCGCTTCCAACGAAATCCTCCAAGCTATCCAAATATCCACCTGCATTTTCCACAAAAAGAGTGTTTCAAAACTGCTCTATCAATAGAAATGTTCAACTCCTTTGGCTGGGTACACACATCACAAACAAGTTTCTGAGAATACTTCTGTCTAGTTTTTATGGGAAGACGTTCCCTTTTTCACCAAAGGCATCAAAGCGCTCCAAATGTCCACTTCCAGACACTACAAAAAGAGTGTTTCAAACGTGCTCTAAGAAAGCGAATGTTCAACTCTGTGACTTGAATGCAGATATCACAAAGTAGTTTCTGAGAGGGCTTCTGTCTAGATTTTAGATGATGATATTCCCGTTTCCAACGAAATCATTAGAGCTATCCAAATATCCACTTACAGTTTCTACAAAAAGTGTGTTTCCAAACTACTGCATCAAAAGAGAGGTTCCACTCTGTTAGCTGAGTACACACATCACAAACTTGTTTCTGAGAATCCTGCTGTCTACCTTTAATTTGAATTCCCGCTTCCAACGAAATCCTCCAAGCTATCCAAATATCCACTTGCAGATTCCACAAAAAGAGTGTTTCAAAACTGCTCTCTATCAATGGCAAAGTTCAACTCTGTTAGTTGAGGACACATATCACCAACAAGTTTCTGAGAATGCTTCTGTCTATTTTTTATGGGAAGATATTTCCTTTTTCACCGTAGGCGTCAAGGCGATCGAAATGTCCACTTCCACAAACTACAAAAAGAGTGTTTCACACCTGCTCTATGAAAGGCCATGTTCATCTCTATGAGTTGAATGGAAATATCCGAAAGAAATTTCTGGGAATGCTGCTGTCTAGTTTTTATACGAATTCCCAGCTTCCAACGAAATCCTCAAAGCAATCCAAATATCCACTTGCAGAATCCACAAAAAGAGTGTTTCAAAACTGCTCTATCAATAGAAAGGTTCAACTCTTTTAGTTGAGTACACACATCACAAACAAGTTTCTGAGAATGCTTCTGTCTGGCTTTTATTGGAAGACGTTTCCTTTTCACCAAAGGCATCAAAGCGCTCCAAATGTCCACTTCCAGATTCTTCCAAAAGAGTGTTTCAAACGTGCTCGAAGTAAGGGAATGTTCTACTCTGTGACTTGAATGCAGATATCACCAAGTAGTTTCTAATAGTGCTTCTGTCTAGATTTTAGATGATGATATTCCCGTTTCCAACGAAATCGTTAGAGCTATCCAAATATCCACTTACAGTTGCTACAAAAACAGTGTTTCCAAACTGCTGCATCAAAAGAAAGGTTCAACTCTGTTAGTTGAGGTCACACGTCACAAAGAAGTTTGTGAGAATGCTTCTGTCTAGTATTTTGTATGACCATATTCCCTTTTCCAGCGATATCATTAAAGCAATCTAAATATCCATTTGCAGAATCCACAAAAATAGAGTTTCAAAGCTGCTCTGTAAAAAGAAAGGTTCCACTCTGTTAGCTGAGTACACACATCACAAACTTGTTTCTGAGAATCCTCTGTCTCGTTTTTATGGGAAGATATTTACTTTTCCACCGTAGGCATCAAAGCGCTCCAAATGTCCACATCCAGATACTCCAGAACGAGTGTTTCAAACCTGCTCTATGAAAGGGAATCTTCAACTCTATGAGTTGAATGCAGACATCAGAAAGAAATTTCTGAGAATGCTGCTGTCTACCTTTTATTTGAATTCCCGCTTCCAACGAAATCCTCCAAGCTATCCAAATATCCACCTGCATTTTCCACAACAAGAGTGTTTCAAAACTGCTCTATCAATAGAAATGTTCAACTCCTTTGGCTGGGTACACACATCACAAACAAGTTTCTGAGAATGCTTCTGTCTAGTTTTTATGGGAAGACATTCCCTTTTTCACCAAAGGCATCAAAGCGCTCCAAATGTCCACTTCCAGACACTACAAAAAGAGTGTTTCAAACGTGCTCTAAGAAACCCAATGTTCAACTCTCTGACTTGAATGCAGATATCACAAAGTAGTTTCTGAGAGGGCTTCTGTCTAGATTTTAGATGATGATATTCCCGTTTCCAACGAAATCATTAGAGCTATCCAAATATCCACTTACAGTTTCTACAAAAAGAGTGTTTCCAAACTGCTGCATCAAAAGAGAGGTTCCACTCTGTTAGCTGAGTTCACACATCACAAACTTGTTTCTCAGAATCCTTCTGTGTCGTTTTTATGGCAAGATATTTACTTTTTCACCGTAGGCATCAAAGCGCTCCAAATGTCCACATCCAGATACTCCAGAAAGAGTGTTTCAAACCTGCTCTATGAAAGGGAATCTTCAACTCTATGAGTTGAATGCAGACATCAGAAAGAAATTTACTGAGAATGCTGCTGTCTACCTTTTATTTGAATTCCCGCTTCCAACGAAATCCTCCAAACTATCCAAATATCCACTTGCAGATTCCACACAAAGAGTGTTTCAAAACTGCTCTCTATCAATGGCAAAGTTCAACTCTGTTAGTTCAGGACACATATCACCAACAAGTTTCTGAGAATGCTTCTGTCTATTTTTTATGGGAAGATATTTCCTTTTTCACCGTAGGCGTCAAGGCGATCGAAATGTCCACTTCCACAAACTACAAAAAGAGTGTTTCAAACCTGCTCTATGAAAGGCCATGTTCATCTCTATGAGTTGAATGGAAATATCCGAAAGAAATTTCTGGGAATGCTGCTGTCTAGTGTTTATACGAATTCCCGCTTCCAACGAAATCCTCAAAACAATCCAAATATCCACTTGCAGAATCCACAAAAAGAGTGTTTCAAAACTGCTCTATCAATAGAAAGGTTCAACTCTTTTAGTTGAGTACACACATCACGAACAAGTTTCTGAGAATGCTTCTGTCTGGCTTTTATTGGAAGACGTTTCCTTTTCACCAAAGGCATCAAAGCGCTCCAAATGTCCACTTCCAGATTCTTCCAAAAGAGTGTTTCAAACGTGCTCAAAGTAAGGGAATGTTCAACTCTATGAGTTGAATGCAGACATCAGAAAGAAATTTCTGAGAATGCTTCTGTCTAGATTTTAGCATGATGATATTCCCGTTTCCAACGAAATCGTTAGAGCTATCCAAATATCCACTTACAGTTGCTACAAAAACAGTGTTTCCAAACTGCTGCATCAAAAGAAAGGTTCAACTCTGTTAGTTGAGGACACACGTCACAAAGAAGTTTGTGAGAATGCTTCTGTCTAGATTTTGTATGACCATATTCCCTTTTCCAGCGATATCATTAAAGCAATCTAAATATCCATTTGCAGAATCCACAAAATTAGAGTTTCAAAGCTGCTCTGTAAAAAGAAAGGTTCCACTCTGTTAGCTGAGTACACACATCACAAACTTGTTTCTCAGAATCCTCCTGTCTACCTTTTATTTGAATTCCCGCTTCCAACGAAATCCTCCAAGCTATCCAAATATCCACTTGCATTTTCCACAAAAAGAGTGTTTCAAAACTGCTCTATCAATGGAAATGTTCAACTCCTTTAGCTGGGTACACACATCACAAACAAGTTTCTGAGAATGCTTCTGTCTAGTTTTTATGGGAAGACATTCCCTTTTTCACCAAAGGCATCAAAGCGCTCCAAATGTCCACTTCCGGACACTACAAAAAGAGTGTTTCCAACGTGCTCTAAGAAAGCGAATGTTCAACTCTGTGACTTGAATGCAGATATCACAAAGTAGTTTCTGAGAGGGCTTCTGTCTAGCATTTTAGATGATGATATTCCCGTTTCCAACGAAATCATTAGAGCTATCCAAATATCCACTTACAGTTTCTACAAAAAGAGTGTTTCCAAACTGCTGCATCAAAAGAGAGGTTCCACTCTGTTAGCTGAGTACACACATCACAAACTTGTTTCTCAGAATCCTTCTGTCTCGTTTTTATGGGAAGATATTTACTTTTTCACCGTAGGCATCAAAGCGCTCCAAATGTCCACATCCAGATACTCCAGAAAGAGTGTTTCAAACCTGCTCTATGAAAGGGAATGTTCAACTCTATGAGTTGAATGCAGACATCAGAAAGAAATTTCTGAGAATGCTGCTGTCTACCTTTTATTTGAATTCCCGCTTCCAACGAAATCCTCCAAGCTATCAAAATATCCACTTGCAGATTCCACAAAAAGAGTGTTTCAAAACTGCTCTCTATCAATGGCAAAGTTCAACTCTGTTAGTTGAGGGCACATATCACCAACAAGTTTCTGAGAATGCTTCTGTCTATTTTTTATGGGAAGATATTTCCTTTTTCACCGCAGGCGTCAAGGCGATCGAAATGTCCACTTCCACAAACTACAAAAAGAGTGTTTCAATATGAAAGGCCATGTTCATCTCTATGAGTTGAATGGAAATATCCGAAAGAAATTTCTGGGAATGCTGCTGTCTAGTGTTTATACGAATTCCCGCTTCCAACGAAATCCTCAAAGCAATCCAAATATCCACTTGCAGAATCCACAAAAAGAGTGTTTCAAAACTGCTCTATCAATAGAAAGGTTCAACTCTTTTAGTTGAGTACACACATCACGAACAAGTTTCTGAGAATGCTTCTCTCTGGCTTTTATTGGAAGACGTTTCCTTTTCACCAAAGGCATCAAAGCGCTCCAAATGTCCACTTCCAGATTCTTCCAAAAGAGTGTTTCAAACGTGCTCAAAGTAAGGGAATGTTCAACTCTGTGACTTGAATGCAGATATCACCAAGTAGTTTCTAATAGTGCTTCTGTCTAGGTTTTAGATGATGATATTCCCGTTTCCAACGAAATCGTTTGAGCTATCCAAATATCCAGTTACAGTTTCTACCAAAAGGGTGTTTCCAAATTGTTGCATCAAAAGAAAGGTTCAACTCTGTTAGTTGAGGACACACATCACAAAGAAGTTTGTGAGAATGCTTCTGTCTAGATTTTGTATGACGATATTCCCTTTTCCAACGATATCGTTAAAGCAATCTAAATATCCATTTGCAGAATCCACAAAAATAGAGTTTCAAAGCTGCTCTGTAAAAAGAAAGGTTCCACTCTGTTAGCTGAGTACACACATCACAAACTTGTTTCTCAGAATCCTTCTGTCTCGTTTTTATGGGAAGATATTTACTTTTCCACCGTAGGCATCAAAGCGCTCCAAATGTCCACATCCGGATACTCCAGAACGAGTGTTTCAAACCTGCTCTATGAAAGGGAATCTTCAACTCTATGAGTTGAATGCAGACATCAGAAAGAAATTTCTGAGAATGCTGCTGTCTACCTTTTATTTGAATTCCCGCTTCCAACGAAATCCTCCAAGCTATCCAAATATCCACCTGCATTTTCCACAAAAAGAGCGTTTCAAAACTGCTCTATCAATAGAAATGTTCAACTCCTTTGGCTGGGTACACACATCACAAACAAGTTTCTGAGAATGCTTCTGTCTAGTTTTTATGGGAAGACATTCCCTTTTTCACCAAAGGCATCAAAGCGCTCCAAATGTCCACTTCCAGACACTACAAAAAGAGTGTTTCCAACGTGCTCTAAGAAAGCGAATGTTCAACTCTGTGACTTGAAAGCAGATATCACAAAGTAGTTTCTGAGAGGGCTTCTGTCCAGATTTTAGATGATGATATTCCCGTTTCCAACGAAATCATTAGAGCTATCCAAATATCCACTTACAGTTTCTACAAAAAGAGTGTTTCCAAACTGCTGCATCAAAAGAGAGGTTCCACTCTGTTAGCTGAGTACACACATCACAAACTTGTTTCTCAGAATCCTGCTGTCTACCTTTTATTTGAATTCCCGCTTCCAACGAAATCCTCCAAGCTATCCAGATATCCACTTGCAGATTCCACAAAAAGAGTGTTTCAAAACTGCTCTCTATCAATGGCAAAGTTCAACTCTGTTAGTTGAGGACACATATCACCAACAAGTTTCTGAGAATGCTTCTGTCTATTTTTTATGGGAAGATATTTCCTTTTTCACCGTAGGCGTCAAGGCGATCGAAATGTCCACTTCCACAAACTACAAAAAGCGTGTTTCAATATGAAAGGCCATGTTCATCTCTATGAGTTGAATGGAAATATCCGAAAGAAATTTCTGGGAATGCTGCTGTCTAGTTTTTATACGAATTCCCGCTTCCAACGAAATCCTCAAAGCAATCCAAATATCCACTTGCAGAATCCACAAAAAGAGTGTTTCAAAACTGCTCTATCAATAGAAAGGTTCAACTCTTTTAGTTGAGTACACACATCACAAACAAGTTTCTGAGAATGCTTCTGTCTGGCTTTTATTGGAAGACGTTTCCTTTTCACCAAAGGCATCAAAGCGCTCCAAATGTCCACTTCCAGATTCTTCCAAAAGAGTGTTTCAAACGTGCTCGAAGTAAGGGAATGTTCTACTCTGTGACTTGAATGCAGATATCACCAAGTAGTTTCTAATAGTGCTTCTGTCTACATTTTAGATGATGATATTCCCGTTTCCAACGAAATCGCTAGAGCTATCCAAATATCCAGTTACAGTTTCTACCAAAAGGGTGTTTCCAAATTGCTGCATCAAAAGAAAGGTTCAACTCTGTTAGTTGAGGACACACATCACAAAGAAGTTTGTGAGAATGCTTCTGTCTACATTTTGTATGACGATATTCCCTTTTCCAACGATATCGTTAAAGCAATCTAAATATCAATTTGCAGAATCCACAAAAATAGAGTTTCAAAGCTGCTCTGTAAAAAGAAAGGTTCCACTCTGTTAGCTGAGTACACACATCACAAACTTGTTTCTGAGAATCCTTCTGTCTCGTTTTTATGGGAAGATATTTACTTTTCCACCGTAGGCATCAAAGCGCTCCAAATGTCCACATCCAGATACTCCAGAACGAGTGTTTCAAACCTGCTCTATGAAAGGGAATCTTCAACTCTATGAGTTGAATGCAGACATCAGAAAGAAATTTCTGAGAATGCTGCTGTCTACCTTTTATTTGAATTCCCGCTTCCAACGAAATCCTCAAAGCTATCCAAATATCCACCTGCATTTTCCACAAAAAGAGTGTTTCAAAACTGCTCTATCAATAGAAATGTTCAACTCCTTTGGCTGGGTACACACATCACAAACAAGTTTCTGAGAATGCTTCTGTCTAGTTTTTATGGGTGGACATTCCCTTTTTCACCAAAGGAATCAAAGCGCTCCAAATGTCCACTTCCAGACACTACAAAAAGAGTGTTTCAAACGTGCTCTAAGAAAGCGAATGTTCAACTCTGTGACTTGAATGCAGATATCACAAAGTAGTTTCTGAGAGTGCTTCTGTCTAGATTTTAGATGATGATATTCCCGTTTCCAACGAAATCATTAGAGCTATCCAAATATCCACTTACAGTTTCTACAAAAAGAGTGTTTCCAAACTGCTGCATCAAAAGAGAGGTTCCACTCTGTTAGCTGAGTACACACATCACAAACTTGTTTCTCAGAATCCTTCTGTCTCGTTTTTATG
The DNA here is from genome assembly GCF_000001405.40 of Homo sapiens. Taxonomy (NCBI): domain Eukaryota; kingdom Metazoa; phylum Chordata; class Mammalia; order Primates; family Hominidae; genus Homo; species Homo sapiens. Next base: position 12,901,011 of record NC_000021.9, on the reverse strand, counting down.
GGAAGATATTTACTTTTTCACCGTAGGCATCAAAGCGCTCCAAATGTCCACATCCAGATACTCCAGAAAGAGTGTTTCAAACCTGCTCTATGAAATGGAATCTTCAACTCTATGAGTTGAATGCAGACATCAGAAAGAAATTTCTGAGAATGCTGCTGTCTACCTTTTATTTGAATTCCCGCTTCCAACGAAATCCTCCAAGCTATCCAAATATCCACTTGCAGATTCCACAAAAAGAGTGTTTCAAAACTGCTCTCTATCAATGGCAAAGTTCAACTCTGTTAGTTGAGGACACATATCACCAACAAGTTTCTGAGAATGCTTCTGTCTATTTTTTATGGGAAGATATTTCCTTTTTCACCGTAGGCGTCAAGGCGATCGAAATGTCCACTTCCACAAACTACAAAAAGAGTGTTTCAAACCTGCTCTATGAAAGGCCATGTTCATCTCTATGAGTCGAATGGAAATACCCGAAAGAAATTTCTGGGAATGCTGCTGTCTAGTTTTTATACGAATTCCCGCTTCCAACGAAATCCTCAAAGCAATCCAAATATCCACTTGCAGAATCCACAAAAAGAGTGTTTCAAAACTGCTCTATCAATAGAAAGGTTCAACTCTTTTAGTTGAGTACACACATCACAAACAAGTTTCTGAGAATGCTTCTGTCTGGCTTTTATTGGAAGACGTTTCCTTTTCACCAAAGGCATCAAAGCACTCCAAATGTCCACTTCCAGATTCTTCCAAAAGAGTGTTTCAAACGTGCTCAAAGTAAGGGAATGTTCAACTCTGTGACTTGAATGCAGATATCACCAAGTAGTTTCTAATAGTGCTTCTGTCTACATTTTGATGATGATATTCCCGTTTCCAACGAAATCGTTAGAGCTATCCAAATATCCAGTTACAGTTTCTACCAAAAGGGTGTTTCCAAATTGCTGCATCAAAAGAAAGGTTCAACTCTGTTAGTTGAGGACACACATCACAAAGAAGTTTGTGAGAATGCTTCTGTCTAGATTTTGTATGACCATATTCCCTTGTCCAACGATATCGTTAAAGCAATCTAAATATCAATTTGCAGAATCCACAAAAATAGAGTTTCAAAGCTGCTCTGTAAAAAGAAAGGTTCCACTCTGTTAGCTGAGTACACACATCACAAACTTGTTTCTCAGAATCCTTCTGTCTCGTTTTTATGGGAAGATATTTACTTTTTCACCGTAGGCATCAAAGCGCTCCAAATGTCCACATCCAGATACTCCAGAAAGAGTGTTTCAAACCTGCTCTATGAAAGGGAATCTTCAACTCTATGAGTTGAATGCAGACATCAGAAAGAAATTTCTGAGAATGCTGCTGTCTACCTTTTATTTGAACTCCCGCTTCCAACGAAATCCTCCAAGCTATCCAAATATCCACCTGCATTTTCCACAAAAAGAGCGTTTCAAAACTGCTCTATCAATAGAAATGTTCAACTCCTTTGGCTGGGTACACACATCACAAACAAGTTTCTGAGAATGCTTCTGTCTAGTTTTTATGGGAAGACATTCCCTTTTTCACCAAAGGCATCAAAGCGCGCCAAATGTCCACTTCCAGACACTACAAAAAGAGTGTTTCAAACGTGCTCTAAGAAAGCGAATGTTCAACTCTGTGACTTGAATGCAGATATCACAAAGTAGTTTCTGAGAGGGCTTCTGTCTAGATTTTAGATGATGATATTCCCGTTTCCAACGAAATCATTAGAGCTATCCAAATATCCACTTACAGTTTCTACAAAAAGAGTGTTTCCAAACTGCTGCATCAGAAGAGAGGTTCCACTCTGTTAGCTGAGTACACACATCACAAACTTGTTTCTGAGAATCCTTCTGTGTCGTTTTTATGGGAAGATATTTACTTTTTCACCGTAGGCATCAAAGCGCTCCAAATGTCCACATCCAGATACTCCAGAAAGAGTGTTTCAAACCTGCTGCTATGAAAGGGAATCTTCAACTCTATGAGTTGAATGCAGACATCAGAAAGAAATTTCTGAGAATGCTGCTGTCTACCTTTTATTTGAATTCCCGCTTCCAACGAAATCCTCCAAGCTATCCAAATATCCACTTGCAGATTCCACAAAAAGAGTGTTTCAAAACTGCTCTCTATCAATGGCAAAGTTCAACTCTGTTAGTTGAGGACACATATCACCAACAAGTTTCTGAGAATGCTTCTGTCTATTTTTTATGGGAAGATATTTCCTTTTTCAGCGTAGGCGTCAAGGCGATCGAAATGTCCACTTCCACAAACTACAAAAAGAGTGTTTCAAACCTGCTCTATGAAAGGCCATGTTCATCTCTATGAGTTGAATGGAAATATCCGAAAGAAATTTCTGGGAATGCTGCTGTCTAGTGTTTATACGAATTCCTGCTTCCAACGAAATCCTCAAAGCAATCCAAATATCCACTTGCAGAATCCACAAAAAGAGTGTTTCAAAACTGCTCTATCAATAGAAAGGTTCAACTCTTTTAGTTGAGTACACACATCACGAACAAGTTTCTGAGAATGCTTCTGTCTGGCTTTTATTGGAAGACGTTTCCTTTTCACCAAAGGCATCAAAGCGCTCCAAATGTCCACTTCCAGATTCTTCCAAAAGAGTGTTTGAAACGTGCTCAAAGTAAGGGAATGTTCAACTCTGTGACTTGAATGCAGATATCACCAAGTAGTTTCTAATAGTGCTTCTGTCTAGATTTTAGATGATGATATTCCCGTTTCCAACGAAATCGTTAGATCTATCCAAATATCCACTTACAGTTTCTACCAAAAGGGTGTTTCCAAACTGCTGCATCAAAAGAAAGGTTCAACTGTGTTATTTGAGGACACACATCACAAAGAAGTTTGTGAGAATGCTTCTGTCTAGATTTTGTATGACCATATTCCCTTTTCCAACGATATCGTTAAAGCAATCTAAATATCAATTTGCAGAATCCACAAAAATAGAGTTTCAAAGCTGCTCTGTAAAAAGAAAGGTTCCACTCTGTTAGCTGAGTACACACATCACAAACTTGTTTCTGAGAATCCTGCTGTCTACCTTTTATTTGAATTCCCGCTTCCAACGAAATCCTCCAAGCTATCCAAATATCCACCTGCATTTTCCACAAAAAGAGTGTTTCAAAACTGCTCTATCAATAGAAATGTTCAACTCCTTTGGCTGGGTACACACATCACAAACAAGTTTGCTGAGAATGCTTTCTGTCTAGTTTTTATGGGAAGACATTCCCTTTTTCACCAAAGGCATCAAAGCGCTCCAAATGTCCACTTCCAGACACTACAAAAAGAGTGTTTCCAACGTGCTCTAAGAAAGCGAATGTTCAACTGCTGTGACTTGAATGCAGATATCACAAAGTAGTTTCTGAGAGGGCTTCTGTCTAGATTTTAGATGATGATATTCCCGTTTCCAAAGAAATCATTAGAGCTATCCAAATATCCACTTACAGTTTCTACAAAAAGAGTGTTTCCAAACTGCTGCATCAAAAGAGAGGTTCCACTCTGTTAGCTGAGTACACACATCACAAACTTGTTTCTCAGAATCCTTCTGTCTCGTTTTTATGGGAAGATATTTACTTTTTCACCGTAGGCATCAAAGCGCTCCAAATGTCCACATCCAGATACTACAGAAAGAGTATTTCAAACCTGCTCTATGAAAGGGAATCTTCAACTCTATGAGTTGAATGCAGACATCAGAAAGAAATTTCTGAGAATGCTGCTGTCTATCTTTTATTTGAATTCCCGTTTCCAACGAAATCCTCCAAGCTATCCAAATATCCACTTGCAGATTCCACAGAAAGAGTGTTTCAAAACTGCTCTCTATCAATGGCAAAGTTCAACTCTGTCAGTTGAGGACACATATCTCCAACAAGTTTCTGAGAATGCTTCTGTCTATTTTTTATGGGAAGATATTTCCTTTTTCAGCGTAGGCGTCAAGGCGATCGAAATGTCCACTTCCAGAAACTACAAAAAGAGTGTTTCAAACCTGCTCTATGAAAGGCCATGTTCATCTCTATGAGTTGAATGGAAATATCCGAAAGAAATTTCTGGGAATGCTGCTGTCTAGTTTTTATATGAATTCCCGCTTCCAACGAAATCCTCAAAGCAATCCAAATATCCACTTGCAGAATCCACAAAAAGAGTGTTTCAAAACTGCGCTATCAATAGAAAGGTTCAACTCTTTTAGTTGAGTACACACATCACGAACAAGTTTCTGAGAATGCTTCTGTCTGGCTTTCATTGGAAGACGTTTCCTTTTCACCAAAGGCATCAAAGCGCTCCAAATGTCCACTTCCAGATTCTTCCAAAAGAGTGTTTCAAACGTGCTCAAAGTAAGGGAATGTTCAACTCTGTGACTTGAATGCAGATATCACCAAGTAGTTTCTAATAGTGCTTCTGTCTAGATTTTAGATGATGATATTCCCGTTTCCAACGAAATCGTTAGAGCTATCCAAATATCCAGTTACAGTTTCTACCAAAAGGGTGTTTCCAAATTGCTGCATCAAAAGAAAGGTTTAACTCTGTTAGTTGAGGACACACATCACAAAGAAGTTTGTGAGAATGCTTCTGTCCAGCATTTTGTATGACGATATTCCCTTTTCCAACGATATCGTTAAAGCAATCTAAATATCAATTTCCAGAATCCACAAAAATAGAGTTTCAAAGCTGCTCTGTAAAAAGAAAGGTTCCACTCTGTTAGCTGAGTACACACATCACAAACTTGTTTCTGAGAATCCTTCTGTCTCGTTTTTATGGGAAGATATTTACTTTTCCACCGTAGGCATCAAAGCGCTCCAAATGTCCACATCCAGATACTCCAGAACGAGTGTTTCAAACCTGCTCTATGAAAGGGAATCTTCAACTCTATGAGTTGAATGCAGACATCAGAAAGAAATTTCTGAGAATGCTGCTGTCTACCTTTTATTTGAATTCCCGCTTCCAACGAAATCCTCCAAGCTATCCAAATATCCACCTGCATTTTCCACAACAAGAGTGTTTCAAAACTGCTCTATCAATAGAAATGTTCAACTCCTTTGGCTGGGTACACACATCACAAACAAGTTTCTGAGAATGCTTCTGTCTAGTTTTTATGGGAAGACGTTCCCTTTTTCACCAAAGTCATCAAAGCGCTCCAAATGTCCACTTCCAGACACTACAAAAAGAGTGTTTCCAACGTGCTCTAAGAAAGCGAATGTTCAACTCTGTGACTTGAATGCAGATATCACAAAGTAGTTTCTGAGAGGGCTTCTGTCTAGATTTTAGATGATGATATTCCCGTTTCCAACGAAATCATTAGAGCTATCCAAATATCCACTTACAGTTTCTACAAAAAGAGTGTTTCCAAACTGCTGCATCAAAAGAGAGGTTCCACTCTGTTAGCTGAGTACACACATCACAAACTTGTTTCTCAGAATCCGGCTGTCTACCTTTTATTTGAATTCCCGCTTCCAACGAAATCCTCCAAGCTATCCAAATATCCACTTGCAGATTCCACAAAAAGAGTGTTTCAAAACTGCTCTCTATCAATGGCAAAGTTCAACTCTGTTAGTTGAGGACACATATCACCAACAAGTTTCTGAGAATGCTTCTGTCTATTTTTTATGGGAAGATATTTCCTTTTTCACCGTAGGCGTCAAGGCGATCGAAATGTCCACTTCCACAAACTACAAAAAGAGTGTTTCAAACCTGCTCTATGAAAGGCCATGTTCACCTCTATGAGTTGAATGGAAATATCCGAAAGAAATTTCTGGGAATGCTGCTGTCTAGTGTTTATACGAATTCCCGCTTCCAACGAAATCCTCAAAGCAATCCAAATATCCACTTGCAGAATCCACAAAAAGAGTGTTTCAAAACTGCTCTATCAATAGAAAGGTTCAACTCTTTTAGATGAGTACACACATCACGAACAAGTTTCTGAGAATGCTTCTGTCTGGCTTTTATTGGAAGACGTTTCCTTTTCACCAAAGGCATCAAAGCGCTCCAAATGTCCACTTCCAGATTCTTCCAAAAGAGTGTTTCAAACGTGCTCAAAGTAAGGGAATGTTCAACTCTGTGACTTGAATGCAGATATCACCAAGTAGTTTCTAATAGTGCTTCTGTCTACATTTTAGATGATGATATTCCCGTTTCCAACGAAATCGTTAGAGGTATCCAAATATCCAGTTACAGTTTCTACCAAAAGGGTGTTTCCAAATTGCTGCATCAAAAGAAAGGTTCAACTCTGTTAGTTGAGGACACACATCACAAAGAAGTTTGTGAGAATGCTTCTGTCTAGATTTTGTATGACGATATTCCCTTTTCCAACGATATCGTTAAAGCAATCTAAATATCAATTTGCAGAATCCACAAAAATAGAGTTTCAAAGCTGCTCTGTAAAAAGAAAGGTTCCACTCTGTTAGCTGAGTACACACATCACAAACTTGTTTCTGAGAATCCTGCTGTCTACCTTTTATTTGAATTCCCGCTTCCAACGAAATCCTCCAAGCTATCCAAATATCCACCTGCATTTTCCACAAAAAGAGCGTTTCAAAACTGCTCTATCAATAGAAATGTTCAACTCCTTTGGCTGGGTACACACATCACAAACAAGTTTCTGAGAATGCTTCTGTCTAGTTTTTATGGGTAGACATTCCCTTTTTCACCAAAGGAATCAAAGCGCTCCAAATGTCCACTTCCAGCCACTACAAAAAGAGTGTTTCAAACGTGCTCTAAGAAAGCGAATGTTCAACTCTGTGACTTGAATGCAGATATCACACAGTAGTTTCTGAGAGTGCTTCTGTCTAGATTTTAGATGATGATATTCCCGTTTCCAACGAAATCATTAGAGCTATCCAAATATCCACTTACAGTTTCTACAAAAAGAGTGTTTCCAAACTGCTGCATCAAAAGAGAGGTTCCACTCTGTTAGCTGAGTACACACATCACAAACTTGTTTCTCAGAATCCTTCTGTCTCGTTTTTATGGGAAGATATTTACTTTTTCACCGTAGGCATCAAAGCGCTCCAAATGTCCACATCCAGATACTACAGAAAGAGTGTTTCAAACCTGCTCTATGAAAGGGAATCTTCAACTCTATGAGTTGAATGCAGACATCAGAAAGAAATTTCTGAGAATGCTGCTGTCTACCTTTTATTTGAATTCCCGCTTCCAACGAAATCCTCCAAGCTATCCAAATATCCACTTGCAGATTCCACAAAAAGAGTGTTTCAAAACTGCTCTCTATCAATGGCAAAGTTCAACTCTGTTAGTTGAGGACACATATCACCAACAAGTTTCTGAGAATGCTTCTGTCTATTTTTTAAGGGAAGATATTCCCTTTTTCACCGTAGGCGTCAAGGCGATCGAAATGTCCACTTTCACAAACTACAAAAAGAGTGTTTCAAACCTGCTCTATGAAAGGCCATGTTCATCTCTATGAGTTGAATGGATATATCCGAAAGAAATTTCTGGGAATGCTGCTGTCTAGTTTTTATACGAATTCCCGCTTCCAACGAAATCCTCAAAGCAATCCAAATATCCACTTGCAGAATCCACAAAAAGAGTGTTTCAAAACTGCTCTATCAATAGAAAGGTTCAACTCTTTTAGTTGAGTACACACATCACAAACAAGTTTCTGAGAATGCTTCTGTCTGGCTTTTATTGGAAGACGTTTCCTTTTCACCAAAGGCATCAAAGCGCTCCAAATGTCCACTTCCAGATTCTTCCAAAAGAGTGTTTGAAACGTGCTCAAAGTAAGGGAATGTTCAACTCTGTGACTTGAATGCAGATATCACCAAGTAGTTTCTAATAGTGATTCTGTCTCATTTTAGATGATGATATTCCCGTTTCCAAAGAAATCGTTAGAGCTATCCAAATATCCAGTTACAGTTTCTACCAAAAGGGTGTTTCCAAATTGCTGCATCAAAAGAAAGGTTCAACTCTGTTAGTTGAGGACACACATCACAAAGAAGTTTGTGAGAATGCTTCTGTCTAGATTTTGTATGACGATATTCCCTTTTCCAACGATATCGTTAAAGCAATCTAAATATCAATTTGCAGAATCCACAAAAATAGAGTTTCAAAGCTGCTCTGTAAAAAGAAAGGTTCCACTCTGTTAGCTGAGTACACACATCACAAACTTGTTTCTGAGAATCCTTCTGTCTCGTTTTTATGGGAAGATATTTACTTTTTCACCGCAGGCATCAAAGCGCTCCAAATGTCCACATCCAGATACTCCAGAAAGAGTGTTTCAAACCTGCTCTATGAAAGGGAATCTTCAACTCTATGAGTTGAATGCAGACATCAGAAGGAAATTTCTGAGAATGCTTGCTGTCTACCTTTTATTTGAATTCCCGCTTCCAACGAAATCCTCCAAGCTATCCAAATATCCACTTGCATTTTCCACAAAAAGAGTGTTTCAAAACTGCTCTATCAATAGAAATGTTCAACTCCTTTGGCTGGGTACACACATCACAAACAAGTTTCTGAGAATGCTTCTGTCTAGTTTTTATGGGAAGACGTTCCCTTTTTCACCAAAGGCATCAAAGCGCTCCAAATGTCCACTTCAAGACACTACAAAAAGAGTGTTTCCAACGTGCTCTAAGAAAGCGAATGTTCAACTCTGTGACTTGAATGCAGATATCACAAAGTAGTTTCTGAGAGGGCTTCTGTCTAGATTTTAGATGATGATATTCCCGTTTCCAACGAAATCATTAGAGCTATCCAAATATCCACTTACAGTTTCTACAAAAAGAGTGTTTCCAAACTGCTGCATCAAAAGAGACGTTCCACTCTGTTAGCTGAGTACACACATCACAAACTTGTTTCTCAGAATCCTTCTGTCTCGTTTTTATGGGAAGATTATACTTTTTCACCGTAGGCATCAAAGCGCTCCAAATGTCCACATCCAGATACTACAGAAAGAGTGTTTCAAACCTGCTCTATGAAAGGGAATCTTCAACTCTATGAGTTGAATGCAGACATCAGAAAGAAATTTCTGAGAATGCTGCTGTCTACCTTTTATTTGAATTCCCGCTTCCAACGAAATCCTCCAAGCTATCCAAATATCCACTTGCAGATTCCACAAAAAGAGTGTTTCAAAACTGCTCTCTATCAATGGCAAAGTTCAACTCTGTTAGTTGAGGACACATATCACCAACAAGTTTCTGAGAATGCTTCTGTCTATTTTTTATGAGAAGATATTTCCTTTTTCACCGTAGGCGTCAAGGCGATCGAAATGTCCACTTCCACAAACTACAAAAAGAGTGTTTCAAACCTGCTCTATGAAAGGCGATGTTCATCTCTATGAGTTGAATGGAAATATCCGAAAGAAATTTCTGGGAATGCTGCTGTCTAGTGTTTATACGAATTCCCACTTCCAACGAAATCCTCAAAGCAATCCAAATATCCACTTGCAGAATCCACAAAAAGAGTGTTTCAAAACTGCTCTATCAATAGAAAGGTTCAACTCTTTTAGTTGAGTACACACATCACGAACAAGTTTCTGAGAATGCTTCTGTCTGGCTTTTATTGGAAGACGTTTCCTTTTCACCAAAGGCATCAAAGCGCTCCAAATGTCCACTTCCAGATTCTTCCAAAAGAGTGTTTGAAACGTGCTCAAAGTAAGGGAATGTTCAACTCTGTGACTTGAATGCAGATATCACCAAGTAGTTTCTAATAGTGCTTCTGTCTAGATTTTAGATGATGATATTCCCGTTTCCAACGAAATCGTTAGAGCTATCCAAATATCCACTTACAGTTTCTACAAAAAGAGTGTTTCCAAACTGCTGCATCAAAAGAAAGGTTCAACTCTGTTAGTTGAGGACACACATCACAAAGAAGTTTGTGATAATGCTTCTGTCTAGATTTTGTATGACGATATTCCCTTTTCCAACGATATCGTTAAAGCAATCTAAATATCAATTTGCAGAATCCACAAAAATAGAGTTTCAAAGCTGCTCTGTAAAAAGAAAGGTTCCACTGCTGTTAGCTGAGTACACACATCACAAACTTGTTTCTGAGAATCCTGCTGTCTACCTTTTATTTGAGTTCCCGCTTCCAACGAAATCCTCCAAGCTATCCAAATATCCACCTGCATTTTCAACAAAAAGAGTGTTTCAAAACTGCTCTATCAATAGAAATGTTCAACTCCTTTGGCTGGGTACACACATCACAAACAAGTTTCTGAGAATGCTTCTGTCTAGTTTTTATGGGAAGACGTTCCCTTTTTCACCAAAGGCATCAAAGCGCTCCAAATGTCCACTTCCAGACACTACAAAAAGAGTGTTTCAAACGTGCTCTAAGAAAGCGAATGTTCAACTCTGTGAGTTGAATGCAGATATCACAAAGTAGTTTCTGAGAGGGCTTCTGTCCAGATTTTGTATGACGATACTCCCTTTTCCAACGATATCGTTAAAGCAATCTAAATATCCATTTGCAGAATCCACAAAAATAGAGTTTCAAAGCTGCTCTGTAAAAAGAAAGGTTCCACTCTGTTAGCTGAGTACACACATCACAAACTTGTTTCTGAGAATCCTGCTGTCTACCTTTTATTTGAATTCCCGCTTCCAACGAAATCCTCCAAGCTATCCAAATATCCACTTGCAGATTCCACAAAAAGAGTGTTTCAAAACTGCTCTCTATCAATGGCAAAGTTCAACTCTGTTAGTTGAGGACACATATCACCAACAAGTTTCTGAGAATGCTTCTGTCTATTTTTTATGGGAAGATATTTCCTTTTTCACCGTAGGCATCAAGGCGATCGAAATGTCCACTTCCACAAACTACAAAAAGAGTGTTTCAAACCTGCTCTATGAAAGGCGATGTTCATCTCTATAAGTTGAATGGAAATATCCGAAAGAAATTTCTGGGAATGCTGCTGTCTAGTTTTTATACGAATTCCCGCTTCCAACGAAATCCTCAAAGCAATCCAAATATCCACTTGCAGAATCCACAAAAAGAGTGTTTCAAAACTGCTCTATCAATAGAAAGGTTCAAATCTTTTAGTTGAGTACACACATCACGAACAAGTTTCTGAGAATGCTTCTGTCTGGCTTTTATTGGAAGACGTTTCCTTTTCACCAAAGGCATCAAAGCGCTCCAAATGTCCACTTCCAGATTCTTCCAAAAGAGTGTTTCAAACGTGCTCAAAATAAGGGAATGTTCAATTCTGTGACTTGAATGCAGATATCACCAAGTAGTTTCTAATAGTGCTTCTGTCTAGATTTTAGATGATGATATTCCCGTTTCCAACGAAATCGTTAGAGCTATCCAAATATCCACTTACAGTTTCTACCAAAAGGGTGTTTCCAAACTGCTGCATCAAAAGAAAGGTTCAACTCTGTTAGTTGAGGACACACATCACAAAGGAAGTTTGTGAGAATGCTTCTGTCTAGATTTTGTATGACGATATTCCCTTTTCCAACGATATCGTTAAAGCAATCTAAATATCCATTTGCAGAATCCACAAAAATAGAGTTTCAAAGCTGCTCTGTAAAAAGAAAGGTTCCACTCTGTTAGCTGAGTACACACATCACAAACTTGTTTCTCAGAATCCTTCTGTCTCGTTTTTCTGGGAAGATATTTACTTTTTCACCGTAGGCATCAAAGCGCTCCAAATGTCCACATCCAGTTTCAAACCTGCTCTATGAAAGGGAATCTTCAACTCTATGAGTTGAATGCAGACATCAGAAAGAAATTTCTGAGAATGCTGCTGTCTAACTTTTATTTGAATTCCCGCTTCCAACGAAATCCTCCAAGCTATCCAAATATCCACCTGCATTTTCCACAAAAAGAGTGTTTCAAAACTGCTCTATCAATAGAAATGTTCAATTCCTTTGGCTGGGTACACACATCACAAACAAGTTTCTGAGAATGCTTCTGTCTAGTTTTTATGGGAAGACATTCCCTTTTTCACCAAAGGCATCAAAGCGCTCCAAATGTCCACTTCCAGACACTACAAAAAGAGTGTTTCAAACGTGCTCTAAGAAAGCGAATGTTCAACTCTGTGACTTGAATGCAGATATCACAAAGTAGTTTCTGAGAGGGCTTCTGTCTAGATTTTAGATGATGATATTCCCGTTTCCAACGAAATCATTAGAGCTATCCAAATATCCACTTACAGTTTCTACAAAAAGAGTGTTTCCAAACTGCTGCATCAAAAGAGAGGTTCCACTCTGTTAGCTGAGTACACACATCACAAACTTGTTTCTGAGAATCCGTCTGTCTCGTTTTTATGGGAAGATATTTACTTTTTCACCGTAGGCATCAAAGCGCTCCAAATGTCCACATCCAGATACTCCAGAAAGAGTGTTTCAAACCTGCTCTATGAAAGGGAATCTTCAACTCTATGAGTTGAATGCAGACATCAGAAAGAAATTTACTGAGAATGCTGCTGTCTACCTTTAATTTGAATTCCCGCTTCCAACGAAATCCTCCAAGCTATCCAAATATCCACTTGCACATTCCACAAAAAGAGTGTTTCAAAACTGCTCTCTATCAATGGCAAAGTTCAACTCTGTTAGTTGAGGACACATATCACCAACAAGTTTCTGAGAATGCTTCTGTCTATTTTTTATGGGAAGATATTTCCTTTTTCACCGTAGGCGTCAAGGCGATCGAAATGTCCACTTCCACAAACTACAAAAAGAGTGTTTCAAACCTGCTCTATGAAAGGCCATGTTCATCTCTATGAGTTGAATGGAAATATCCGAAAGAAATTTCTGGGAATGCTGCTGTCTAGTGTTTATACGAATTCCCGCTTCCAACGAAATCCTCAAAGCAATCCAAATATCCACTTGCAGAATCCACAAAAAGAGTGTTTCAAAACTGCTCTATCAATAGAAAGGTTCAACTCTTTTAGTTGAGGTACACACATCACGAACAAGTTTCTGAGAATGCTTCTGTCTGGCTTTTATTGGAAGACGTTTCCTTTTCACCAAAGGCATCAAAGCGCTCCAAATGTCCACTTCCAGATTCTTCCAAAAGAGTGTTTGAAACGTGCTCAAAGTAAGGGAATGTTCAACTCTGTGACTTGAATGCAGATATCACCAAGTAGTTTCTAATAGTGCTTCTGTCTAGATTTTAGATGATGATATTCCCGTTTCCAACGAAATCGTTAGAGCTATCCAAATATCCACTTACAGTTTCTACAAAAAGAGTGTTTCCAAACTGCTGCATCAAAAGAAAGGTTCAACTCTGTTAGTTGAGGACACACATCACAAAGAAGTTTGTGAGAATGCTTCTGTCCAGATTTTGTATGACGATATTCCCTTTTCCAACGATATCGTTAAAGCAATCTAAATATCCATTTGCAGAATCCACAAAAATAGAGTTTCAAAGCTGCTCTGTAAAAAGAAAGGTTCCACTCTGTTAGCTGAGTACACACATCACAAACTTGTCTCTCAGAATCCTTTCTGTCTCGTTTTTATGGGAAGACATTTACTTTTTCACCGTAGGCATCAAAGCGCTCCAAATGTCCACATCCAGATACTCCAGAAACAGTGTTTCAAACCTGCTCTATGAAAGGGAATCTTCAACTCTATGAGTTGAATGCAGACATCAGAAAGAAATTTCTGAGAATGCTGCTGTCTACCTTTTATTTGAATTCCCGCTTCCAACGAAATCCTCCAAGCTATCCAAATATCCACTTGCATTTTCCACAAAAAGAATGTTTCAAAACTGCTCTATCAATAGAAATGTTCAACTCCTTTGGCTGGGTACACACATCACAAACAAGTTTCTGAGAATGCTTCTGTCTAGTTTTTATGGGTAGACATTCCCTTTTTCACCAAAGGAATCAAAGCGCTCCAAATGTCCACTTCCAGACACTACAAAAAGAGTGTTTCAAACGTGCTCTAAGAAAGCGAATGTTCAACTCTGTGACTTGAATGCAGATATCACAAAGTAGTTTCTGAGAGGGCTTCTGTCTAGATTTTAGATGATGATATTCCCGTTTCCAACGAAATCATTAGAGCTATCCAAATATCCACTTACAGTTTCTACAAAAAGAGTGTTTCCAAACTGCTGCATCAAAAGAGAGGTTCCACTCTGTTAGCTGAGTACACACATCACAAACTTGTTTCTCAGAATCCTTCTGTCTCGTTTTTATGGGAAGATATTTACTTTTTCACCGTAGGCATCAAAGCGCTCCAAATGTCCACAATCAGATACTCCAGAAAGAGTGTTTCAAACCTGCTCTATGAAAGGGAATCTTCAACTCTATGAGTTGAATGCAGACATCAGAAAGAAATTTCTGAGAATGCTGCTGTCTACCTTTTATTTGAATTCCCGCTTCCAACAAAATCCTCCAAGCTATCCAAATATCCACTTGCAGATTCCACAAAAAGAGTGTTTCAAAACTGCTCTCTATCAATGGCAAAGTTCAACTCTGTTAGTTGAGGACACATATCACCAACAAGTTTCTGAGAATGCTTTCTGTCTATTTTTTATGGGAAGATATTTCCTTTTTCAGCGTAGGCGTCAAGGCGATCCGAAATGTCCACTTCCACAAACTACAAAAAGAGTGTTTCAAACCTGCTCTATGAAAGGCCATGTTCATCTCTATGAGTTGAATGGAAATATCCGAAAGAAATTTCTGGGAATGCTGCTGTCTAGTGTTTATACGAATTCCCGCTTCCAACGAAATCCTCAAAGCAATCCAAATATCCACTTGCAGAATCCACAAAAAGAGTGTTTCAAAACTGCTCTATCAATAGAAAGGTTCAACTCTTTTAGTTGAGTACACACATCACGAACAAGTTTCTGAGAATGCTTCTGTCTGGCTTTTATTGGAAGACGTTTCCTTTTCACCAAAGGCATCAAAGTGCTCCAAATGTCCACTTCCAGATTCTACCAAAAGAGTGTTTCAAACGTGCTCATAGTAAGGGAATGTTCAACTCTGTGACTTGAATGCAGATATCACCAAGTAGTTTCTAATAGTGCTTCTGTCTAGATTTTAGATGATGATATTCCCGTTTCCAACGAAATCGCTAGAGCTATCCAAATATCCAGTTACAGTTTCTACCAAAAGGGTGTTTCCAAATTGCTGCATCAAAAGAAAGGTTCAACTCTGTTAGTTGAGGACACACGTCACAAAGAAGTTTGTGAGAATGCTTCTGTCTAGATTTTGTATGACGATATTCCCTTTTCCAACGATATCGTTAAAGCAATCTAAATATCAATTTGCAGAATCCACAAAAATAGAGTTTCAAAGCTGCTCTGCAAAAAAGAAAGGTTCCACTCTGTTAGCTGAGTACACACATCACAAACTTGTTTCTGAGAATCCTTCTGTCTCGTTTTTATGGGAAGATATTTACTTTTTCACCGTAGGCATCAAAGCGCTCCAAATGTCCACATCCAGATACTCCAGAAAGAGTGTTTCAAACCTGCTCTATGAAAGGGAATCTTCAACTCTATGAGTTGAATGCAGACATCAGAAAGAAATTTCTGAGAATGCTGCTGTCTACCTTTTATTTGAACTCCCGCTTCCAACGAAATCCTCCAAGCTATCCAAATATCCACTTGCATTTTCCACAAAAAGAGTGCTTCAAAACTGCTCTATCAATAGAAATGTTCAACTCCTTTAGCTGGGTGCACACATCACAAACAAGTTTCTGAGAATGCTTCTGTCTAGTTTTTGTGGGAAGACATTCCCTTTTTCACCAAAGGCATCAAAGCGCTCCAAATGTCCACTTCCAGACACTACAAAAAGAGTGTTTCAAACGTGCTCTAAGAAAGCGAATGTTCAACTCTGTGACTTGAATGCAGATATCACCAAGTAGTTTCTGAGAGGGCTTCTGTCTAGATTTTAGATGATGATATTCCCGTTTCCAACGAAATCATTAGAGCTATCCAAATATCCACTTACAGTTTCTACAAAAAGAGTGTTTCCAAACTGCTGCATCAAAAGAGAGGTTCCACTCTGTTAGCTGAGTACACACATCACAAACTTGTTTCTCAGAATCCTTCTGTCTAGTTTTCATGGGAAGATATTTACTTTTTCACCGTAGGTATCAAAGCGCTCCAAATGACCACATCCAGATACTACAGAAAGAGTGTTTCAAACCTGCTCTATGAAAGGGAATCTTCAACTCAATGAGTTGAATGCAGACATCAGAAAGTAATTTCTGAGAATGCTGCTGTCTACCTTTTATTTGAATTCCCGCTTCCAACGAAATCCTCCAAGCTATCCAAATATCCACTTGCAGATTCCACAAAAAGAGTGTTTCAAAACTGCTCTCTATCAATGGCAAAGTTCAACTCTGTTAGTTGAGGACACATATCAGCAACAAGTTTCTGAGGATGCTTCTGTCTATTTTTTATGGGAAGATATTTCCTTTTTCACCGTAGGCGTCAAGGCGATCGAAATGTCCACTTCCACAAACTACAAAAAGAGTGTTTGAAACCTGCTCTATGAAAGGCCATGTTCATCTCTATGAGTTGAATGGAAATATCCGAAAGAAATTTCTGGGAATGCTGCTGTCTAGTGTTTATACGAATTCCCGCTTCCAACGAAATCCTCAAAGCAATCCAAATATCCACTTGCAGAATCCACAAAAAGAGTGTTTCAAAACTGCTCTATCAATAGAAAGGTTCAACTCTTTTAGTTGAGTACACACATCACCAACAAGTTTCTGAGAATGCTTCTGTCTGGCTTTTATTGGAAGACGTTTCCTTTTCACCAAAGGCATCAAAGCGCTCCAAATGTCCACTTCCAGATTCTTCCAAAAGAGTGTTTGAAACGTGCTCAAAGTAAGGGAATGTTCAACTCTGTGACTTGAATGCAGATATCACCAAGTAGTTTCTAATAGTGCTTCTGTCTAGATTTTAGATGATGATATTCCCGTTTCCAACGAAATCGTTAGAGCTATCCAAATATCCACTTACAGTTTCTACCAAAAGGGTGTTTCCAAACTGCTGCATCAAAAGAAAGGTTCAACTCTGTTAGTTGAGGACACACGTCACAAAGCTGTTTGTGAGAATGCTTCTGTCCAGATTTTGTATGACGATATTCCCTTTTCCAACGATATCGTTAAAGCAATCTAAATATCAATTTGCAGAATCCACAAAAATAGAGTTTCAAAGCTGCTCTGTAAAAAGAAAGGTTCCACTCTGTTAGCTGAGTACACACATCACAAACTTGTTTCTGAGAATCCTTCTGTCTCGTTTTTATGGGAAGATATTTACTTTTTCACTGTAGGCATCAAAGCGCTCCACATGTCCACATCCAGATACTACAGAAAGAGTATTTCAAACCTGTCCTATGAAAGGGAATGTTCAACTCTATGAGTTGAATGCAGACATCAGAAAGAAATTTCTGAGAATGCTGCTGTCTACCTTTTATTTGAATTCCCGCTTCCAACGAAATCCTCCAAGCTATCCAAATATCCACTTGCATTTTCCACAAAAAGAGTGTTTCAAAACTGCTCTATCAATAGAAATGTTCAACTCCTTTAGCTGGGTACACACATCACAAACAAGTTTCTGAGAATGCTTCTGTCTAGTTTTTATGGGAAGACATTCCCTTTTTCACCAAAGGCATCAAAGCGCTCCAAATGTCCACTTCCAGACACTACAAAAAGAGTGTTTCAAACGTGCTCTAAGAAAGCGAATGTTCAACTCTGTGAGTTGAATGCAGATATCACAAAGTAGTTTCTGAGAGGGCTTCTGTCTAGATTTTAGATGATGATATTCCCGTTTCCAACGAAATCATTAGAGCTATCCAAATATCCACTTACAGTTTCTACAAAAAGAGAGTTTCCAAACTGCTGCATCAAAAGAGAGGTTCCACTCTGTTAGCTGAGTACACACATCACAAACTTGTTTCTCAGAATCCTTCTGTCTCGTTTTTTATGGGAAGATATTTACTTTTCCACCGTAGGCATCAAAGCGCTCCAAATGTCCACATCCAGATACTCCAGAACGAGTGTTTCAAACCTGCTCTATGAAAGGGAATCTTCAACTCTATGAGTTGAATGCAGACATCAGAAAGAAATTTCTGAGAATGCTGCTGTCTACCTTTTATTTGAATTCCCGCTTCCAACGAAATCCTCCAAGCTATCCAAATATCCACTTGCAGATTCCACAAAAAGAGTGTTTCAAAACTGCTCTCTATCAATGGCAAAGTTCAACTCTGTTAGTTGAGGACACATATCACCAACAAAGGTTTGTCTGAGAATGCTTCTGTCTATTTTTTATGGGAAGATATTTCCTTTTTCACCGTAGGCGTCAAGGCGATCGAAATGTCCACTTCCACAAACTACAAAAGGAGTGCTTCAAACCTGCTCTATGAAAGGCCATGTTCATCTCTATGAGTTGAATGGAAATATCCGAAAGAAATTTCTGGGAATGCTGCTGTCTAGTTTTTATACGAATTCCCGCTTCCAACGAAATCCTCAAAGCAATCCAAATATCCACTTGCAGAATCCACAAAAAGAGTGTTTCAAAACTGCTCTATCAATAGAAAGGTTCAACTCTTTTAGTTGAGTTCACACATCACAAACAAGTTTCTGAGAATGCTTCTGTCTGGCTTTTATTGGAAGACGTTTCCTTTTCACCAAAGGCATCAAAGCGCTCCAAATGTCCACTTCCAGATTCTTCCAAAAGAGTGATTCAAACGTGCTCAAAGTAAGGGAATTTCAACTCTGTGACTTGAATGCAGATATCACCAAGTAGTTTCTAATAGTGCTTCTGTCTACATTTTAGATGATGATATTCCCGTTTCCAACGAAATCGCTAGAGCTATCCAAATATCCAGTTACAGTTTCTACCAAAAGGGTGTTTCCAAATTGCTGCATCAAAAGAAAAGTTCAACTCTGTTAGTTGAGGACACACATCACAAAGAAGTTTGTGAGAATGCTTCTGTCTAGATTTTGTATGACGATATTCCCTTTTCCAACGATATCGTTAAAGCAATCTAAATATCCATTTGCAGAATCCACAAAAATAGAGTTTCAAAGCTGCTCTGTAAAAAGAAAGGTTCCACTCTGTTAGCTGAGTACACACATCACAAACTTGTTTCTGAGAATCCTTCTGTCTCGTTTTTATGGGAAGATATTTACTTTTTCACTGTAGGCATCAAAGCGCTCCAAATGTCCACATCCAGATACTCCAGAAAGAGTGTTTCAAACCTGCTCTATGAAAGGGAATCTTCAACTCTATGAGTTGAATGCAGACATCAGAAAGAAATTTCTGAGAATGCTGCTGTCTACCTTTTATTAGAATTCCCGCTTCCAACGAAATCCTCCAAGCTATCCAAATATCCACCTGCATTTTCCACAAAAAGAGTGTTTCAAAACTGCTCTATCAATAGAAATGTTCAACTCCTTTGGCTGGGTACACACATCACAAACAAGTTTCTGAGAATGCTTCTGTCTAGTTTTTATGGGAAGACGTTCCCTTTTTCACCAAAGCCATCAAAGCGCTCCAAATGTCCACTTCCAGACACTACAAAAAGAGTGTTTCAAACGTGCTCTAAGAAAGCGAATGTTCAACTCTGTGACTTGAATGCAGATATCACAAAGTAGTTTCTGAGAGTGCTTCTGTCTAGATTTTAGATGATGATATTCCCGTTTCCAACGAAATCATTAGAGCTATACAAATATCCACTTACAGTTTCTACAAAAAGAGTGTTTCCAAACTGCTGCATCAAAAGAGAGGTTCCACTCTGTTAGCTGAGTACACACATCACAAACTAGTTTCTCAGAATCCTTCTGTCTCGTTTTTATGGGAAGATATTTACTTTCTCACCGTAGGCATCAAAGCGCTCCAAATGTCCACATCCAGATACTCCAGAAAGAGTGTTTCAAACCTGCTCTATGAAAGGGAATCTTCAACTCTATGAGTTGAATGCAGACATCAGAAAGAAATTTCTGAGAATGCTGCTGTCTACCTTTTATTTGAATTCCCGCTTCCAACGAAATCCTCCAAACTATCCAAATATCCACTTGCAGATTCCACAAAAAGAGTGTTTCAAAACTGCTCTCTATCAATGGCAAAGTTCAACTCTGTTAGTTCAGGACACATATCACCAACAAGTTTCTGAGAATGCTTCTGTCTATTTTTTATGGGAAGATATTTCCTTTTTCACCGTAGGCGTCAAGGCGATCGAAATGTCCACTTCCACAAAATACAAAAAGAGTGTTTCAAACCTGCTCTATGAAAGGCCATGTTCATCTCTATGAGTTGAATGGAAATATCCGAAAGAAATTTCTGGGAATGCTGCTGTCTAGTGTTTATACGAATTCCCGCTTCCAACGAAATCCTCAAAGCAATCCAAATATCCACTTGCAGAATCCACAAAAAGAGTGTTTCTAAACTGCTCTATCAATAGAAAGGTTCAACTCTTTTAGTTGAGTACACACATCACGAACAAGTTTCTGAGAATGCTTCTGTCTGGCTTTTATTGGAAGACGTTTCCTTTTCACCAAAGGCATCAAAGCGCTCCAAATGTCCACTTCCAGATTCTTCCAAAAGAGTGTTTCAAACGTGCTCAAAGTAAGGGAATGTTCAACTCTGTGACTTGAATGCAGATATCACCAAGTAGTTTCTAATAGTGCTTCTGTCTAGATTTTAGATGATGATATTCCCGTTTCCAACGAAATCGTTAGAGCTATCCAAATATCCACTTACAGTTTCTACCAAAAGGGTGTTTCCAAACTGCTGCATCAAAAGAAAGATTCAACTCTGTTAGTTGAGGACACACATCACAAAAAAGTTTGTGAGAATGCTTCTGTCTAGATTTTGTATGACGATATTCCCTTTTCCAACGATATCGTTAAAGCAATCTAAATATCCATTTGCAGAATCCACAAAAATAGAGTTTCAAAGCTGCTCTGTGAAAAGAAAGGTTCCACTCTGTTAGCTGAGTACACACATCACAAACTTGTTTCTCAGAATCCTTCTGTCTCGTTTTTATGGGAAGATATTTACTTTTTCACCGTAGGCATCAAAGCGCTCCAAATGTCCACATCCAGATACTACAGAAAGAGTATTTCAAACCTGCTCTATGAAAGGGAATGTTCAACTCTATGAGTTGAATGCAGACATCAGAAAGAAATTTCTGAGAATGCTGCTGTCTACCTTTTATTTGAATTCACGCTTCCAACGAAATCCTCCAAGCTATCCAAATATCCACTTGCATTTTCCACAAAAAGAGTGTTTCAAAACTGCTCTATCAATAGAAATGTTCAACTCCTTTAGCTGGGTACACACATCACAAACAAGTTTCTGAGAATGCTTCTGTCTAGTTTTTATGGGAAGACATTCCCTTTTTCACCAAAGGCATCAAAGCGCTCCAAATGTCCACTTCCAGACACTACAAAAAGAGTGTTTCAAACGTGCTCTAAGAAAGCGAATGTTCAACTCTGTGACTTGAATGCAGATATCACAAAGTAGTTTCTGAGAGGGCTTCTGTCTAGATTTTAGATGATGATATTCCCGTTTCCAACGAAATCATTAGAGCTATCCAAATATCCACTTACAGTTTCTACAAAAAGAGTGTTTCCAAACTGCTGCATCAAAAGAGAGGTTCCACTCTGTTAGCTGAGTACACACATCACAAACTAGTTTCTCAGAATCCTTCTGTCTCGTTTTTATGGGAAGATATTTACTTTCTCACCATAGGCCTCAAAGCGCTCCAAATGTCCACATCCAGATACTCCAGAAAGAGTGTTTCAAACCTGCTCTATGAAAGGGAATCTTCAACTCTATGAGTTGAATGCAGACATCAGAAAGAAATTTCTGAGAATGCTGCTGTCTACCTTTTATTTGAATTCCCACTTCCAACGAAATCCTCCAAGCTATCCAAATATCCACTTGCAGATTCCACAAAAAGAGTGTTTCAAAACTGCTCTCTATCAATGGCAAAGTTCAACTCTGTTAGTTGAGGACACATATCACCAACAAGTTTCTGAGAATGCTTCTGTCTATTTTTTATGGGAAGATATTTCCTTTTTCACCGTAGGCGTCAAGGTGATCGAAATGTCCACTTCCACAAACTACAAAAAGAGTGTTTCAAACCTGCTCTATGAAAGGTCATGTTCTTCTCTATGAGTTGAATGGAAATATCCGAAAGAAATTTCTGGTAATGCTGCTGTCTAGTTTTTATACGAATTCCCGCTTCCAACGAAATCCTCAAAGCAATCCAAATATCCACTTGCAGAATCCACAAAAAGAGTGTTTCAAAACTGCTCTATCAATAGAAAGGTTCAACTCTTTTAGTTGAGTACACACATCACAAACAAGTTTCTGAGAATGCTTCTGTCGGGCTTTTATTGGAAGACGTTTCCTTTTCACCAAAGGCATCAAAGCGCTCCAAATGTCCACTTCCAGATTCTTCCAAAAGAGTGTTTCAAACGTGCTCAAAGTAAGGGAATGTTCAACTCTGTGACTTGAATGCAGATATCACCAAGTAGTTTCTAATAGTGCTTCTGTCTAGATTTTAGATGATGATATTCCCGTTTCCAACGAAATCGTTAGAGCTATCCAAATATCCAGTTACAGTTTCTACCAAAAGGGTGTTTCCAAATTGCTGCATCAAAAGAAAGGTTCAACTCTGTTAGTTGAGGACACACATCACAAAGAAGTTTGTGAGAATGCTTCTGTCTAGATTTTGTATGACGGTATTCCCTTTTCCAACGATATCGTTAAAGCAATCTAAATATCAATTTGCAGAATCCACAACAATAGAGTTTCAAAGCTGCTCTGTAAAAAGAAAGGTTCCACTCTGTTAGCTGAGTACACACATTACAAACTTGTTTCTGAGAATCCTTCTGTCTCGTTTTTATGGGAAGATATTTACTTTTCCACCGTAGGCATCAAAGCGCTCCAAATGTCCACATCCAGATACTCCAGAAAGAGTGTTTCAAACCTGCTCTATGAAAGGGAATGTTCAACTCTATGAGTTGAATGCAGACATCAGAAAGAAATTTCTGAGAATGCTGCTGTCTACCTTTTATTTGAATTCCCGCTTCCAACGAAATCCTCCAAGCTATCCAAATATCCACCTGCATTTTCCACAACAAGAGTGTTTCAAAACTGCTCTATCAATAGAAATGTTCAACTCCTTTGGCTGGGTACACACATCACAAACAAGTTTCTGAGAATGCTTCTGTCTAGTTTTTATGGGAAGACGTTCCCTTTTTCACCAAAGGCATCAAAGCGCTCCAAATGTCCACTTCCAGACACTACAAAAAGAGTGTTTCAAACGTGCTCTAAGAAAGCGAATGTTCAACTCTGTGACTTGAATGCAGATATCACAAAGTGGTTTCTGAGAGTGCTTCTGTCTAGATTTTAGATGATGATATTCCCGTTTCCAACGAAATCATTAGAGCTATCCAAATATCCACTTACAGTTTCTACAAAAAGAGTGTTTCCAAACTGCTGCATCAAAAGAGAGGTTCCACTCTGTTAGCTGAGTACACACATCACAAACTTGTTTCTCAGAGTCCTGCTGTCTACCTTTTATTTGAATTCCCGCTTCCAACGAAATCCTCCAAGCTATCCAAATATCCACTTGCAGATTCCACAAAAATAGTGTTTCAAAACTGCTCTCTATCAATGGCAAAGTTCAACTCTGTTAGTTGAGGACACATATCACCAACAAGTTTCTGAGAATGCTTCTGTCTATTTTTTATGGGAAGATATATCCTTTTTCACCGTAGGCGTCAAGGCAATCGAAATGTCCACTTCCACAAACTACAAAAAGAGTGTTTCAAACCTGCTCTATGAAAGGCCATGTTCATCTCTATGAGTCGAATGGAAATATCCGAAAGAAATTTCTGGGAATGCTGCTGTCTAGTTTTTATACGAATTCCCGCTTCCAACGAAATCCTCAAAGCAATCCAAATATCCACTTGCAGAATCCACAAAAAGAGTGTTTCAAAACTGCTCTATCAATAGAAAGGTTCAACTCTTTTAGTTGAGTACACACATCACAAACAAGTTTCTGAGAATGCTTCTGTCTGGCTTTTATTGGAAGACGTTTCCTTTTCACCAAAGGCATCAAAGCGCTCCAAATGTCCACTTCCAGATTCTTCCAAAAGAGTGTTTGAAACGTGCTCAAAGTAAGGGAATGTTCAACTGCTGTGACTTGAATGCAGATATCACCAAGTAGTTTCTAATAGTGCTTCTGTCTACATTTTGATGATGATATTCCCGTTTCCAACGAAATCGTTAGAGCTATCCAAATATCCAGTTAGTTTCTACCAAAAGGGTGTTTCCAAATTGCTGCATCAAAAGAAAGGTTCAACTCTGTTAGTTGAGGACACACATCACAAAGAAGTTTGTGAGAATGCTTCTGTCTAGATTTTGTATGACGATATTCCCTTTTCCAACGATATCGTTAAAGCAATCTAAATATCAATTTGCAGAATCCACAAAAATAGAGTTTCAAAGCTGCTCTGTAAAAAGAAAGGTTCCACTCTGTTAGCTGAGTACACACATCACAAACTTGTTTCTCAGAATCCTGCTGTCTACCTTTTATTTGAATTCCCGCTTCCAACGAAATCCTCCAAGCTATCCAAATATCCACCTGCATTTTCCACAAAAAGAGTGTTTCAAAACTGCTCTATCAATAGAAATGTTCAACTCCTTTGGCTGGGTACACACATCACAAACAAGTTTCTGAGCATGCTTCTGTCTAGTTTTTATGGGAAGACATTCCCTTTTTCACCAAAGGCATCAAAGCGCTCCAAATGTCCACTTCCAGACACTACAAAAAGAGTGTTTCAAACGTGCTCTAAGAAAACGAATGTTCAACTCTGTGACTTGAATGCAGATATCACAGAGTAGTTTTCTGAGAGGGCTTCTGTCTAGATTTTAGATGATGATATTCCCGTTTCCAACGAAATCATTAGAGCTATCCAAATATCCACTTACAGTTTCTACAAAAAGAGTGTTTCCAAACTGCTGCATCAAAAGAGAGGTTCCACTCTGTTAGCTGAGTACACACAGCACAAACTTGTTTCTCAGAATCCTTCTGTCTCGTTTTTATGGGAAGATATTTACTTTTTCACCGTAGGCATCAAAGCGCTCCAAATGTCCACATCCAGATACTCCAGAAAGAGTGTTTCAAACCTGCTCTATGAAACGGAATCTTCAACTCTATGAGTTGAATGCAGACATCAGAAAGAAATTTCTGAGAATGCTGCTGTCTACCTTTTATTTGAATTCCCGCTTCCAACGAAATCCTCCAAGCTATCCAAATATCCACTTGCAGATTCCACAAAAAGAGTGTTTCAAAACTGCTCTCTATCAATGGCAAAGTTCAACTCTGTTAGTTGAGGACACATATCACCAACAAGTTTCTGAGAATGCTTCTGTCTATTTTTTATGGGAAGATATTTCCTTTTTCACCGTAGGCGTCAAGGCGATCGAAATGTCCACTTCCACAAACTACAAAAAGAGTGTTTCAAACCTGCTCTATGAAAGGCCATGTTCATCTCTATGAGTCGAATGGAAATATCCGAAAGAAATTTCTGGGAATGCTGCTGTCTAGTTTTTATACGAATTCCCGCTTCCAACGAAATCCTCAAAGCAATCCAAATATCCACTTGCAGAATCCACAAAAAGAGTGTTTCAAAACTGCTCTATCAATAGAAAGGTTCAACTCTTTTAGTTGAGTACACACATCACAAACAAGTTTCTGAGAATGCTTCTGTCTGGCTTTTATTGGAAGACGTTTCCTTTTCACCAAAGGCATCAAAGCGCTCCAAATGTCCACTTCCAGATTCTTCCAAAAGAGTGTTTCAAACGTGCTCAAAGTAAGGGAATGTTCAACTCTGTGACTTGAATGCAGATATCACCAAGTAGTTTCTAATAGTGCTTCTGTCTAAATTTTAGATGACGATATTCCCGTTTCCAACGAAATCGTTACAGCTATCCAATTATCCACTTACAGTTTCTACAAAAAGAGTGTTTCCAAACTGCTGCATCAAAAGAAAGGTTCAACTCTGTTAGTTGAGGACACACATCACAAAGAAGTTTGTGAGAATGCTTCTGTCCAGATTTTGTATGACGATATTCCCTTTTCCAACGATATCATTAAAGCAATCTAAATATCCATTTGCAGAATCCACAAAAATAGAGTTTCAAAGCTGCTCTGTAAAAAGAAAGGTTCCACTCTGTTAGCTGAGTACACACATCACATACTTGTCTCTCAGAATCCTTCTGTCTCGTTTTTATGGGAAGATATTTACTTTTCCACCGTAGGCATCAAAGCGCTCCAAATGTCCACATCCAGATACTCCAGAAAGAGTGTTTCAAACCTGCTCTATGAAAGGGAATCTTCAACTCTATGAGTTGAATGCAGACATCACAAAGAAATTTCTGAGAATGCTCCTGTCTACCTTTTATTTGAATTCCCGCTTCCAACGAAATCCTCCAAGCTATCCAAATATCCACTTGCATTTTCCACAAAAAGAGTGTTTCAAAACTGCTCTATCAATAGAAATGTTCAACTCCTTTAGCTGGGTACACACATCACAAACAAGTTTCTGAGAATGCTTCTGTCTAGTTTTTATGGGAAGACCATTCCCTTTTTCACCAAAGGCATCAAAGCGCTCCAAATGTCCACTTCCAGACACTACAAAAAGAGTGTTTCCAACGTGCTCTAAGAAAGCGAATGTTCAACTCTGTGACTTGCATGCAGATATCACAAAGTAGTTTCTGAGAGGGCTTCTGTCTAGATTTTAGATGATGATATTCCCGTTTCCAACGAAATCATTAGAGCTATCCAAATATCCACTTACAGTTTCTACAAAAAGAGTGTTTCCAAACTGCTGCATCAAAACAGAGGTTCCACTCTGTTAGCTGAGTACACACATCACAAACTAGTTTCTCAGAATCCTTCTGTCTCGTTTTTATGGGAAGATATTTACTTTTTCACCGTAGGCATCAAAGCGCTCCAAATGTCCACATCCAGATACTCCAGAAAGAGTGTTTCAAACCTGCTCTATGAAAGGGAATGTTCAACTCTATGAGTTGAATGCAGACATCAGAAAGAAATTTCTGAGAATGCTGCTGTCTACCTTTTATTTGAATTCCCGCTTCCAACGAAATCCTCCAAGCTATCCAAATATCCACCTGCATTTTCCACAACAAGAGTGTTTCAAAACTGCTCTCTATCAATGGCAAAGTTCAACTCTGTTAGTTGAGGACACATATCACCAACAAGTTTCTGAGAATGCTTCTGTCTATTTTTTATGGGAAGATAATTCCTTTTTCAGCGTAGGCGTCAAGGCGATCGAAATGTCCACTTCCACAAACTACAAAAAGAGTGTTTCAAACCTGCTCTATGAAAGGCCATGTTCATCTCTATGAGTTGAATGGAAATATCCGAAAGAAATTTCTGGGAATGCTGCTGTCTAGTTTTTATATGAATTCCCGCTTCCAACGAAATCCTCAAAGCAATCCAAATATCCACTTGCAGAATCCACAAAAAGAGTGTTTCAAAACTGCTCTATCAATAGAAAGGTTCAACTCTTTTAGTTGAGTACACACATCACCAACAAGTTTCTGAGAATGCTTCTGTCTGGCTTTTATTGGAAGACGTTTCCTTTTCACCAAAGGCATCAAAGCGCTCCAAATGTCCACTTCCAGATTCTTCCAAAGGAGTGTTTCAAACGTGCTCGAAGTAAGGGAATGTTCTACTCTGTGACTTGAATGCAGATATCACCAAGTAGTTTCTAATAGTGCTTATCTGTCTAGATTTTAGATGATGATATTCCCGTTTCCAACGAAATCGTTAGAGCTAAGCAAATATCCAGTTACAGTTTCTACAAAAAGGGTGTTTCCAAATTGCTGCATCAAAAGAAAGGTTCAACTCGGTTAGTTGAGGACACACACCACAAAGAAGTTTGTGAGAATGCTTCTGTCTAGATTTTGTATGACGATATTCCCTTTTCCAACGATATCGTTAAAGCAATCTAAATATCAATTTGCAGAATCCACAAAAATAGAGTTTCAAAGCTGCTCTGTAAAAAGAAAGGTTCCACTCTGTTAGCTGAGTACACACATCACAAACTTGTTTCTGAGAATCCTTGTCTGTCTCGTTTTTATGGGAAGATATTTACTTTTCCACCGTAGACATCAAAGCGCTCCAAATGTCCACATCCAGATACTCCAGAACGAGTGTTTCAAACCTGCTCTATGAAAGGGAATCTTCAACTCTATGAGTTGAATGCAGACATAAGAAAGAAATTTCTGAGAATGCTGCTGTCTAACTTTTATTTGAATTCCCGCTTCCAACGAAATCCTCCAAGCTATCCAAATATCCACCTGCATTTTCCACAAAAAGAGTGTTTCAAAACTGCTCTATCAATAGAAATGTTCAACTCCTTTGGCTGGGTACACACATCACAAACAAGTTTCTGAGAATGCTTCTGTCTAGTTTTTATGGGAAGACATTCCCTTTTTCACCAAAGGCATCAAAGCGCTCCAAATGTCCACTTCCAGACACTACAAAAAGAGTGTTTCCAACGTGCTCTAAGAAAGCGAATGTTCAACTGCTGTGACTTGAATGCAGATATCACAAAGTAGTTTCTGAGAGGGCTTCTGTCTAGATTTTAGATGATGATATTCCCGTTTCCAACGAAATCATTAGAGCTATCCAAATATCCACTTACAGTTTCTACAAAAAGAGTGTTTCCAAACTGCTGCATCAAAAGAGAGGTTCCACTCTGTTAGCTGAGTACACACATCACAAACTTGTTTCTCAGAATCCTTCTGTCTCGTTTTTATGGGAAGATATTTACTTTTTCATCGTAGGCATCAAAGCGCTCCAAATGTCCACATCCAGATACTCCAGAAAGAGTGTTTCAAACCTGCTCTATGAAAGGGAATGTTCAACTCTATGAGTTGAATGCAGACATCAGAAAGAAATTTCTGAGAATGCTGCTGTCTACCTTTTATTTGAATTCCCGCTTCCAACGAAATCCTCCAAGCTATCCAAATATCCACTTGCAGATTCCACAAAAAGAGTGTTTCAAAACTGCTCTCTATCAATGGCAAAGTTCAACTCTGTTAGTTGAGGACACATATCACCAACAAGTTTCTGAGAATGCTTCTGTCTATTTTTTATGGGAAGATATTTCCTTTTTCACCGTAGGCGTCAAGGCGATCGAAATGTCCACTTCCACAAACTACAAAAAGAGTGTTTCAAACCTGCTCTATGAAAGGCCATGTTCATCTCTATGAGTTGAATGGAAATATCCGAAAGAAATTTCTGGGAATGCTGCTGTCTAGTGTTTATACGAATTCCCGCTTCCAACGAAATCCTCAAAGCAATCCAAATATCCACTTGCAGAATCCACAAAAAGAGTGTTTCAAAACTGCTCTATCAATAGAAAGGTTCATCTCTTTTAGTTGAGTACACACATCACGAACAAGTTTCTGAGAATGCTTCTGTCTGGCTTTTATTGGAAGACGTTTTCTTTTCACCAAAGGCATCATCAAAGCGCTACAAATGTCCACTTCCAGATTCTTCCAAAAGAGTGTTTCAAACGTGCTCAAAGTAAGGGAATGTTCAACTCTGTGACTTGAATGCAGATATCACCAAGTAGTTTCTAATAGTGCTTCTGTCTAGATTTTAGATGATGATATTCCCGTTTCCAACGAAATCGTTAGAGCTAAGCAAATATCCAGTTACAGTTTCTACAAAAAGGGTGTTTCCAAATTGCTGCATCAAAAGAAAGGTTCAACTCTGTTAGTTGAGGACACACACCACAAAGAAGTTTGTGAGAATGCTTCTGTCTAGATTTTGTATGACGATATTCCCTTTTCCAACGATATCGTTAAAGCAATCTAAATATCAATTTGCAGAATCCACAAAAATAGAGTTTCAAAGCTGCTCTGTAAAAAGAAAGGTTCCACTCTGTTAGCTGAGTACACACATCACAAACTTGATTCTGAGAATCCTTCTGTCTCGTTTTTATGGGAAGATATTTACTTTTCCACCGTAGGCATCAAAGCGCTCCAAATGTCCACATCCAGATGCTCCAGAACGAGTGTTTCAAACCTGCTCTATGAAAGGGAATCTTCAACTCTATGAGTTGAATGCAGACATCAGAAAGAAATTTCTGAGAATGCTGCTGTCTACCTTTTATTTGAATTCCCGCTTCCAACGAAATCCTCCAAGCTATCCAAATATCCACTTGCATTTTCCACAAAAAGAGTGTTTCAAAACTGCTCTATCAATAGAAATGTTCAACTCCTTTAGCTGGGTACACACATCACAAACAAGTTTCTGAGAATGCTTCTGTCTAGTTTTTATGGGAAGACGTTCCCTTTTTCACCAAAGGCATCAAAGCGCTCCAAATGTCCACTTCCAGACACTACAAAAAGAGTGTTTCAAACGTGCTCTAAGAAAGCGAATGTTCAACTCTGTGACTTGAATGCAGATATCACAAAGTAGTTTGCTGAGAGGGCTTTCTGTCTAGATTTTAGATGATGATATTCCCGTTTCCAACGAAATCATTAGAGCTATTCAAATATCCACTTACAGTTTCTACAAAAAGAGTGTTTCCAAACTGCTGCATCAAAACAGAGGTTCCACTCTGTTAGCTGAGTACACACATCACAAACTTGTTTCTCAGAATCCTTCTGTCTCGTTTTTATGGGAAGATATTTACTTTTTCACCGTAGGCATCAAAGCGCTCCAAATGTCCACATCCAGATACTCCAGAAAGAGTGTTTCAAACCTGCTCTATGAAAGGGAATCTTCAACTCTATGAGTTGAATGCAGACATCAGAAAGAAATTTCTGAGAATGTTGCTGTCTACCTTTTATTTGAATTCCCGCTTCCAACGAAATCCTCCATGCTATCCAAATATACACTTGCAGATTCCACAAAAAGAGTGTTTCAAAACTGCTCTCTATCAATGGCAAAGTTCAACTCTGTTAGTTGAGGACACATATCACCAACAAGTTTCTGAGAATGCTTCTGTCTATTTTTTATGGGAAGATATTTCCTTTTTCACCGTAGGCGTCAAGGCGATCGAAATGTCCACTTCCACAAACTACAAAAAGAGTGTTTCAAACCTGCTCTATGAAAGGCCATGTTCATCTCTATGAGTTGAATGGAAATATCCGAAAGAAATTTCTGGGAATGCTGCTGTCTAGTTTTTATACGAATTACCGCTTCCAACGAAATCCTCAAAGCAATCCAAATATCCACTTGCAGAATCCACAAAAAGAGTGTTTCAAAACTGCTCTATCAATAGAAAGGTTCAAATCTTTTAGTTGAGTACACACATCATGAACAAGTTTCTGAGAATGCTTCTGTCTGGCTTTTATTGGAAGACGTTTCCTTTTCACCAAAGGCATCAAAGCGCTCCAAATGTCCACTTCCAGATTCTTCCAAAAGAGTGTTTCAAACGTGCTCAAAGTAAGGGAATGTTCAACTCTGTGACTTGAACGCAGATATCACCAAGTAGTTTCTAATAGTGCTTCTGTCTAGATTTTAGATGATGATATTCCCGTTTCCAACGAAATCGTTAGAGCTATCCAAATATCCACTTACAGTTTCTACAAAAAGAGTGTTTCCAAACTGCTGCATCAAAAGAAAGGTTCAACTCTGTTAGTTGAGGACACACATCACAAAGAAGTTTGTGAGAATGCTTCTGTCCAGATTTTGTATGACGATATTCCCTTTTCCAACGATATCGTTAAAGCAATCTAAATATCCATTTGCAGAATCCACAAAAATAGAGTTTCAAAGCTGCTCTGTAAAAAGAAAGGTTCCACTCTGTTAGCTGAGTACACACATCACAAACTTGTCTCTCAGAATCCTTGTCTGTCTCGTTTTTATGGGAAGATATTTACTTTTTCACCGTAGGCATCAAAGCGCTCCAAATGTCCACATCCAGATACTCCAGAAAGAGTGTTTCAAACCTGCTCTATGAAAGGGAATCTTCAACTTTATGAGTTGAATGCAGACATCAGAAAGAAATTTCTGAGAATGCTGCTGTCTACCTTTTATTTGAATTCCCGCTTCCAACGAAATCCTCCAAGCTATCCAAATATCCACTTGCATTTTCCACAAAAAGAGTGTTTCAAAACTGCTCTATCAATAGAAATGTTCAACTCCTTTGGCTGGGTACACACATCACAAACAAGTTTCTGAGAATGCTTCTGTCTAGTTTTTATGGGAAGACATTCCCTTTTTCACCAAAGGCATCAAAGCGCTCCAAATGTCCACTTCCAGACACTACAAAAAGAGTGTTTCCAACGTGCTCTAAGAAAGCGAATGTTCAACTCTGTGACTTGAATGCAGATATCACAAAGTAGTTTCTCAGAAGGCTTCTGTCTAGATTTTAGATGATGATATTCCCGTTTCCAACGAAATCATTAGAGCTATCCAAATATCCACTTACAGTTTCTACAAAAAGAGTGTTTCCAAACTGCTGCATCAAAAGAGAGGTTCCACTCTGTTAGCTGAGTACACACATCACAAACTTGTTTCTCAGAATCCTTCTGTCTCGTTTTTATGGGAAGATATTTACTTTTTCACCGTAGGCATCCAAGCGCTCCAAATGTCCACATCCAGATACTCCAGAAAGAGTGTTTCAAACCTGCTCTATGAAAGGGAATCTTCAACTCTATGAGTTGAATGCAGACATCAGAAAGAAATTTCTGAGAATGCTGCTGTCTACCTTTTATTTGAATTCCTGCTTCCAACGAAATCCTCCAAGCTATCCAAATATCCACTTGCAGATTCCACAAAAAGAGTGTTTCAAAACTGCTCTCTATCAATGGCAAAGTTCAACTCTGTTAGTTGAGGACACATATCACCAACAAGTTTCTGAGAATGCTTCTGTCTATTGTTTATGGGAAGATATTTCCTTTTTCACTGTAGGCGTCACGGCGATCGAAATGTCCACTTCCACAAACTACAAAAAGAGTGTTTCAAACCTGCTCTATGAAAGGCGATGTTCATCTCTATGAGTTGAATGGAAATATCCGAAAGAAATTTCTGGGAATGCTGCTGTCTAGTTTTTATATGAATTCCCGCTTCCAACGAAATCCTCAAAGCAATCCAAATATCCACTTGCAGAATCCACAAAAAGAGTGTTTCAAAACTGCTCTATCAATAGAAAGGTTCAACTCTTTTAGTTGAGTACACACATCACAAACAAGTTTACTGAGAATGCTTCTGTCTGGCTTTTATTAGAAGACGTTTCCTTTTCACCAAAGGCATCATCAAAGCGCTCCAAATGTCCACTTCCAGATTCTTCCAAAAGAGTGTTTGAAACGTGCTCAAAGTAAGGGAATGTTCAACTCTGTGACTTGAATGCAGATATCACCAAGTAGTTTCTAATACTTGCTTCTGTCTAGATTTTAGATGATGATATTCCCGTTTCCAACGAAATCGTTAGAGCTATCCAAATATCCACTTACAGTTGCTACAAAAACAGTGTTTCCAAACTGCTGCATCAAAAGAAAGGTTCAACTCTGTTAGTTGAGGACACACGTCACAAAGAAGTTTGTGAGAATGCTTCTGTCTAGATTTTGTATGACGATATTCCCTTTTCCAACGATATCGTTAAAGCAATCTAAATATCAATTTGCAGAATCCACAAAAATAGAGTTTCAAAGCTGCTCTGTAAAAAGAAAGGTTCCACTCTGTTAGCTGAGT
This sequence comes from Homo sapiens, assembly GCF_000001405.40. Taxonomy (NCBI): domain Eukaryota; kingdom Metazoa; phylum Chordata; class Mammalia; order Primates; family Hominidae; genus Homo; species Homo sapiens. The sequence continues at coordinate 12,867,392 of NC_000021.9, read as the reverse complement.
ACACACATCACAAACTTGTTTCTCAGAATCCTTCTGTCTCGTTTTTATGGGAAGATATTTACTTTTCCACCGTAGGCATCAAAGCGCTCCAAATGTCCACATCCAGATACTCCAGAACGAGTGTTTCAAACCTGCTCTATGAAAGGGAATCTTCAACTCTATGAGTTGAATGCAGACATCAGAAAGAAATTTCTGAGAATGCTGCTGTCTACCTTTTATTTGAATTCCCGCTTCCAACGAAATCCTCCAAGCTATCCAAATATCCACCTGCATTTTCCACAAAAAGAGTGTTTCAAAACTGCTCTATCAATAGAAATGTTCAACTCCTTTAGCTGGGTACACACATCACAAACAAGTTTCTGAGAATGCTTCTGTCTAGTTTTTATGGGAAGACATTCCCTTTTTCACCAAAGGCATCAAAGCGCTCCAAATGTCCACTTCCAGACACTACAAAAAGAGTGTTTCCAACGTGCTCTAAGAAAGCGAATGTTCAACTCTGTGACTTGAATGCAGATATCACAAAGTAGTTTCTGAGAGGGCTTCTGTCTAGATTTTAGATGATGATATTCCCGTTTCCAACGAAATCATTAGAGCTATCCAAACATCCACTTACAGTTTCTACAAAAAGAGTGTTTCCAAACTGCTGCTTCAAAAGAAAGGTTCAACTCTGTTAGTTGAGGACACACATCACAAAGAAGTTTGTGAGAATGCTTCTGTCTCGTTTTTATGGGAAGATTATACTTTTTCACCGTAGGCATCAAAGCGCTCCAAATGTCCACATCCAGATACTCCAGAAAGAGTGTTTCAAACCTGCTCTATGAAAGGGAATGTTCAACTCTATGAGTTGAATGCAGACATCAGAAAGAAATTTCTGAGAATGCTGCTGTCTACCTTTTATTTGAATTCCCGCTTCCAACGAAATCCTCCAAGCTATCCAAATATCCACTTGCAGATTCCACAAAAAGAGTGTTTCAAAACTGCTCTCTATCAATGGCAAAGTTCAACTCTGTTAGTTGAGGACACATATCACCAACAAGTTTCTGAGAATGCTTCTGTCTATTTTTTATGGGAAGATATTTCCTTTTTCAGCGTAGGCGTCAAGGCGATCGAAATGTCCACTTCCACAAACTACAAAAAGAGTGTTTCAAACCTGCTCTATGAAAGGCCATGTTCATCTCTATGAGTTGAATGGAAATATCCGAAAGAAATTTCTGGGAATGCTGCTGTCTAGTGTTTATACGAATTCCCGCTTCCAACGAAATCCTCAAAGCAATCGAAATATCCACTTGCAGAATCCACAAAAAGAGTGTTTCAAAACTGCTCTATCAATAGAAAGGTTCAACTCTTTTAGTTGAGTACACACATCACGAACAAGTTTCTGAGAAGGCTTCTGTCTGGCTTTTATTGGAAGACGTTTCCTTTTCACCAAAGGCATCAAAGCGCTCCAAATGTCCACTTCCAGATTCTTCCAAAAGAGTGTTTCAAACGTGCTCGAAGTAAGGGAATGTTCTACTCTGTGACTTGAATGCAGATATCACCAAGTAGTTTCTAATAGTGCTTCTGTCTAGATTTTAGATGATGATATTCCCGTTTCCAACGAAATCGTTAGAGCTATCCAAATATCCACTTACAGTTTCTACCAAAAGGGTGTTTCCAAATTGCTGCATCAAAAGAAAGGTTCAACTCTGTTAGTTGAGGACACACATCACAAAGAAGTTTGTGAGAATGCTTCTGTCTAGTATTTTGTATGACGATATTCCCTTTTCCAACGATATCGTTAAAGCAATCTAAATATCAATTTGCAGAATCCACAAAAATAGAGTTTCAAAGCTGCTCTGTAAAAATAAAGGTTCCACTCTGTTAGCTGAGTACACACATCACAAACTTGTTTCTGAGAATCCTTCTGTCTCGTTTTTATGGGAAAATATTTACTTTTCCACCGTAGGCATCAAAGCGCTCCAAATGTCCACATCCAGATACTCCAGAAAGAGTGTTTCAAACCTGCTCTATGAAAGGGAATCTTCAACTCTATGAGTTGAATGCAGACATCAGAAAGAAATTTCTGAGAATGCTGCTGTCTACCTTTTATTTGAATTCCCGCTTCCAACGAAATCCTCCTAGCTATCCAAACATCCACTTGCATTTTCCACAAAAAGAGTGTTTCAAAACTGCTCTATCAATAGAAACGTTCAACTCCTTTAGCTGGGTACACACATCACAAACAAGTTTCTGAGAACGCTTCTGTCTAGTTTTTATGGGAAGACATTCCCTTTTTCACCAAAGGCATCAAAGCGCTCCAAATGTCCACTTCCAGACACTACGAAAAGAGTGTTTCAAACGTGCTCTAAGAAACCGAATGTTCAACTCTGTGAGTTGAATGCAGATATCACAAAGTAGTTTCTGAGAGGGCTTCTGTCTAGATTTTAGATGATGATATTCCCGTTTCCAACGAAATCATGATAGCTATCCAAATATCCACTTACAGTTTCTACAAAAAGAGTGTTTCCAAACTGCTGCATCAAAACAGAGGTTCCACTCTGTTAGCTGAGTACACACATCACAAACTTGTTTCTGAGAATCCTGCTGTCTACCTTTTATTTGAATTCCCGCTTCCAACGAAATCCTCCAAGCTATCCAAATATCCACTTGCATTTTCCACAAAAAGAGTGTTTCAACACTGCTCTATCAATAGAAATGTTCAACTCCTTTAGCTAGGTACACACATCACAAACAAGTTTCTGAGAATGCTTTTGTCTATTTTTTATGGGAAGATATTTCCTTTTTCACCGTAGGCGTCAAGGCGATCGAAATGTCCACTTCCACAAACTACAAAAAGAGTGTTTCAAACCTGCTCTATGAAAGGCCATGTTCATCTCTATGAGTTGAATGGAAATATCCGAAAGAAATTTCTGGGAATGCTGCTGTCTAGTTTTTATATGAATTCCCGCTTCCAACGAAATCCTCAAAGCAATCCAAATATCCACTTGCAGAATCCACAAAAAGAGTGTTTCAAAACTGTGCTATCAATAGAAAGGTTCAACTCTTTTAGTTGAGTACACACATCACGAACAAGTTTCTGAGAATGCTTCTGTCTGGCTTTTATTGGAAGACGTTTCCTTTTCACCAAAGGCATCAAAGCGCTCCAAATGTCCACTTCCAGATTCTTCCAAAAGAGTGTTTCAAACGTGGTCGAAGTAAGGGAGTGTTCAACTCTGTGACTTGAATGCTGATATCACCAAGTAGTTTCTAATAGTGCTCTGTCTAGATTTTAGATGATGATATTCCCGTTTCCAACGAAATCGTTAGAGCTATCCAAATATCCACTTACAGTTGCTACAAAAACAGTGTTTCCAAACTGCTGCATCAAAAGAAAGGTTCAACTCTGTTAGTTGAGGACACACATCACAAAGAAGTTTGTGAGAATGCTCTCTGTCTAGGATTTTGTATGACGATATTCCCTTTTCCAACGATATCGTTAAAGCAATCTAAATATCAATTTGCAGAATCCACAAAAATAGAGTTTCAAAGCTGCTCTGTAAAAAGAAAGGTTCCACTCTGTTAGCTGAGTACACACATCACAAACTTGTTTCTCAGAATCCTGCTGTCTACCTTTTATTTGAATTCCCGCTTCCAACGAAATCCTCCAAGCTATCCAAATATCCACTTGCATTTTCCACAAAAAGAGTGTTTCAAAACTGCTCTATCAATGGAAATGTTCAACTCCTTTAGCTGGGTACACACATCACAAACAAGTTTCTGAGAATGCTTCTGTCTAGTTTTTATGGGAAGACATTTCCTTTTTCGCCAAAGGCATCAAAGAGCTCCAAATGTCCACTTCCAGATACTACAAAAAGTGTGTTTCAAAAGTGCTGTAAGAAAGCGAATGTTCAACTCTGTGACTTGAATGCAGATATCGCAAAGTAGTTTCTGAGAGCGCTTCTGTCTAGATTTTAGATGATGATATTCCCGTTTCCAACGAAATCATTAGAGCTATCCAAATATCCACTTACAGTTTCTACAAAAAGAGTGTTTCCAAACTGCTGCGTCAAAAGAGAGGTTCCACTCTGTTAGCTGAGTACACACATCACAAACTTGTTTCTGAGAATCCTTCTGTCTCGTTTTTATGGGAAGATATTTACTTTTTCACCGTAGGCATCAAAGCGCTCCAAATGTCCACATCCAGATACTCCAGAAAGAGTGTTTCAAACCTGCTCTACGAAAGGGAATGTTCAACTCTATGAGTTGAATGCAGACATCAGAAAGAAATTTCTGAGAATGCTGCTGTCTACCTTTTATTTGAATTCCCGCTTCCAACGAAATCCTCCAAGCTATCCAAATATCCACTTGCAGATTCCACAAAAAGAGTGTTTCAAAACTGCTCTCTATCAATGGCAAAGTTCAACTCTGTTAGTTGAGGACACATATCACCAACAAGTTTCTGAGAATGCTTCTGTCTATTTTTTATGGGAAGATATTTCCTTTTTCACCGTAGGCGTCAAGGCGATCGAAATGTCCACTTCCACAAACTACAAAAAGAGTGTTTCAAACCTGCTCTATGAAAGGCCATGTTCATCTCTATGAGTTGAATGGAAATATCCGAAAGAAATTTCTGGGAATGCTGCTGTCTAGTTTTTATACGAATTCACGCTTCCAACGAAATCCTCAAAGCAATCCAAATATCCACTTGCAGAATCCACAAAAAGAGTGTTTCAAAACTGCTCTATCAATAGAAAGGTTCAACTCTTTTAGTTGAGTACACACATCACAAACAAGTTTCTGAGAATGCTTCTGTCTGGCTTTTATTGGAAGACGTTTCCTTTTCACCAAAGGCATCAAAGCGCTCCAAATGTCCACTTCCAGATTCTTCCAAAAGAGTGTTTCAAACGTGCTCAAAGTAAGGGAATGTTCAACTCTTTGACTTGAATGCAGATATCACCAAGTAGTTTCTAATAGTGCTTCTGTCTAGATTTTAGATGACGATATTCCCGTTTCCAACGAAATCGTTAGAGCTATCCAAATATCCACTTACAGTTTCTACAAAAAGAGTGTTTCCAAACTGCTGCATCAAAAGAAAGGTTCAACTCTGTTAGTTGAGGACACACATCACAAAGAAGTTTGTGAGAATGCTTCTGTCTAGATTTTGTATGACCATATTCCCTTTTCCAGCGATATCGTTAAAGCAATCTAAATATCCATTTGCAGAATCCACAAAAATAGAGTTTCAAAGCTGCTCTGTAAAAAGAAAGGTTCCACTCTGTTAGCTGAGTACACACATCACAAACTTGTTTCTGAGAATCCTTCTGTCTCGTTTTTATGGGAAGATATTTACTTTTTCACCGTAGGCATCAAAGCGCTCCAAATGTCCACATCCAGATACTCCAGAAAGTGTTTCAAACCTGCTCTATGAAAGGGAATCTTCAACTCTATGAGTTGAATGCAGACATCAGAAAGAAATTTCTGAGAATGCTGCTGTCTACCTTTTATTTGAATTCCCGCTTCCAACGAAATCCTCCAAGCTATCCAAATATCCACTTGCATTTTCCACAAAAAGAGTGTTTCAAAACTGCTGTATCAATAGAAATGTTCAACTCCTTTAGCTGGGTACACACATCACAAACAAGTTTCTGAGAATGCTTCTGTCTAGTTTTTATGGGAAGATATTCCCTTTTTCACCAAAGGCATCAAAGCGCTCCAAATGTCCACTTCCAGACACTACAAAAAGAGTGTTTCAAACGTGCTCTAAGAAAGCGAATGTTCAACTCTGTGACTTGAATGCAGATATCACAAAGTAGTTTTTGAGAGGGCTTCTGTCTAGATTTTAGATGATGATATTCCCGTTTCCAACGAAATCATTAGAGCTATCCAAATATCCACTTACAGTTTCTACAAAAAGAGTGTTTCCAAACTGCTGCATCAAAAGAGAGGTTCCACTCTGTTAGCTGAGTACACACATCACAAACTTGTTTCTCAAGAATCCTGCTGTCTACCTTTTATTTGAATTCCCGCTTCCAACGAAATCCTCCAAGCTATCCAAATATCCACTTGCAGATTCCACAAAAAGAGTGTTTCAAAACTGCTCTCTATCAATGGCAAAGTTCAACTCTGTTAGTTGAGGACACATATCATCAACAAGTTTCTGAGAATGTTTCTGTCTATTTTTTAAGGGAAGATATTTCCTTTTTCACCGTAGGCGTCAAGGCGATCGAAATGTCCACTTCCACAAACTACAAAAAGAGTGTTTCAAACCTGCTCTATGAAAGGCCATGTTCATCTCTATGAGTTGAATGGAAATATCCGAAAGAAATTTCTGGGAATGCTGCTGTCTAGTGTTTATACGAATTCCCGCTTCCAACGAAATCCTCAAAGCAATCCAAATATCCACTTGCAGAATCCACAAAAAGAGTGTTTCAAAACTGCTCTATCAATAGAAAGGTTCAACTCTTTTAGTTGAGTACACACATCACGAACAAGTTTCTGAGAATGCTTCTGTCTGGCTTTTATTGGAAGACGTTTCCTTTTCACCAAAGGCATCAAAGCGCTCCAAATGTCCACTTCCAGATTCTTCCAGAAGAGTGTTTCAAACGTGCTCAAAGTAAGGGAATGTTCAACTCTGTGACTTGAATGCAGATATCACCAAGTAGTTTCTAATAGTGCTTCTGTCTAGATTTTAGATGATGATATTCCCGTTTCCAACGAAATCGTTAGAGCTATCCAAATATCCACTTACAGTTGCTACAAAAACAGTGTTTCCAAACTGCTGCATCAAAAGAAAGGTTCAACTCTGTTAGTTGAGGACACACGTCACAAAGAAGTTTGTGAGAATGCTTCTGTCCAGATTTTGTATGACGATATTCCCTTTTCCAATGATATCGTTAAAGCAATCTAAATATCCATTTGCAGAATCCACAAAAATAGAGTTTCAAAGCTGCTCTGTGAAAAGAAAGGTTCCACTCTGTTAGCTGAGTACACACATCACAAACTTGTTTCTGAGAATCCTTCTGTCTCGTTTTTATGGGAAGATATTTACTTTTTCACCGTAGGCATCAAAGCGCTCCAAATGTCCACATCCAGATACTCCAGAAAGAATGTTTCAAACCTGCTCTATGAAAGGGAATCTTCAACTCTATGAGTTGAATGCAGACATCAGAAAGAAATTTCTGAGAATGCTGCTGTCTACCATTTATTTGAATTCCCGCTTCCAACGAAATCTTCCAACCTATCCAAATATCCACCTGCATTTTCCACAAAAAGAGTGTTTCAAAACTGCTCTATCAATAGAAATGTTCAACTCCTTTAGCTAGGTACACACATCACAAACAAGTTTCTGAGAATGCTTCTGTCTAGTTTTTATGGGAAGACATTCCCTTTTTCACCAAAGGCATCAAAGCGCTCCAAATGTCCACTTCCAGACACTACAAAAAGAGTGTTTCCAACGTGCTCTAAGAAAGCAAATGTTCAACTCTGTGACTTGAATGCAGATATCACAAAGTAGTTTCTGAGAGGGCTTCTGTCTAGATTTTAGATGATGATATTCCCGTTTCCAACGAAATCATTAGAGCTATCCAAATATCCACTTACAGTTTCTACAAAAAGAGTGTTTCCAAACTGCTGCATCAAAAGAGAGGTTCCACTCTGTTAGCTGAGTACACACATCACAAACTTGTTTCTCAGAATCCTTCTGTCTCGTTTTTATGGGAAGATATTTACTTTTTCACTGTAGGCATCAAAGCGCTCCACATGTCCACATCCAGATACTACAGAAAGAGTATTTCAAACCTGTCCTATGAAAGGGAATGTTCAACTCTATGAGTTGAATGCAGACATCAGAAAGAAATTTCTGAGAATGCTGCTGTCTACCTTTTATTTGAATTCCCGCTTCCAACGAAATCCTCCAAGCTATACAAATATCCACTTGCAGATTCAGGAAAAAGAGTGTTTCAAAACTGCTCTCTATCAATGGCAAAGTTCAACTCTGTTAGTTGAGGACACATATCACCAACAAGTTTCTGAGAATGCTTCTGTCTATTTTTTATGGGAAGATATTTCCTTTTTCACCGTATGCGTCAAGGCGATCGAAATGTCCACTTCCACAAACTACAAAAAGAGTGTTTCAAACCTTCTCTATGAAAGGCCATGTTCATCTCTATGAGTTGAATGGAAATATCCGAAAGAAATTTCTGGGAATGCTGCTGTCTAGTTTTTATACGAATTCCCGCTTCCAACAAAATCCTCAAAGCAATCCAAATATCCACTTGCAGAATCCACAAAAAGAGTGTTTCAAAACTGCTCTATCAATAGAAAGGTTCAACTCTTTTAGTTGAGTACACACATCACAAACAAGTTTCTGAGAATGCTTCTGTCTGGCTTTTATTGGAAGACGTTTCCTTTTCACCAAAGGCATCATAGCGCTCCAAATGTCCACTTCCAGATTCTTCCAAAAGAGTGTTTCAAACGTGCTCAAAGTAAGGGAATGTTCAACTCTGTGACTTGAATGCAGATATCACCAAGTAGTCTCTAATAGTGCTTCTGTCTAGATTTTAGATGATGATATTCCCGTTTCCAACGAAATCGTTAGAGCTATCCAAATATCCACTTACAGTTTCTACAAAAAGAGTGTTTCCAAACTGCTGCATCAAAAGAAAGGTTCAACTCTGTTAGTTGAGGACACACATCACAAAGAAGTTTGTGAGAATGCTTCTGTCTAGATTTTGTATGACCATATTCCCTTTTCCAGCGATATCATTAAAGCAATCTAAATATCCATTTGCAGAATCCACAAAAATAGAGTTTCAAAGCTGCTGTGTAAAAAGAAAGGTTCCACTCTGTTAGCTGAGTACACACATCACAAACTTGTTTCTCAGAATCCTTCTGTCTCGTTTTTATGGGAAGATATTTACTTTTCCACCGTAGGCATCAAAGCGCTCCAAATGTCCACATCCAGATACTCCAGAAAGAGTGTTTCAAACCTGCTCTATGAAAGGGAATATTCAACTCTATGAGTTGAATGCAGACATCAGAAAGAAATTTCTGAGAATGCTGCTGTCTACCTTTTATTTGAACTCCCGCTTCCAACGAAATCCTCCAAGCTATCCAAATATCCACCTGCATTTTCCACAAAAAGAGCGCTTCAAAACTGCTCTATCAATAGAAATGTTCAACTCCTTTGGCTGGGTACACACATCACAAACAAGTTTCTGAGAATGCTTCAGTCTAGTTTTTATGGGAAGACGTTCCCTTTTTCACCAAAGGCATCAAAGCGCTCCAAATGTCCACTTCCAGACACTACAAAAAGAGTGTTTCCAACGTACTCTAAGAAAGCGAATGTTCAACTCTGTGACTTGAATGCAGATATCACAAAGTAGTTTCTGAGAGGGCTTCTGTCTAGATTTTAGATGATGATATTCCCGTTTCCAACGAAATCATTAGAGCTATCCAAATATCCACTTACAGTTTCTACAAAAAGAGTGTTTCCAAACTGCTGCATCAAAAGAGAGGTTCCACTCTGTTAGCTGAGTACACACATCACAAACTTGTTTCTCAGAATCCTTCTGTCTCGTTTTTATGGGAAGTTATTTACTTTTTCACCGTAGGCATCAAAGCGCTCCAAATGTCCACATCCAGATACTCCAGAAAGAGTGTTTCAAACCTGCTCTATGAAAGGGAATGTTCAACTCTACGAGTTGAATGCAGACATCAGAAAGAAATTTCTGAGAATGCTGCTGTCTACCTTTTATTTGAATTCCCGCTTCCAACGAAATCCTCCAAGCTATCCAAATATCCACTTGCAGATTCCACAAAAAGAGTGTTTCAAAACTGCTCTCTATCAATGGCAAAGTTCAACTCTGTTAGTTGAGGACACATATCACCAACAAGTTTCTGAGAATGCTTCTGTCTACTTTTTATGGGAAGATATTTCCTTTTTCACCGTAGGCGTCAAGGCGATCGAAATGTCCACTTCCACAAACTACAAAAAGAGTGTTTCAAACCTGCTCTATGAAAGGCCATGTTCATCTCTATGAGTTGAATGGAAATATCCGAAAGAAATTTCTGGGAATGCTGCTGTCTAGTGTTTATACGAATTCCCGCTTCCAACGAAATCCTCAAAGCAATCCAAATATCCACTTGCAGAATCCACAAAAAGAGTGTTTCAAAACTGCTCTATCAATAGAAAGGTTCAACTCTTTTAGTTGAGTACACACATCACGAACAAGTTTCTGAGAATGCTTCTGTCTGGCTTTTATTGGAAGACGTTTCCTTTTCACCAAAGGCATCAAAGTGCTCCAAATGTCCACTTCCAGATTCTTCCAAAAGAGTGTTTCAAACGTGCTCAAAGTAAGGGAATGTTCAACTCTGTGACTTGAATGCAGATATCACCAAGTAGTTTCTAATAGTGCTTCTGTCTAGATTTTAGATGATGATATTCCCGTTTCCAACGAAATCGTTAGAGCTATCCAAATATCCACTTACAGTTGCTACAAAAACAGTGTTTCCAAACTGCTGCATCAAAAGAAAGGTTCAACTCTGTTAGTTGAGGACACACATCACAAAGAAGTTTGTGAGAATGCTTCTGTCTAGATTTTGTATGACCATATTCCCTTTTCCAGCGATATCATTAAAGCAATCTAAATATCCATTTGCAGAATCCACAAAAATAGAGTTTCAAAGCTGCTCTGTAAAAAGAAAGGTTCCACTCTGTTAGCTGAGTACACACATCACAAACTTGTTTCTCAGAATCCTTCTGTCTCGTTTTTATGGGAAGATATTTACTTTCTCACCGTAGGCATCAAAGCGCTCCAAATGTCCACATCCAGATACTCCAGAAAGAGTGTTTCAAACCTGCTCTATGAAAGGGAATCTTCAACTCTATGAGTTGAATGCAGACATCAGAAAGAAATTTCTGAGAATGCTGCTGTCTACCTTTTATTTGAATTCCAGCTTCCAACGAAATCCTCCAAGCTATCCAAATATCCACCTGCATTTTCCACAAAAAGAGTGTTTCAAAACTGCTCTATCAATAGAAATGTTCAACTCCTTTGGCTGGGTACACACATCACAAACAAGTTTCTGAGAATGCTTCTGTCTAGTTTTTATGGGAAGACATTCCCTTTTTCACCAAAGGCATCAAAGCGCTCCAAATGTCCACTTCCAGACACTACAAAAAGGGTGTTTCAAACGTGCTCTAAGAAAGCGAATGTTCAACTCTGTGACTTGAATGCAGATATCACAAAGTAGTTTCTGAGAGGGCTTCTGTCTAGATTTTAGATGATGATATTCCCGTTTCCAACGAAATCATTAGAGCTATCCAAATATCCACTTACAGTTTCTACAAAAAGAGTGTTTCCAAACTGCTGCATCAAAAGAGAGGTTCCACTCTGTTAGCTGAGTACACACATCACAAACTTGTTTCTCAGAATCCTTCTGTCTCGTTTTTATGGGAAGATATTTACTTTTTCACCGTAGGCATCAAAGCGCTCCAAATGTCCACATCCAGATACTCCAGAAAGAGTGCTTCAAACCTGCTCTATGAAAGGGAATCTTCAACTCTATGAGTTGAATGCAGACATCAGAAAGAAATTTCTGAGAATGCTGCTGTCTACCTTTTATTTGAATTCCCGCTTCCAACGAAATCCTCCAAGCTATCCAAATATCCACTTGCAGATTCCACAAAAAGAGTGTTTCAAAACTGCTCTCTATCAATGGCAAAGTTCAACTCTGTTAGTTGAGGACACATATCACCAACAAGTTTCTGAGAATGCTTCTGTCTATTTTTTATGGGAAGATATTTCCTTTTTCACCGTAGGCGTCAAGGCGATCGAAATGTCCACTTCCACAAACTACAAAAAGAGTGTTTCAAACCTGCTCTATGAAAGGCCATGTTCATCTCTATGAGGTGAATGGAAATATCCGAAAGAAATTTCTGGGAATGCTGCTGTCTAGTTTTTATACGAATTCCCGCTTCCAACGAAATCCTCAAAGCAATCCAAATATCCACTTGCAGAATCCACAAAAAGAGTGTTTCAAAACTGCTCTATCAATAGAAAGGTTCAACTCTTTTAGTTGAGTACACACATCACAAACAAGTTTCTGAGAATGCTTCTGTCTGGCTTTTATTGGAAGGCGTTTCCTTTTCACCAAAGGCATCAAAGCGCTCCAAATGTCCACTTCCAGATTCTTCCAAAAGAGTGTTTCAAACGTGCTCAAAGTAAGGGAATGTTCAACTCTTTGACTTGAATGCAGATATCACCAAGTAGTTTCTAATAGTGCTTCTGTCTAGATTTTAGATGATGATATTCCCGTTTCCAACGAAATCGTTAGAGCTATCCAAATATCCAGTTACAGTTTCTACCAAAAGGGTGTTTCCAAATTGCTGCATCAAAAGAAAGGTTCAACTCTGTTAGTTGAGGACACACATCACAAAGAAGTTTGTGAGAATGCATCTGTCTAGATTTTGTATGACCATATTCCCTTTTCCAGCGATATCATTAAAGCAATCTAAATATCCATTTGCAGAATCCACAAAAATAGAGTTTCAAAGCTGCTCTGTAAAAAGAAAGGTTCCACTCTGTTAGCTGAGTACACACATCACAAACTTGTTTCTGAGAATCCTTCTGTCTCGTTTTTATGGGAAGATATTTACTTTTTCACCGTAGGCATCAAAGCGCTCCAAATGTCCACATCCAGATACTCCAGAAAGAGTGTTTCAAACCTGCTCTATGAAAGGGAATCTTCAACTGCTATGAGTTGAATGCAGACATCAGAAAGAAATTTCTGAGAATGCTGCTGTCTACCTTTTATTTGAACTCCCGCTTCCAACGAAATCCTCCAAGCTATCCAAATATCCACTTGCATTTTCCACAAAAAGAGTGTTTGAAAACTGCTCTATCAATAGAAATGTTCAACTCCTTTAGCTGGGTGCACACATCACAAACAAGTTTCTGAGAATGCTTCTGTCTAGTTTTTATGGGAAGACATTCCCTTTTTCACCAAAGGCATCAAAGCGCTCCAAATGTCCACTTCCAGACACTACAAAAAGAGTGTTTCCAACGTGCTCTAAGAAAGCGAATGTTCAACTCTGTGACTTGAATGCAGATATCACAAAGTAGTTTCTGAGAGGGCTTCTGTCTAGATTTTAGATGATGATATTCCCGTTTCCAACGAAATCATTAGAGCTATCCAAATATCCACTTACAGTTTCTACAAAAAGAGTGTTTCCAAACTGCTGCATCAAAACAGAGGTTCCACTCTGTTAGCTGAGTACACACATCACAAACTTGTTTCTCAGAATCCTGCTGTCTACCTTTTATTTGAATTCCCGCTTCCAACGAAATCCTCCAAGCTATCCAAATATCCACTTGCATTTTCCACAAAAAGAGTGTTTCTAAACTGCTCTATCAATGGCAAGGTTCAACTCTGTCAGTTGAGGATACACATCACAAACAAGTTTCTGAGAATTCTTCTGTCTATTTTTTATGGGAAGATATTTCCTTTTTCACCGTAGGCGTCAAGGCGATCGAAATGTCCACTTCCACAAACTACAAAAAGAGTGTTTCAAACCTGCTCTATGAAAGGCCATGTTCATCTCTATGAGTCGAATGGAAATATCCGAAAGAAATTTCTGGGAATGCTGCTGTCTAGATTTTATACGAATTCCCGCTTCCAACGAAATCCTCAAAACAATCCTAATATCCACTTGCAGAATCCACAAAAAGAGTGTTTCAAAACTGCTCTATCAATAGAAAGGTTCAACTCTTTTAGTTGAGTACACACATCACAAACAAGTTTCTGAGAATGCTTCTGTCTGGCTTTTATTGGAAGACGTTTCCTTTTCACCAAAGGCATCAAAGCGCTCCAAATGTCCACTTCCAGATTCTTCCAAAAGAGTGTTTCAAACGTGCTCAAAGTAAGGGAATGTTCAACTCTGTGACTTGAATGCAGATATCACCAAGTAGTTTCTAATAGTGCTTCTGTCTACATTTTAGATGATGATATTCCCGTTTCCAACGAAATCGTTAGAGCTATCCAAATATCCAGTTACAGTTTCTACCAAAAGGGTGTTTCCAAATTGCTGCATCAAAAGAAAGGTTCAACTCTGCTAGTTGAGGACACACATCACAAAGAAGTTTGTGAGAATGCTTCTGTCCAGATTTTGTATGACGTTATTCCCTTTTCCAACGATATCATTAAAGCAATCTAAATATCCATTTGCAGAATCCACAAAAATAGAGTTTCAAAGCTGCTCTGTAAAAAGAAAGGTTCCACTCTGTTAGCTGAGTACACACATCACAAACTTGTCTCTCAGAATCCTTCTGTCTCGTTTTTATGGGAAGATATTTACTTTTTCACCGTAGGCATCAAAGCGCTCCAAATGTCCACATCCAGATACTCCAGAAAGAGTGTTTCAAACCTGCTCTATGAAAGGGAATCTTCAACTCTATGAGTTGAATGCAGACATCAGAAAGAAATTTCTGAGAATGCTGCTGTCTACCTTTTATTTGAACTCCCGCTTCCAACGAAATCCTCCAAGCTATCCAAATATCCACTTGCATTTTCCACAAAAAGAGTGCTTCAAAACTGCTCTATCAATAAATGTTCAACTCCTTTAGCTGGGTGCACACATCACAAACAAGTTTCTGAGAATGCTTGTCTGTCTAGTTTTTATGGGAAGACATTTCCTATTTCACCAAAGGCATCAAAGAGCTCCAAATGTCCACTTCCAGATACTACAAAAAGAGTGTTTAAAAAGTGCTCTAAGAAAGCGAATGTTCAACTCTGTGACTTGAATGCAGATATCACAAAGTAGTTTCTGAGAGTGCTTCTGTCTAGATTTTAGATGATGATATTCCCGTTTCCAACGAAATCATTAGAGCTATCCAAATATCCACTTACAGTTTCTACAAAAAGAGTGTTTCCAAACTGCTGCATCAAAAGAGAGCTTCCACTCTGTTAGCTGAGTACACACATCACAAACTTGTTTCTCAGAATCCTGCTGTCTACCTTTTATTTGAATTCCCGCTTCCAACGAAATCCTCCAAACTATCCAAATATCCACTTGCAGATTCAGGAAAAAGAGTGTTTCAAAACTGCTCTCTATCAATGGCAAAGTTCAACTCTGTTAGTTGAGGACACATATCACCAACAAGTTTCTGAGAATGCTTCTGTCTATTTTTTATGGGAAGATATTTCCTTTTTCACCGTAGGTGTCAAGGCGATCGAAATGTCCACTTCCACAAACTACAAAAAGAGTGTTTCAAACCTGCTCTATGAAAGGCCATGTTCATCTCTATGAGTTGAATGGAAATATCCGAAAGAAATTTCTGGGAATGCTGCTGTCTAGTTGTTATACGAATTCCCGCTTCCAACGAAATCCTCAAAGCAATCCAAATATCCACTTGCAGAATCCACAAAAAGAGTGTTTCAAAACTGCTCTATCAATAGAAAGGTTCAACTCTTTTAGTTGAGTACACACATCACAAACAAGTTTCTGAGAATGCTTCTGTCTGGCTTTTATTGGAAGACGTTTCCTTTTCACCAAAGGCATCAAAGCGCTCCAAATGTCCACTTCCAGATTCTTCCAAAAGAGTGTTTCAAACCTGCTCAAAGTAAGGGAATGTTCAACTCTGTGACTTGAATGCAGATATCACCAAGTAGTTTCTAATAGTGCTTCTGTCTACCTTTTGATGATGATATTCCCGTTTCCAACGAAATCGTTAGAGCTATCCAAATATCCAGTTACAGTTTCTACCAAAAGGGTGTTTCCAAATTGCTGCATCAAAAGAAAGGTTCAACTCTGTTAGTTGAGGACACACAGCACAAAGAAGTTTGTGAGAATGCTTCTGTCTAGATTTTGTATGACGATATCCCTTTTCCAACGATATCGTTAAAGCAATCTAAATATCAATTTGCAGAATCCACAAAAATAGAGTTTCAAAGCTGCTCTGTAAAAAGAAAGGTTCCACTCTGTTAGCTGAGTACACACATCACAAACTTGTTTCTGAGAATCCTTCTGTCTCGTTTTTATGGGAAGATATTTACTTTTCCACCGTAGGCATCAAAGCGCTCCAAATGTCCACATCCAGATACTCCAGAACGAGTGTTTCAAACCTGCTCTATGAAAGGGAATGTTCAACTCTATGAGTTGAATGCAGACATCAGAAAGAAATTTCTGAGAATGCTGCTGTCTACCTTTTATTTGAATTCCCGCTTCCAACGAAATCCTCCAAGCTATCCAAATATCCACTTGCATTTTCCACAAAAAGAGTGTTTCAAAACTGCTCTATCAATAGAAATGTTCAACTCCTTTGGCTGGGTACACACATCACAAACAAGTTTCTGAGAATGCTTCTGTCTAGTTTTTATGGGAAGACATTCCCTTTTTCACCAAAGGCATCAAAGCGCTCCAAATGTCCACTTCCAGACACTACAAAAAGAGTGTTTCAAACGTGCTCTAAGAAAGCGAATGTTCAACCCTGTGACTTGAATGCAGATATCACAAAGTAGTTTCTGAGAGGGCTTCTGTCTAGATTTTAGATGATGATATTCCCGTTTCCAACGAAATCATTAGAGCTATCCAAATATCCACATACAGTTTCTACAAAAAGAGTGTTTCCAAACTGCTGCATCAAAAGAGAGGTTCCACTCTGTTAGCTGAGTACACACATCACAAACTTGTTTCTTAGAATCCTTCTGTATCGTTTTTATGGGAAGATATTTACTTTTTCACCGTAGGCATCAAAGCGCTCCAAATGTCCACATCCAGATACTCCAGAAAGAGTGTTTCAAACCTGCTCTATGAAAGGGAATCTTCAACTCTATGAGTTGAATGCAGACATCAGAAAGAAATTTCTGAGAATGCTGCTGTCTACCTTTTATTTGAATTCCCGCTTCCAATGAAATCCTCCAAGCTATCCAAATATCCACTTGCAGATTCCACAAAAAGAGTGTTTCAAAACTGCTCTCTATCAATGGCAAAGTTCAACTCTGTTAGTTGAGGACACATATCACCAACAAGTTTCTGAGAATGCTTCTGTCTATTTTTTATGGGAAGATATTTCCTTTTTCACCGTAGGCGTCAAGGCGATCGAAATGTCCACTTCCACAAACTACAAAAAGAGTGTTTCAAACCTGCTCTATGAAAGGCCATGTTCATCTCTATGAGTCGAATGGAAATATCCGAAAGAAATTTCTGGGAATGCTGCTGTCTAGTGTTTATACGAATTCCCGCTTCCAACGAAATCCTCAAAGCAATCCAAATATCCACTTGCAGAATCCACAAAAAGAGGGTTTCAAAACTGCTCTATCAATAGAAAGGTTCAACTCTTTAGTTGAGTACACACATCACAAACAAGTTTCTGAGAATGCTTCTGTCTGGCTTTTATTGGAAGACGTTTCCTTTTCACCAAAGGCATCAAAGCGCTCCAAATGTCCACTTCCAGATTCTTCCAAAAGAGTGTTTCAAACGTGCTCGAAGTAAGGGAATGTTCTACTCTGTGACTTGAATGCAGATATCACCAAGTAGTTTCTAATAGTGCTTCTGTCTAGATTTTAGATGATGATATTCCCGTTTCCAACGAAATCGTTAGAGCTATCCAAATATCCACTTACAGTTGCTACAAAAACAGTGTTTCCAAACTGCTGCATCAAAAGAAAGGTTCAACTCTGTTAGTTGAGGACACACGTCACAAAGAAGTTTGTGAGAATGCTTCTGTCTAGATTTTGTATGACGATATTCCCTTTTCCAACGATATCGTTAAAGGAATCTAAATATCCATTTGCAGAATCCACAAAAATAGAGTTTCAAAGCTGCTCTGTAAAAAGAAAGGTTCCACTCTGTTAGCTGAGTACACACATCACAAACTTGTTTCTCAGAATCCTTCTGTCTCGTTTTTATGGGAAGATATTTACTTTTCCACCGTAGGCATCAAAGCGCTCCAAATGTCCACATCCAGATACTCCAGAACGA
The DNA here is from genome assembly GCF_000001405.40 of Homo sapiens. Taxonomy (NCBI): domain Eukaryota; kingdom Metazoa; phylum Chordata; class Mammalia; order Primates; family Hominidae; genus Homo; species Homo sapiens. The sequence continues at coordinate 12,849,433 of NC_000021.9, read as the reverse complement.
GTGTTTCAAACCTGCTCTATGAAAGGGAATCTTCAACTCTATGAGTTGAATGCAGACATCAGAAAGAAATTTCTGAGAATGCTGCTGTCTACTTTTATTTGAATTCCCGCTTCCAACGAAATCCTCCAAGCTATCCAAATATCCACTTGCATTTTCCACAAAAAGAGTGTTTCAAAACTGCTCTATCAATAGAAATGTTCAACTCCTTTAGCTGGGTACACACATCACAAACAAGTTTCTGAGAATGCTTCTGTCTAGTTTTTATGGGAAGACATTCCCTTTTTCACCAAAGGCATCAAAGCACTCCAAATGTCCACTTCCAGACACTACAAAAAGAGTGTTTCCAACGTGCCCTAAGAAAGCGAATGTTCAACTCTGTGACTTGAATGCAGATATCACAAAGTAGTTTCTGAGAGGGCTTCTGTCTAGATTTTAGATGATGATATTCCCTTTTCCAACGAAATCATTAGAGCTATCCAAATATCCACTTACAGTTTCTACAAAAAGAGTGTTTCCAAACTGCTGCATCAAAAGAGAGGTTCCACTCTGTTAGCTGAGTACACACATCACAAACTTGTTTCTCAGAATCCTTCTGTCTCGTTTTTCTGGGTAAGATATTTACTTTTTCACCGTAGGCATCAAAGCGCTCCAAATGTCCACATCCAGATACTCCAGAAAGAGTGTTTCAAACCTGCTCTATGAAAGGGAATCTTCAACTCTATGAGTTGAATGCAGACATCAGAAAGAAATTTCTGAGAATGCTGCTGTCTACCTTTTATTTGAATTCCCGCTTCCAACGAAATCCTCCAAGCTATCCAAATATCCACTTGCAGATTCCACAAAAAGAGTGTTTCAAAACTGCTCTCTATCAATGGCAAAGTTCAACTCTGTTAGTTGAGGACACATATCACCAACAAGTTTCTGAGAATGCTTCTGTCTATTTTTTATGGGAAGATATTTCCTTTTTCACCGTAGGCGTCAAGGCGATCGAAATGTCCACTTCCACAAACTACAAAAAGAGTGTTTCAATATGAAAGGCCATGTTCATCTCTATGAGTTGAATGGAAAGATCCGAAAGAAATTTCTGGGAATGCTGCTGTCTAGTGTTTATACGAATTCCCGCTTCCAACGAAATCCTCAAAGCAATCCAAATATCCACTTGCAGAATCCACAAAAAGAGGGTTTCAAAACTGCTCTATCAATAGAAAGGTTCAACTCTTTTAGTTGAGTACACACATCACAAACAAGTTTCTGAGAATGCTTCTGTCTGGCTTTTATTGGAAGACGTTTCCTTTTCACCAAAGGCATCAAAGCGCTCCAAATGTCCACTTCCAGATTCTTCCAAAAGAGTGTTTCAAACGTGCTCGAAGTAAGGGAATGTTCTACTCTGTGACTTGAATGCAGATATCACCAAGAAGTTTCTAATAGTGCTTCTGTCTAGATTTTAGATGATGATATTCCCGTTTCCAACGAAATCGTTAGAGCTATCCAAATATCCACTTACAGTTGCTACAAAAACAGTGTTTCCAAACTGCTGCATCAAAAGAAAGGTTCAACTCTGTTAGTTGAGGACACACGTCACAAAGAAGTTTGTGAGAATGCTTCTGTCCAGATTTTGTATGACGATATTCCCTTTTCCAACGATATCGTTAAAGCAATCTAAATATCCATTTGCAGAATCCACAAAAATAGAGTTTCAAAGCTGCTCTGTAAAAAGAAAGGTTCCACTCTGTTAGCTGAGTACACACATCACAAACTTGTCTCTCAGAATCCTGCTGTCTACCTTTCATTTGAATTCCCGCTTCCAACGAAATCCTCCAAGCTATCCAAATATCCACCTGCATTTTCCACAACAAGAGTGTTTCAAAACTGCTCTATCAATAGAAATGTTCAACTCCTTTGGCTGGGTACACACATCACAAACAAGTTTCTGAGAATGCTTCTGTCTAGTTTTTATGGGTAGACATTCCCTTTTTCACCAAAGGAATCAAAGCGCTCCAAATGTCCACATCCAGACACTACAAAAAGAGTGTTTCAAACGTGCTCTAAGAAAGCGAATGTTCAACTCTGTGACTTGAATGCAGATATCACACAGTAGTTTCTGAGAGTGCTTCTGTCTAGATTTTAGATGATGATATTCCCGTTTCCAACGAAATCATTAGAGCTATCCAAATATCCACTTCCAGTTTCTACAAAAAGAGTGTTTCCAAACTACTGCATCAAAAGAGAGGTTCCACTCTGTTAGCTGAGTACACACATCACAAACTTGTTTCTCAGAATCCTGCTGTCTACCTTTTATTTGAATTCCCGCTTCCAACGAAATCCTCCAAGCTATCCAAATATCCACTTGCAGATTCCACAAAAAGAGTGTTTCAAAACTGCTCTCTATCAATGGCAAAGTTCAACTCTGTTAGTTGAGGACACATATCACCAACAAGTTTCTGAGAATGCTTCTGTCTATTTTTTATGGGAAGATATTTCCTTTTTCACCGTAGGCGTCAAGGCGATCGAAATGTCCACTTCCACAAACTACAAAAAGAGTGTTTCAAACCTGCTCTATGAAAGGCCATGTTCATCTCTATGAGTCGAATGGAAATATCCGAAAGAAATTTCTGGGAATGCTGCTGTCTAGTGTTTATACGAATTCCCGCTTCCAACGAAATCCTCAAAGCAATCCAAATATCCACTTGCAGAATTCACAAAAAGAGTGTTTCAAAACTGCACTATCAATAGAAAGGTTCAACTCTTTTAGTTGAGTACACACATCACAAACAAGTTTCTGAGAATGCTTCTGTCTGGCTTTTATTGGAAGACGTTTCCTTTTCACCAAAGGCATCAAAGCGCTCCAAGTGTCCACTTCCAGATTCTTCCAAAAGAGTGTTTCAAACGTGGTCGAAGTAAGGGAATGTTCAACTCTGTGACTTGAATGCAGATATCACCAAGTAGTTTCTAATAGTGCTTCTGTCTAGATTTTAGATGATGATATTCCCGTTTCCAACGAAATCGTTAGAGCTATCCAAATATCCACTTACAGTTTCTACAAAAAGAGTGTTTCCAAACTGCTGCATCAAAAGAAAGGTTCAACTCTGTTAGTTGAGGACACACATCACAAAGAAGTTTGTGAGAATGCTTCTGTCTAGATTTTGTATGACGATATTCCCTTTTCCAACGATATCCTTAAAGCAATCTAAATATCAATTTGCAGAATCCACAAAAATAGAGTTTCAAAGCTGCTCTGTAAAAAGAAAGGTTCCACTCTGTTAGCTGAGTACACACATCACAAACTTGTTTCTGAGAATCCTTCTGTCTCGTTTTTATGGGAAGATATTTACTTTTTCACCGTAGGCATCAAAGCGCTCCAAATGTCCACATCCAGATACTCCAGAAAGAGTGTTTCAAACCTGCTCTATGAAAGGGAATCTTCAACTCTATGAGTTGAATGCAGACATCAGAAAGAAATTTCTGAGAATGCTGCTGTCTACCTTTTATTTGAATTCCCGCTTCCAACGAAATCCTCCAAGCTATCCAAATATCCACCTGCATTTTCCACAACAAGAGTGTTTCAAAACTGCTCTATCAATAGAAATGTTCAACTCCTTTGGCTGGGTACACACATCACAAACAAGTTTCTGAGAATGCTTCTGTCTAGTTTTTATGGGAAGACGTTCCCTTTTTCACCAAAGGCATCAAAGCGCTCCAAATGTCCACTTCCAGACACTACAAAAAGAGTGTTTCAAACGTGCTCTAAGAAAGCGAATGTTCAACTCTGTGACTTGAATGCAGATATCACAAAGTGGTTTCTGAGAGGGCTTCTGTCTAGATTTTAGTTGATGATATTCCCGTTTCCAACGAAATCATTAGAGCTATCCAAATATCCACTTACAGTTTCTACAAAAAGAGTGTTTCCAAACTGCTGCATCAAAAGAGAGGTTCCACTCTGTTAGCTGAGTACACACATCACAAACTTGTTTCTCAGAATCCTTCTGTCTCGTTTTTATGGGAAGATATTTACTTTTTCACCGTAGGCATCAAAGCGCTCCAAATGTCCATATCCAGATACTCCAGAAAGAGTGTTTCAAACTTGCTCTATGAAAGGGAATCTTCAACTCTATGAGTTGAATGCAGACATCAGAAAGAAATTTCTGAGAATGCTGCTGTCTACCTTTTATTTGAATTCCCGCTTCCAACGAAATCCTCCAAGCTATCCAAATATCCACTTGCAGATTCCACAAAAAGAGTGTTTCAAAACTGCTCTCTATCAATGGCAAAGTTCAACTCTGTTAGTTGAGGACACATATCACCAACAAGTTTCTGAGAATGTTTCTGTCTATTTTTTATGGGAAGATATTTCCTTTTTCACCGTATGCGTCAAGGCGATCGAAATGTCCACTTCCACAAACTACAAAAAGAGTGATTCAAAACTGCTCTATGAAAGGCCATGTTCATCTCTATGAGTTGAATGGAAATATCCGAAAGAAATTTCTGGGAATGCTGCTGTCTAGTTTTTATACGAATTCCCGCTTCCAACGAAATCCTCAAAGCAATCCAAATATCCACTTGCAGAATCCACAAAAAGAGTGTTTCAAAACTGCTCTATCAATAGAAAGGTTCAACTCTTTTAGTTGAGTACACACATCACAAACAAGTTTCTGAGAATGCTTCTGTCTGGCTTTTATTGGAAGACGTTTCCTTTTCACCAAAGGCATCAAAGCGCTCCAAATGTCCACTTCCAGATTCTTCCAAAAGAGTGTTTGAAACGTGCTCAAAGTAAGGGAATGTTCAACTCTGTGACTTGAATGCAGATATCACTAAGTAGTTTCTAATAGTGCTTCTGTCTAGATTTTAGATGATGATATTCCCGTTTCCAACGAAATCGTTAGAGCTATCCAAATATCCACTTACAGTTTCTACAAAAAGAGTGTTTCCAAACTGCTGCATCAAAAGAAAGGTTCAACTCTGTTAGTTGAGGACACACATCACAAAGAAGTTTGTGAGAATGCTTCTGTCTAGATTTTGTATGACGATATTCCCTTTTCCAACGATATCGTTAAAGCAATCTAAATATCAATTTGCAGATTCCACAAAAATAGAGTTTCAAAGCTGCTCTGTAAAAAGAAAGGTTCCACTCTGTTAGCTGAGTACACACATCACAAACTTGTTTCTGAGAATCCTTCTGTCTCGTTTTTATGGGAAGATATTTACTTTTCCACCGTAGGCATCAAAGCGCTCCAAATGTCCACATCCAGATACTCCAGAACGAGTGTTTCAAACCTGCTCTATGAAAGGGAATCTTCAACTCTATGAGTTGAATGCAGACATCAGAAAGAAATTTCTGAGAATGCTGCTGTCTACCTTTTATTTGAATTCCCGCTTCCAACGAAATCCTCCAAGCTATCCAAATATCCACCTGCATTTTCCACAAAAAGAGTGTTTCAAAACTGCTCTATCAATAGAAATGTTTAACTCCTTTGGCTGGGTACACACATCACAAACAAGTTTCTGAGAATGCTTCTGTCTAGTTTTTATGGGAAGACATTCCCTTTTTCACCAAAGGCATCAAAGCGCTCCAAATGTCCACTTCCAGACACTACAAAAAGAGTGTTTCAAACGTGCTCTAAGAAAGCGAATGTTCAACTCTGTGACTTGAATGCAGATATCACAAAGTAGTTTCTGAGAGGGCTTCTGTCTAGATTTTAGATGATGATATTCCCATTTCCAACGAAATCATTAGAGCTATCCAAATATCCACTTACAGTTTCTACAAAAAGAGTGTTTCCAAACTGCTGCATCAAAAGAAAGGTTCAACTCTGTTAGTTTAGGACACACATCACAAAGAAGTTTGTGAGAATGCTTCTGTCTCGTTTTTATGGGAAGATATTTACTTTTTCACCGTAGGCATCAAAGCGCTCCAAATGTCCACATCCAGATACTCCAGAAAGAGTGTTTCAAACCAGCTCTATGAAAGGGAATCTTCAACTCTATGAGTTGAATGCAGACATCAGAAAGAAATTTCTGAGAATGCTGCTGTCTACCTTTTATTTGAATTCCCGCTTCCAACGAAATCCTCCAAGCTATCCAAATATCCACTTGCAGATTCCACAAAAAGAGTGTTTCAAAACTGCTCTCTATCAATGGCAAAGTTCAACTCTGTTAGTTGAGGACACATATCACCAACAAGTTTCTGAGAATGCTTCTGTCTATTGTTTATGGGAAGATATTTCCTTTTTCACCGTAGGCGTCAAGGCGATCGAAATGTCCACTTCCACAAACTACAAAAAGAGTGTTTCAAACCTGCTCTATGAAAGGCCATGTTCATCTCTATGAGTTGAATGGAAATATCCGAAAGAAATTTCTGGGAATGCTGCTGTCTAGTGCTTATACGAATTCCCGCTTCCAACGAAATCCTCAAAGCAATTCAAATATCCACTTGCAGAATCCACAAAAAGAGTGTTTCAAAACTGCTCTATCAATAGAAAGGTTCAACTCTTTTAGTTGAGTACACACATCACGAACAAGTTTCTGAGAATGCTTCTGTCTAGTTTTTATGGGAAGACATTCCCTTTTTCACCAAAGGCATCAAAGCGCTCCAAATGTCCACTTCCAGATTCTTCCAAAAGAGTGTTTCAAACGTGGTCGAAGTAAGGGAATGTTCTACTCTGTGACTTGAATGCAGATATCACCAAGTAGTTTCTAATAGTGCTTCTGTCTAGATTTTAGGTGATGATATTCCCGTTTCCAACGAAATCGTTAGAGCTATCCAAATATCCAGTTACAGTTTCTACCAAAAGGGTGTTTCCAAATTGCTGCATCAAAAGAAAGGTTCAACTCTGTTAGTTGAGGACACACATCACAAAGAAGTTTGTGAGAATGCTTCTGTCTAGATTTTGTATGACGATATTCCCTTTTCCAACGATATCGTTAAAGCAATCTAAATATCAATTTGCAGAATCCACAAAAATAGAGTTTCAAAGTTGCTCTGTAAAAAGAAAGGTTCCACTCTGTTAGCTGAGTACACACATCACAAACTTGTTTCTGAGAAACCTTCTGTCTCGTTTTTATGGGAAGATATTTACTTTTCCACTGTAGGCATCAAAGCGCTCCAAATGTCCACATCCAGATACTCCAGAACGAGTGTTTCAAACCTGCTCTATGAAAGGGAATCTTCAACTCTATGAGTTGAATGCAGAATCAGAAAGAAATTTCTGAGAATGCTGCTGTCTACCTTTTATTTGAACTCCCGCTTCCAACGAAATCCTCCAAGCTATCCAAATATCCACTTGCATTTTCCACAAAAAGAGTGCTTCAAAACTGCTCTATCAATAAATGTTCAACTCCTTTAGCTGGGTGCACACATCACAAACAAGTTTCTGAGAATGCTTCTGTCTAGTTTTTATGGGAAGACATTCCCTTTTTCACCAAAGGCATCAAAGCGCTCCAAATGTCCACTTCCAGACACTACAAAAAGAGTGTTTCCAACGTGCTCTAAGAAACCGAATGTTCGACTCTGTGACTTGAATGCAGATATCACAAAGTAGTTTCTGAGAGGGCTTCTGTCTAGATTTTAGATGATGATATTCCCGTTTCCAACGAAATCATTAGAGCTATCCAAATATCCACTTACAGTTTCTACAAAAAGAGTGTTTCCAAACTGCTGCATCAAAAGAGAGGTTCCACTCTGTTAGCTGAGTACACACATCACAAACTTGTTTCTCAGAATCCTTCTGTCTCGTTTTTATGGGAAGATTATACTTTTTCACCGTAGGCATCAATGCGCTCCAAATGTCCACATCCAGATACTACAGAAAGAGTGTTTCAAACCTGCTCTATGAAAGGGAATCTTCAACTCTATGAGTTGAATGCAGACATCAGAAAGAAATTTCTGAGAATGCTGCTGTCTACCTTTTATTTGAATTCCCGCTTCCAACGAAATCCTCCAAGCTATCCAAATATCCACTTGCAGATTCCACAAAAAGAGTGTTTCAAAACTGCTCTCTATCAATGACAAAGTTCAACTCTGTTAGTTGAGGACACATATCACCAACAAGTTTCTGAGAATGCTTCTGTCTATTTTTTATGGGAAGATATTTCCTTTTTCACCGTAGGCATCAAGGCGATCGAAATGTCCACTTCCACAAACTACAAAAAGAGTGTTTCAAACCTGCTCTATGAAAGGCCATGTTCATCTCTATGAGTTGAATGGAAATATCCGAAAGAAATTTCTGGGAATGCTGCTGTGTAGTTGTTATACGAATTCCCGCTTCCAACGAAATCCTCAAAGCAATCCAAATATCCACTTGCAGAATCCACAAAAAGAGTGTTTCAAAACTGCTCTATCAATAGAAAGGTTCAACTCTTTTAGTTGAGTACACACATCACAAACAAGTTTCTGAGAATGCTTCTGTCTGGCTTTTATTGGAAGACGTTTCCTTTTCACCAAAGGCATCAAAACGCTCCAAATGTCCACTTCCAGATTCTTCCAAAAGAGTGTTTCAAACGTGCTCAAAGTAAGGGAATGTTCAACTCTGTGACTTGAATGCAGATATCACCAAGTAGTTTCTAATAGTGCTTCTGTCTAGATTTTAGATGATGATATTCCCGTTTCCAACGAATTCGTTAGAGCTATCCAAATATCCACTTACAGTTTCTACCAAAAGGGTGTTTCCAAACTGCTGCATCAAAAGAAAGGTTCAACTCTGTTAGTTGAGGACACACATCACAAAGAAGTTTGTGAGAATGCTTCTGTCTAGATTTTGTATGACGATATTCCCTTTTCCAACGATATCGTTAAAGCAATCTAAATATCAATTTGCAGAATCCACAACAATAGAGTTTCAAAGCTGCTCTGTAAAAAGAAAGGTTCCACTCTGTTAGCTGAGTACACACATCACAAACTTGTTTCTGAGAATCCTTCTGTCTCGTTTTTATGGGAAGATATTTACTTTTCCACCGTAGGCATCAAAGCGCTCCAAATGTCCACATCCAGATACTCCAGAACGAGTGTTTCAAACCTGCTCTATGAAAGGGAATCTTCAACTCTATGAGTTGAATGCAGACATCAGAAAGAAATTTCTGAGAATGCTGCTGTCAACCTTTTATTTGAATTCCCGCTTCCAACGAAATCCTCCAAGCTATCCAAATATCCACCTGCATTTTCCACAAAAAGAGTGTTTCAAAACTGCTCTATCAATAGAAATGTTCAACTCCTTTGGCTGGGTACACACATCACAAACAAGTTTCTGAGAATGCTTCTGTGTAGTTTTTATGGGTAGACATTCCCTTTTTCACCAAAGGAATCAAAGCGCTCCAAATGTCCACTTCCAGACACTACAAAAAGAGTGTTTCAAACGTGCTCTAAGAAAGCGAATGTTCAACTCTGTGACTTGAATGCAGATATCACACAGTAGTTTCTGAGAGTGCTTCTGTCTAGATTTTAGATGATGATATTCCCGTTTCCAACGAAATCATTAGAGCTATCCAAATATCCACTTACAGTTTCTACAAAAAGAGTGTTTCCAAACTGCTGCATCAAAAGAGAGGTTCCACTCTGTTAGCTGAGTACACACATCACAAACTTGTTTTTCAGAATCCTTCTGTCTCGTTTTTATGGGAAGATATTTGCTTTTTCACCGTAGGCATCAAAGCGCTCCAAATGTCCACATCCAGATACTCCAGAAAGAGTGTTTCAAACCTGCTCTATGAAAGGGAATCTTCAACTCTATGAGTTGAATGCAGACATCAGAAAGAAATTTCTGAGAATGCTGCTGTCTACCTTTTATTTGAATTCCCGCTTCCAACGAAATCCTCCAAGCTATCCAAATATCCACTTGCAGATTCCACAAAAAGAGTGTTTCAAAACTGCTCTCTATCAATGGCAAAGTTCAACTCTGTTAGTTGAGGACACATATCACCAACAAGTTTCTGAGAATGCTTCTGTCTAATTTTTATGGGAAGATATTTCCTTTTTCACCGTATGCGTCAAAGCGATCGAAATGTCCACTTCCACAAACAACAAAAAGAGTGTTTCAAACCTGCTCTATGAAAGGCCATGTTCATCTCTATGAGTTGAATGGAAATATCCGAAAGAAATTTCTGGGAATGCTGCTGTCTAGTTTTTATATGAATTCCCGCTTGCAACGAAATCCTCAAAGCAATCCAAATATCCACTTGCAGAATCCACAAAAAGAGTGTTTCAAAACTGCGCTATCAATAGAAAGGTTCAACTCTTTTAGTTGAGTACACACATCACGAACAAGTTTCTGAGAATGCTTCCTGTCTGGCTTTTATTGGAAGACGTTTCCCTTTTCACCAAAGGCATCAAAGCGCTCCAAATGTCCACTTCCAGATTCTTCCAAAAGAGTGTTTCAAACGTGCTCAAAGTAAGGGAATGTTCAACTCTGTGACTTGAATGCAGATATCACCAAGTAGTTTCTAATAGTGCTTCTGTCTAGATTTTAGATGATGATATTCCCGTTTCCAACGAAATCGTTACAGCTATCCAAATATCCACTTACAGTTTCTACAAAAAGAGTGTTTCCAAACTGCTGCATCAAAAGAAAGGTTCAACTCTGTTAGTTGAGGACACACATCACAAAGAAGTTTGTGAGAATGCTTCTGTCTAGATTTTGTATGACGATATTCCCTTTTACAACGATATCGTTAAAGCAATCTAAATATCAATTTGCAGAATCCACAAAAATAGAGTTTCAAAACTGCTCTGTAAAAAGAAAGGTTCCACTCTGTTAGCTGAGTACACACATCACAAACTTGTTTCTGAGAATCCTTCTGTCTCGTTTTTATGGGAAGATATTTACTTTTCCACCGTAGGCATCAAAGCGCTCCAAATGTCCACATCCAGATACTCCAGAACGAGTGTTTCAAACCTGCTCTATGAAAGGGAATCTTCAACTCTATGAGTTGAATGCAGACATCAGAAAGAAATTTCTGAGAATGCTGCTGTCTACCTTTTATTTGAATTCCCGCTTCCAACGAAATCCTCCAAGCTATCCAAATATCCACCTGCATTTTCCACAAAAAGAGCGTTTCAAAACTGCTCTATCAATAGAAATGTTCAACTCCTTTGGCTGGGTACACACATCACAAACAAGTTTCCTGAGAATGCTTCTGTCTAGTTTTTATGGGTAGACATTCCCTTTTTCACCAAAGGAATCAAAGCGCTCCAAATGTCCACTTCCAGACACTACAAAAAGAGTGTTTCAAACGTGCTCTAAGAAAGCGAATGTTCAACTCTGTGACTTGAATGCAGATATCACACAGTAGTTTCTGAGAGTGCTTCTGTCTAGATTTTAGATGATGATATTCCCGTTTCCAACGAAATCATTAGAGCTATCCAAATATCCACTTACACTTTCTACAAAAAGAGTGTTTCCAAACTGCTGCATCAAAAGAGAGGTTCCACTCTGTTAGCTGAGTACACACATCACAAACTTGTTTCTGAGAATCCTTCTGTCTCGTTTTTATGGGAAGATATTTACTTTTTCACCGTAGGCATCAAAGCGCTCCAAATGTCCACATCCAGATACTACAGAAAGAGTATTTCAAACCTGCCCTATGAAACGGAATCTTCAACTCTATGAGTTGAATGCAGAGATCAGAAAGAAATTTCTGAGAATGCTGCTGTCTACCTTTTATTTGAATTCCCGCTTCCAACGAAATCCTCCAAGCTATCCAAATATCCACTTGCAGATTCCACAAAAAGAGTGTTTCAAAACTGCTCTCTATCAATGGCAAAGTTCAACTCTGTTAGTTGAGGACACATATCACCAACAAGTTTCTGAGAATGCTTCTGTCTATTTTTTATGGGAAGATATTTCCTTTTTCACCGTAGGCGTCAAGGCGATCGAAATGTCCACTTCCACAAACTACAAAAAGAGTGTTTCAAACCTGCTCTATGAAAGGCGATGTTCATCTCTATGAGTTGAATGGAAATATCCGAAAGAAATTTCTGGGAATGCTGCTGTCTAGTTTTTATATGAATTCCCGCTTCCAACGAAATCCTCAAAGCAATCCAAATATCCACTTGCAGAATCCACAAAAAGAGTGTTTCAAAACTGCTCTATCAATAGAAAGGTTCAACTCTTTTAGTTGAGTACACACATCACAAACAAGTTTCTGAGAATGTTTCTGTCTGGCTTTTATTGGAAGACGTTTCCTTTTCACCAAAGGCATCAAAGCGCTCCAAATGTCCACTTCCAGATTCTTCCAAAAGAGTGTTTGAAACGTGCTCAAAGTAAGGGAATGTTCAACTCTGTGACTTGAATGCAGATATCACCAAGTAGTTTCTAATAGTGCTTCTGTCTAGATTTTAGATGATGATATTCCCGGTTTCCAACGAAATCGTTAGAGCTATCCAAATATCCACTTACAGTTGCTACAAAAACAGTGTTTCCAAACTGCTGCATCAAAAGAAAGGTTCAACTCTGTTAGTTGAGGACACACGTCACAAAGAAGTTTGTGAGAATGCTTCTGTCTAGATTTTGTATGACGGTATTCCCTTTTCCAACGATATCGTTAAAGCAATCTAAATATCAATTTGCAGAATCCACAACAATAGAGTTTCAAAGCTGCTCTGTAAAAAGAAAGGTTCCACTCTGCTAGCTGAGTACACACATCACAAACTTGTTTCTGAGAATCCTTCTGTCTCGTTTTTATGGGAAGATATTTACTTTTCCACGGTAGGCATCAAAGCGCTCCAAATGTCCACATCCAGATACTCCAGAACGAGTGTTTCAAACCTGCTCTATGAAAGGGAATCTTCAACTCTATGAGTTGAATGCAGACATCAGAAAGAAATTTCTGAGAATGCTGCTGTCTACCTTTTATTTGAATTCCCGCTTCCAACGAAATCCTCCAAGCTATCCAAATATCAACTTGCATTTTCCACAAAAAGAGTGTTTCAAAACTGCTCTATCAATAGAAATGTTCAACTCCTTTAGCTGGGTACACACATCACAAACAAGTTTCTGAGAATGCTTCTGTCTAGTTTTTATGGGAATACATTCCCTTTTTCACCAAAGGCATCAAAGCGCTCCAAATGTCCACTTCCAGACACTACAAAAAGAGTGTTTCCAACGTGCTCTAAGAAAGCGAATGTTCAACTCTGTGACTTGAATGCAGATATCACAAAGTAGTTTCTAATAGTGCTTCTGTCTAGATTTTAGATGATGATATTCCCCGTTTCCAAAGAAATCATTAGAGCTATCCAAATATCCACTTACAGTTTCTACAAAAAGAGTGTTTCCAAACTGCTGCATCAAAAGAGAGGTTCCACTCTGTTAGCTGAGTACACACATCACAAACTTGTTTCTCAGAATCCTTCTGTCTAGCTTTTATGGGAAGATATTTTCTTTTTCACCGTAGGCATCAAAGCGTTCCAAATGTCCACATCCAGATAGTACAGAAAGAGCGTTTCAAACCTGCTCTATGAAAGGGAATGTTCAACTCTATGAGTTGAATGCAAACGTCACAAAGAAATTTCTGAGAATGCTGCTGTCTACCTTTCATTTGAATTCCCGCTTCCAACGAAATCCTCCAGGCTATCCAAATATCCACTTGCAGATTCCACAAAAAGAGTGTTTCTAAACTGCTCTATCAATGGCAAGGTTCAACTCTGTCAGTTGAGGATACACATCACAAACAAGTTTCTGAGAATTCTTCTGTCTATTTTTTATGGGAAGATATTTCCTTTTTCACCGTAGGCGTCAAGGCGATCGAAATGTCCACTTCCACAAACTACAAAAAGAGTGTTTCAAACCTGCTCTATGAAAGGCCATGTTCATCTCTATGAGTTGAATGGAAATATCCGAAAGAAATTTCTGGGAATGTTGCTGTCTAGTTGTTATACGAATTCCCGCTTCCAACGAAATCCTCAAAGCAATCCAAATATCCACTTGCAGAATCCACAAAAAGAGTGTTTCAAAACTGCTCTATCAATAGAAAGGTTCAACTCTTTTAGTTGAGTATACACATCAAGAACAAGTTTCTGAGAATGCTTCTGTCTGGCTTTTATTGGAAGACGTTTCCTTTTCACCAAAGGCATCAAAGCGCTCCAAATGTCCACTTCCAGATTCTTCCAAAAGAGTGTTTGAAACGTGCTCAAAGTAAGGGAATGTTCAACTCTGTGACTTGAATGCAGATATCACCAAGTAGTTTCTAATAGTGCTTCTGTCTAGATTTTAGATGATGATATTCCCGTTTCCAACGAAATTGTTAGAGCTATCCAAATATCCACTTACAGTTTCTACAAAAAGAGTGTTTCCAAACTGCTGCATCAAAAGAAAGGTTCAACTCTGTTAGTTGAGGACACACATCACAAAGAAGTTTGTGAGAATGCTTCTGTCTAGATTTTGTATGACCATATTCCCTTTTCCAGCGATATCATTAAAGCAATCTAAATATCCATTTGCAGAATCCACAAAAATAGAGTTTCAAAGCTGCTCTGTAAAAAGAAAGGTTCCACTCTGTTAGCTGAGTACACACATCACAAACTTGTTTCTCAGAATCCTTCTGTCTCGTTTTTATGGGAAGATATTTACTTTTTCACCGTAGGCATCAAAGCGCTCCAAATGTACACATCCAGATACTCCAGAAAGAGTGTTTCAAACCTGCTCTATGAAAGGGAATCTTCAACTCTATGAGTTGAATGCAGACATCAGAAAGAAATTTCTGAGAATGCTGCTGTCTACCTTTTATTTGAATTCCCGCTTCCAACGAAATCCTCCAAGCTATCCATATATCCACCTGCATTTTCCACAAAAAGAGTGTTTCAAAACTGCTCTATCAATAGAAATGTTCAACTCCTTTGGCTGGGTACACACATCACAAACAAGTTTCTGAGAATGCTTCTGTCTAGTTTTTATGGGTAGACATTCCCTTTTTCACCAAAGGAATCAAAGCGCTCCAAATGTCCACTTCCAGACACTACAAAAAGAGTGTTTCAAACGTGCTCTAAGAAAGCGAATGTTCAACTCTGTGACTTGAATGCAGATATCACAAAGTAGTTTCTGAGAGTGCTTCTGTCTAGATTTTAGATGATGATATTCCCGTTTCCAACGAAATCATTAGAGCTATCCAAATATCCACTTACAGTTTCTACAAAAAGAGTGTTTCCAAACTGCTGCATCAAAACAGAGGTTCCACTCTGTTAGCTGAGTACACACATCACAAACTTGTTTCTCAGAATCCTTCTGTCTCGTTTTTATGGGAAGATATTTACTTTCTCACCGTAGGCATCAAAGCGCTCCAAATGTCCACATCCAGATACTCCAGAAAGAGTGTTTCAAACCTGCTCTATGAAAGGGAATCTTCAAATCTATGAGTTGAATGCAGACATCAGAAAGAAATTTCTGAGAATGCTGCTGTCTACCTTTTATTTGAATTCCCGCTTCCAACGAAATCCTCCAAGCTATCCAAATATCCACTTGCAGATTCCACAAAAAGAGTGTTTCAAAACTGCTCTCTATCAATGGCAAAGTTCAACTCTGTTAGTTGAGGACACATATCACCAACAAGTTTCTGAGAATGCTTCTGTCTATTTTTTATGGGAAGATATTTCCTTTTTCAGCGTAGGTGTCAAGGCGATCGAAATGTCCACTTCCACAAACTACAAAAAGAGTGTTTCAAACCTGCTCTATGAAAGGCCATGTTCATCTCTATGAGTTGAATGGAAATATCCGAAAGAAATTTCTGGGAATGCTGCTGTCTAATTTTTATACGAATTCCCGCTTCCAACGAAATCCTCAAAGCAATCCAAATATCCACTTGCAGAATCCACAAAAAGAGTGTTTCAAAACTGCGCTATCAATAGAAAGGTTCAACTCTTTTAGTTGAGTACACACATCACAAACAAGTTTCTGAGAATGCTTCTGTCTGGCTTTTATTGGAAGACGTTTCCTTTTCACCAAAGGCATCAAAGCGCTCCAAATGTCCACTTCCAGATTCTTCCAAAAGAGTGTTTGAAACGTGCTCAAAGTAAGGGAATGTTCAACTCTGTGACTTGAATGCAGATATCACCAAGTAGTTTCTAATAGTGCTTCTGTGTATACTTTAGATGAAGATATTCCCGTTTCCAACGATATCGTTAGACCTATCCAAATATCCACTTACAGTTTCTACAAAAAGAGTGTTTCCAAACTGCTGCATCAAAAGAAAGGTTCAACTCTGTTAGTTGAGGACACACATCACAAAGAAGTTTCTGAGAAAGCTTCTGTCTAGATTTTGTATGAAGATATTCCCTTTTCCAACGATATCGTTAAATCAACACAAATATCAATTTGCAGAATCCACAGAAATAGAGTTTCAAAGCTGCTCTGTAAAAAGAAAGGATCCACTCTGTTAGCTGAGTACACACATCACAAACTTGTTTCTGAGAATCCTTCTGTCTCGTTTTTATGGGAAGATATTTACTTTTCCACCGTAGGCATCAAAGCGCTCCAAATGTCCACATCCAGATACTCCAGAAAGAGTGTTTCAAACCTGCTCTATGAAAGGGAATCTTCAACTCTATGAGTTGAATGAAGACATCAGAAAGAAATTTCTGAGAATTCTGCTGTCTACCTTTTATTTGAATTCCCGCTTCCAACGAAATCCTCCAAGCTATCCAAATATCCACCTGCATTTTCCACAAAAAGAGCGTTTCAAAACTGCTCTATCAATAGAAATGTTCAACTCCTTTGGCTGGGTACACACATCACAAACAAGTTTCTGAGAATGCTTCTGTCTAGTTTTTATGGGTAGACATTCCCTTTTTCACCAAAGGAATCAAAGCGCTCCAAATGTCCACTTCCAGACACTACAAAAAGAGTGTTTCAAACGTGCTCTAAGAAAGCGAATGTTCAACTCTGTGACTTGAATGCAGATATCACAAAGTAGTTTCTGAGAGTGCTTCTGTCTAGATTTTAGATGATGATATTCCCGTTTCCAACAAAATCATTAGAGCTTCCAAATATCCACTTACAGTTTCTACAAAAAGAGTGCTTCCAAACTGCTGCATCAAAAGAGAGGTTCCACTCTGTTAGCTGAGTACACACATCACAAACTTGTTTCTCAGAATCCTTCTGTCTCGTTTTTATGGGAAGATATTTACTTTTTCACCGTAGGCATCAAAGCGCTCCAAATGTCCACATCCAGATACTCCAGAAAGAGTGTTTCAAACCTGCTCTATGAAAGGGAATGTTCAACTCTATGAGTTGAATGCAGACATCAGAAAGAAATTTCTGAGAATGCTGCTGTCTACCTTTTATTTGAATTCCCGCTTCCAACGAAATCCTCCAAGCTATCCAAATATCCACTTGCAGATTCCACAAAAAGAGTGTTTCAAAACTGCTCTCTATTAATGGCAAAGTTCAACTCTGTTAGTTGAGGACACATATCACCAACAAGTTTCTGAGAATGCTTCTGTCTATTTTTTATGGGAAGATATTTCCTTTTTCACCGTAGGCGTCAAGGCGATCGAAATGTCCACTTCCACAAACTACAAAAAGAGTGTTTCAAACCTGCTCTATGAAAGGCCATGTTCATCTCTATGAGTCGAATGGAAATATCCGAAAGAAATTTCTGGGAATGCTGCTGTCTAGTGTTTATACGAATTCCCGCTTCCAACGAAATCCTCAAAGCAATCCAAATATCCACTTGCAGAATCCACAAAAAGAGTGTTTCAAAACTGCTCTATCAATAGAAAGGTTCAACTCTTTTAGTTGAGTACACACATCACGAACAAGTTTCTGAGAATGCTTCTGTCTGGCTTTTATTGGAAGACGTTTCCCTTTTCACCAAAGGCATCAAAGCGCTCCAAATGTCCACTTCCAGATTCTTCCAAAAGAGTGTTTCAAACGTGCTCAAAGTAAGGGAATGTTCAACTCTGTGACTTGAATGCAGATATCACCAAGTAGTTTCTAATAGTGCTTCTGTCTAGATTTTAGATGATGATATTCCCGTTTCCAACGAAATCGTTAGAGCTATCCAAATATCCACTTACAGTTGCTACAAAAACAGTGTTTCCAAACTGCTGCATCAAAAGAAAGGTTCAACTCTGTTAGTTGAGGACACACGTCACAAAGAAGTTTGTGAGAATGCTTCTGTCTAGATTTTGTATGACGGTATTCCCTTTTCCAACGATATCGTTAAAGCAATCTAAATATCAATTTGCAGAATCCACAACAATAGAGTTTCAAAGCTGCTCTGTAAAAAGAAAGGTTCCACTCTGTTAGCTGAGTACACACATCACAAACTTGTTTCTGAGAATCCTGCTGTCTACCTTTTATTTGAATTCCCGCTTCCAACGAAATCCTCCAAGCTATCCAAATATCCACCTGCATTTTCCAGAAAAAGAGCGTTTCAAAACTGCTCTATCAATAGAAATGTTCAACTCCTTTGGCTGGGTACACACATCACAAACAAGTTTCTGAGAATGCTTCTGTCTAGTTTTTATGGGAAGACGTTCCCTTTTTCACCAAAGGCATCAAAGCGCTCCAAAAGTCCACTTCCAGACACTACAAAAAGAGTGTTTCCAACGTGCTCAAAGAAAGCGAATGTTCAACTCTGTGACTTGAATGCAGATATCACAAAGTAGTTTCTGAGAGGGCTTCTGTCTAGATTTTAGATGATGATATTCCCGTTTCCAACGAAATCATTAGAGCTATCCAAATATCCACTTACAGTTTCTACAAAAAGAGTGTTTCCAAACTGCTGCATCAAAAGAGAGGTTCCACTGTTAGCTGAGTACACACATCACAAACTTGTTTCTCAGAATCCTTCTTCAATTTTTTATGGGAAGACATTTCCTTTTTCACCGTAGGCCTCAAAGTGCTCCAAATGTCCACATCCAGATAGTACAGAAAGAGTGTTTCAAACCTGCTCTATTAAAGGGAATGTTCAACTCTATGAGTTGAATGCAAACATCACAAAGAAATTTCTGAGAATGCTGCTGTCTACCTTTTATTTGAATTCCCGCTTCCAACGAAATCCTCCAAGCTATCCAAATATCCACTTGCAGATTCGACAAAAAGAGTGTTTCAAAACTGCTCTCTATCAATGGCAAAGTTCAACTCTGTTAGTTGAGGACACATATCACCAACAAGTTTCTGAGAATGCTTCTGTCTATTTTTTATGGGAAGATATTTCCTTTTTCACCGTAGGCGTCAAGGCGATCGAAATGTCCACTTCCACAAACTACAAAAAGAGTGTTTCAAACCTGCTCTATGAAAGGCCATGTTCATCTCTATGAGTCGAATGGAAATATCCGAAAGAAATTTCTGGGAATGCTGCTGTCTAGTGTTTATACGAATTCCCGCTTCCAACGAAATCCTCAAAGCAATCTAAATATCCACTTGCAGAATCCACAAAAAGAGTGTTTCTAAACTGCTCTATCAATAGAAAGGTTCAACTCTTTTAGTTGAGTACACACATCACGAACAAGTTTCTGAGAATGCTTCTGTCTGGCTTTTATTGGAAGACGTTTCCTTTTCACCAAAGGCATCAATTCGCTCCAAATGTCCACTTCCAGATTCTTCCAAAAGAGTGTTTCAAACGTGCTCAAAGTAAGGGAATGTTCAACTCTGTGACTTGAATGCAGATATCACCAAGTAGTTTCTAATAGTGCTTCTGTCTAGATTTTAGATGATGATATTCCCGTTTCCAACGAAATCGTTAGAGCTATCCAAATATCCAGTTACAGTTTCTACAAAAAGAGTGTTTCCAAACTGCTGCATCAAAAGAAAGGTTCAACTCTGTTGGTTGAGGACACACATCAGAAAGAAGTTTGTGAGAATGCTTCTCTCTAGATTTTGTATGACGATATTCCCTTTTCCAACGATATCGTTAAAACAATCTAAATATAAATTTGCAGAATCCACAAAAATACAGTTTCAAAGCTGCTCTGTAAAAAGAAAGGTTCCACTCTTTTGGCTGAGTACACACATCAAAAACTTGTTTCTGAGAATCCTTCTGTCTCGTTTTTATGGGAAGATATTTACTTTTCCACCGTAGGCATCAAAGCGCTCCAAATGTCCACATCCGGATACTCCAGAACGAGTGTTTCAAACCTGCTCTATGAAAGGGAATCTTCAACTCTATGAGTTGAATGCAGACATCAGAAAGAAATTTCTGAGAATGCTGCTGTCTACCTTTTATTTGAATTCCCGCTTCCAACGAAATCCTCCAAGCTATCCAAATATCCACTTGCATTTTCCACAAAAAGAGTGTTTCAAAACTGCTCTATCAATAGAAATGTTCAACTCCTTTGGCTGGGTACACACATCACAAACAAGTTTCTGAGAATGCTTTCTGTCTAGTTTTTATGGGAAGACGTTCCCTTTTTCACCAAAGGCATCAAAGCGCTCCAAATGTCCACTTCCAGACACTACAAAAAGAGTGTTTCCAACGTGCCCTAAGAAAGCGAATGTTCAACTCTGTGACTTGAATGCAGATATCACAAAGTAGTTTCTGAGAGGGCTTCTGTCTAGATTTTAGATGATGATATTCCCGTTTCCAACGAAATCATTAGAGATATCCAAATATCCACTTACAGTTTCTACAAAAAGAGTGTTTCCAAACTGCTGCATCAAAAGAGAGGTTCCACTCTGTTAGCTGAGTACACACATCACAAACTTGTTTCTCAGAATCCTTCTGTCTCGTTTTTATGGGAAGATATTTACTTTTTCATCGTAGGCCTCAAAGCGCTCCAAATGTCCACATCCAGATACTACAGAAAGAGTATTTCAAACCTGCTCTATGAAAGGGAATGTTCAACTCTATGAGTTGAATGCAGACATCAGAAAGAAATTTCTGAGAATGCTGCTGTCTACCTTTTATTTGAATTCCCGCTTCCAACGAAATCCTCCAAGCTATCCAAACATCCACTTGCATTTTCCACAAAAAGAGTGTTTCAAAACTGCTCTATCAATAGAAACGTTCAAGTCCTTTAGCTGGGTACACACATCACAAACAAGTTTCTGAGAATGCTTTCTGTCTATTTTTTATGGGAAGATATTTCCTTTTTCACCGTAGGCGTCAAGGCGATCGAAATGTCCACTTCCACAAACTACAAAAAGAGTGTTTCAAACCTGCTCTATGAAAGGCCATGTTCATCTCTATGAGTTGAATGGAAATATCCGAAAGAAATTTCTGGGAATGCTGCTGTCTAGTTTTTATACGAATTCCCGCTTCCAACGAAATCCTCAAAGCAATCCAAATATCCACTTGCAGAATCCACAAAAAGAGTGTTTCAAAACTGCTCTATCAATAGAAAGGTTCAACTCTTTTAGTTGAGTACACACTTCACAAACAAGTTTCTGAGAATGCTTCTGTCTGGCTTTTATTGGAATACGTTTCCTTTTCACCAAAGGCATCAAAGCGCTCCAAATGTCCACTTCCAGATTCTTCCAAAAGAGTGTTGCAAACGTGCTCAATGTAAGGGAATGTTCAACTCTGTGACTTGAATGCAGATATCACCAAGTAGTTTCTAATAGTGCTTCTGTCTAGATTTTAGATGATGATATTCCCGTTTCCAACGAAATCGTTAGAGCTATCCAAATATCCACTTACAGTTTCTACAAAAAGAGTGTTTCCAAACTGCTGCATCAAAAGAAAGGTTCAACTACTGTTAGTTGAGGACACACATCACAAAGAAGTTTGTGAGAATGCTTCTGTCTAGATTTTGAATGAAGATATTCCCTTTTCCATCGATATCGTTAAATCAACCCAAATATCAATTTGCAGAATCCACAGAAATAGAGTTTCAAAGCTGCTCTGTAAAAAGAAAGGATCCACTCTGTTAGCTGAGTACACACATCACAAACTTGTTTCTGAGAATCCTTCTGTCTCGGTTTTTATGGGAAGATATTTACTTTTTCACTGTAGGCATCAAAGCTGCTCCAAATGTCCACATCCAGATACTCCAGAAAGAGTGTTTCAAACCTGCTCTATGAAAGGGAATCTTCAACTCTATGAGTTGAATGCAGACATCAGAAAGAAATTTCTGAGAATGCTGCTGTCTACCTTTTATTTGAATTCCCGCTTCCAACGAAATCCTCCAGGCTATCCAAATATCCACTTGCAGATTCAACAAAAAGAGTGTTTCAAAACTGCTCTCTATCAATGGCAAAGTTCAACTCTGTTAGTTGAGGACACATATCACCAACAAGTTTCTGAGAATGCTTCTGTCTAGTTTTTATGGGTAGACATTCCCTTTTTCACCAAAGGAATCAAAGCGCTCCAAATGTCCACTTCCAGACACTACAAAAAGAGTGTTTCAAACGTGCTCTAAGAAAGGGAATGTTCAACTCTGTGACTTGAATGCAGATATCACACAGTAGTTTCTGAGAGTGCTTCTGTCTAGATTTTAGATGATGATATTCCCGTTTCCAACGAAATCATTAGAGCTATCCAAATATCCACTTACAGTTTCTACAAAAAGAGTGTTTCCAAACTGCTGCATCAAAAGAGAGGTTCCACTCTGTTAGCTGAGTACACACATCACAAACTTGTTTCTCAGAATCCTTCTGTCTCGTTTTTATGGGAAGATTATACTTTTTCACCATAGGCATCAAAGCGCTCCAAATGTCCACATCCAGATACTCCAGAAAGAGTGTTTCAAACCTGCTCTATGAAAGGGAATCTTCAACTCTATGAGTTGAATGCAGACATCAGAAAGAAATTTCTGAGAATGCTGCTGTCTAGTTTTTATACGAATTCCCGCTTCCAACGAAATCCTCCAAGCTATCCAAATATCCACTTGCAGATTCCACAAAAAGAGTGTTTCAAAACTGCTCTCTATCAATGGCAAAGTTCAACTCTGTTAGTTGAGGACACATATCACCAACAAGTTTCTGAGAATGCTCTGTCTATTTTTTATGGGAAGATATTTCCTTTTTCAGCGTAGGCGTCAAGGCGATCGAAATGTCCACTTCCACAAACTACAAAAAGAGTGTTTCAAACCTGCTCTATGAAAGGCCATGTTCATCCTGCTATGAGTTGAATGGAAATATCCGAAAGAAATTTCCTGGGAATGCTGGCTGTCTAGTGTTTATACGAATTCCCGCTTCCAACGAAATCCTCAAAGCAATCCAAATATCCACTTGCAGAATCCACAAAAAGAGTGTTTCAAAACTGCTCTATCAATAGAAAGGTTCAACTCTTTTAGTTGAGTACACACATCACCAACAAGTTTCTGAGAATGCTTCTGTCTGGCTTTTATTGGAAGACGTTTCCTTTTCACCAAAGGCATCAAAGCGCTCCAAATGTCCACTTCCAGATTCTTCCAAAAGAGTGTTTCAAACGTGCTCAAAGTAAGGGAATGTTCAACTCTGTGACTTGAATGCAGATATCACCAAGTAGTTTCTAATAGTGCTTCTGTCTACATTTTAGATGATGATATTCCCGTTTCCAACGAAATCGTTAGAGCTAAGCAAATATCCAGTTACAGTTTCTACCAAAAGGGTGTTTCCAAATTGCTGCATCAAAAGAAAGGTTCAACTCTGTTAGTTGAGGACACACATCACAAAGAAGTTTGTGAGAATGCTTCTGTCTAGATTTTAGATGATGATATTCCCGTTTCCAACGAAATCATTAGAGCTATCCAAATATCCACTTACAGTTTCTACAAAAAGTGTGTTTCCAAACTGCTGCATCCAAAGAGAGGTTCCACTCTGTTAGCTGAGTACACACATCACAAACTTGTTTCTCAGAATCCTCTGTCTCGTTTTTCTGGGAAGATATTTACTTTTTCACCGTAGGCATCAAAGCGCTCCAAATGTCCACATCCAGATACTCCAGAAAGAGTGTTTCAAACCTGCTCCTATGAAAGGGAATCTTCAACTCTATGAGTTGAATGCAGACATCAGAAAGAAATTTCTGAGAATGCTGGCTGTCTACCTTTTATTTGAATTCCCGCTTCCAACGAAATCCTCCAAGCTATCCAAATATCCACTTGCATTTTCCACAAAAAGAGTGTTTCAAAACTGCTCTATCAATAGAAATGTTCAACTCCTTTGGCTGGGTACACACATCACAAACAAGTTTCTGAGAATGCTTCTGTCTAGTTTTTATGGGAAGACATTTCCTTTTTCACCAAAGGCATCAAAGCGCTCCAAATGTCCACTTCCAGATACTACAAAAAGTGTGTTTCAAAAGTGCTGTAAGAAAGCGAATGTTCAACTCTGTGACTTGAATGCAGATATCACAAAGTAGTTTCTGAGAGTGCTTCTGTCTAGATTTTAGATGATGATATTCCCGTTTCCAACGAAGTCATTAGAGCTATCCAAATGTGCACTTACAGTTTCTACAAAAAGAGTGTTTCCAAACTGCTGTGTCAAAAGAGAGGTTCCACTCTGTTAGCTGAGTACACACATCACAAACTTGTTTCTGAGAATCCTTCTGTCTCGTTTTTATGGGAAGATATTTACCTTTTCACCGTAGGCATCAAAGCGCTACAAATGTCCACATCCAGATACTCCAGAAAGAGTGTTTCAAACCTGCTCTATGAAAGGGAATCTTCAACTCTATGAGTTGAATGCAGACATCAGAAAGAAATTTCTGAGAATGCTGCTGTCTACCTTTTATTTGAATTCCCGCTTCCAACGAAATCCTCCAAGCTATCCAAATATCCACCTGCAGATTCCACAAAAAGAGTGTTTCAAAACTGCTCTATCAATAGAAATGTTCAAGTCCTTTAGCTGGGTACACACATCACAAACAAGTTTCTGAGAATGCTTCTGTCTATTTTTTATGGGAAGATATTTCCTTTTTCACCGTAGGCGTCAAGGCGATCGAAATGTCCACTTCCACAAACTACAAAAAGAGTGTTTCAAACCTGCTCTATGAAAGGCCATGTTCATCTCTATGAGTTGAATGGAAATATCCGAAAGAAATTTCTGGGAATGCTGCTGTCTAGTTTTTATACGAATTCCCGCTTCCAACGAAATCCTCAAAGCAATCCAAATATCCACTTGCAGAATCCACAAAAAGAGTGTTTCAAAACTGCTCTATTAATAGAAAGGTTCAACTCTTTTAGTTGAGTACACACATCACAAACAAGTTTCTGAGAATGCTTCTGTCTGGCTTTTATTGGAAGACGTTTCCTTTTCACCAAAGGCATCAAAGCGCTCCAAATGTCCACTTCCAGATTCTTCCAAAAGAGTGTTTGAAACGTGCTCAAAGTAAGGGAATGTTCAACTCTGTGACTTGAATGCAGATATCACCAAGTAGTTTCTAATAGTGCTCCTGTCTAGATTTTAGATGATGATATTCCCGTTTCCAACGAAATCGTTAGAGCTATCCAAATATCCAGTTACAGTTTCTACCAAAAGGGTGTTTCCAAACTGCTGCATCAAAAGAAAGGTTCAACTCTGTTAGTTGAGGACACACATCACAAAGAAGTTTGTGAGAATGCTTCTGTCTAGATTTTGTATGACGATATTCCCTTTTCCAACGATATCGTTAAAGCAATCTAAATATCCATTTGCAGAATCCACAAAAATAGAGTTTCAAAGCTGCTCTGTAAAAAGAAAGGTTCCACTCTGTTAGCTGAGTACACACATCACAAACTTGTTTCTGAGAATCCTTCTGTCTCGTTTTTATGGGAAGATATTTACTTTTTCACCGTAGGCATCAAAGGGCTCCAAATGTCCACATCCAGATACTCCAGAAAGAGTGTTTCAAACCTGCTCTATGAAAGGGAATGTTCAACTCTATGAGTTGAATGCAGACATCAGAAAGAAATTTCTGAGAATGCTGCTGTCTACCTTTTATTTGAATTCCCGCTTCCAACGAAATCCTCCAAGCTATCCAAATATCCACCTGCATTTTCCACAAAAAGAGTGTTTCAAAACTGCTCTATCAATAGAAATGTTCAACTCCTTTGGCTGGGTACACACATCACAAACAAGTTTCTGAGAATGCTTCTGTCTAGTTTTTATGGGTAGACATTCCCTTTTTCACCAAAGGAATCAAAGCGCTCCAAAAGTCCACTTCCAGACACTACAAAAAGAGTGTTTCAAACGTGCTCTAAGAAAGCGAATGTTCAACTCTGTGACTTGAATGCAGATATCACAAAGTAGTTTCTGAGAGTGCTTCTGTCTAGATTTTAGATGATGATATTCCCGTTTCCAACGAAATCATTAGAGCTATCCAAATATCCACTTACAGTTTCTACAAAAAGAGTGTTTCCAAACTGCTGCATCAAAGGAGAGGTTCCAATCTGTTAGCTGAGTACACACATCACAAACTTGTTTCTCAGAATCCTTCTGTCTCGTTTTTATGGGAAGATATTTACTTTCTCACCGTAGGCATCAAAGCGCTCCAAATGTCCACATCCAGATACTCCAGAAAGAGTGTTTCAAACCTGCTCTATGAAAGGGAATCTTCAACTCTATGAGTTGAATGCAGACATCAGAAAGAAATTTCTGAGAATGCTGCTGTCTACCTTTTATTTGAATTCCCGCTTCCAACGAAATCCTCCAAGCTATCCAAATATCCACTTGCAGATTCCACAAAAAGAGTGTTTCAAAACTGCTCTCTATCAATGGCAAAGTTCAACTCTGTTAGTTGAGGACACATATCACCAACAAGTTTCTGAGAATGCTTCTGTCTATTTTTTATGGGAAGATATTTCCTTTATCACCGTAGGCGTCAAGGCGATCGAAATGTCCACTTCCACAAACTACAAAAAGAGTGTTTCAAACCTGCTCTATGAAAGCCCATGTTCATCTCTATGAGTTGAATGGAAATATCCGAAAGAAATTTCTGGGAATGCTGCTGTCTAGTGTTTATACGAATTCCCGCTTCCAACGAAATCCTCAAAGCAATCCAAATATCCACTTGCAGAATCCACAAAAAGAGTGTTTCAAAACTGCTCTATCAATAGAAAGGTTCAACTCTTTTAGTTGAGTACACACATCACGAACAAGTTTCTGAGAATGCTTCTGTCTGGCTTTTATTGGAAGACGTTTCCTTTTCACCAAAGGCATCAAAGCGCTCCAAATGTCCACTTCCAGATACTTCCAAAAGAGTGTTTCAAACGTGCTCAAAGTAAGGGAATGTTCAACTCTGTGACTTGAATGCAGATATCACCAAGTAGTTTCTAATAGTGCTTCTGTCTAGATTTTAGATGATGATATTCCCGTTTCCAACGAAATCGTTAGAGCTATCCAAATATCCACTTACAGTTGCTACAAAAACAGTGTTTCCAAACTGCTGCATCAAAAGAAAGGTTCAACTCTGTTAGTTGAGGACACACGTCACAAAGAAGTTTGTGAGAATGCTTCTGTCTAGATTTTGTATGAGGATATTCCCTTTTCCAACGATATCGTTAAAGCAATCTAAATATCAATTTGCAGAATCCACAAAAATAGACTTTCAAAGCTGCTCTGTAAAAAGAAAGGTTCCACTCCGTTAGCTGAGTACACACATCACAAACTTGTTTCTCAGAATCCTTCTGTCTCGTTTTTATGGGAAGATATTTACTTTTCCACCGTAGGCATCAAAGCGCTCCAAATGTCCACATCCAGATACTCCAGAACGAGTGTTTCAAACCTGCTCTATGAAAGGGAATCTTCAACTCTATGAGTTGAATGCAGACATCAGAAAGAAATTTCTGAGAATGCTGCTGTCTACCTTTTATTTGAATTCCCGCTTCCAACGAAATCCACCAAGCTATCCAAATATCCACCTGCATTTTCCACAAAAAGAGTGTTTCAAACCTGCTCTATCAATAGAAATGTTCAACTCCTTTGGCTGGGTACACACATCACAAACAAGTTTCTGAGAATGCTTCTGTCTAGTTTTTATGGGTAGACATTCCCTTTTTCACCAAAGGAATCAAAGCGCTCCAAATGTCCACTTCCAGACACTACAAAAAGAGTGTTTCCAACGTGCTCTAAGAAAGCGAATGTTCAACTCTGTGACTTGAATGCAGATATCACAAAGTAGTTTCTGAGAGGGCTTCTGTCTAGATTTTAGATGATGATATTCCCGTTTCCAACGAAATCATTAGAGCTATCCAAATATCCACTTACAGTTTCTACAAAAAGAGTGTTTCCAAACTGCTGCATCAAAAGAGAGGCTCCACTCTGTTAGCTGAGTACACACATCACAAACTTGTTTCTCAGAATCCTTCTGTCTCGTTTTTATGGGAAGATATTTACTTTTTCACCGTAGGCATCAAAGCGCTCCAAATGTCCACATCCAGATACTCCAGAAAGAGTGTTTCAAACCTGCTCTATGAAAGGGAATGTTCAACTCTATGAGTTGAATGCAGACATCAGAAAGAAATTTCTGAGACTGCTGCTGTCTACCTTTTATTTGAATTCCCGCTTCCAACGAAATCCTCCAAGCTATCCAAATATCCACTTGCAGATTCCACAAAAAGAGTGTTTCAAAACTGCTCTCTATCAATGGCAAAGTTCAACTCTGTTAGTTAAGGACACATATCACCAACAAGTTTCTGAGAATGCTTCTGTCTATTTTTTATGGGAAGATATTTCCTTTTTCACCGTAGGCGTCAAGGCGATCGAAATGTCCACTTCCACAAACTACAAAAAGAGTGTTTCAAACCTGCTCTATGAACGGCCATGTTCATCTCTATGAGTCGAATGGAAATATCCGAAAGAAATTTCTGGGAATGCTGCTGTCTAGTTTTTATACGAATTCCCGCTTCCAACGAAATCCTCAAAGCAATCCAAATATCCAATTGCAGAATCCACAAAAAGAGTGTTTCAAAACTGCTCTATCAATAGAAAGGTTCAACTCTTTTAGTTGAGTACACACATCACAAACAAGTTTCTGAGAATGCTTCTGTCTGGCTTTTATTGGAAGACGTTTCCTTTTCACCAAAGGCATCAAAGCGCTCCAAATGTCCACTTCCAGATTCTTCCAAAAGAGTGTTTCAAACGTGCTCAAAGTAAGGGAATGTTCAACTCTTTGACTTGAATGCAGATATCACCAAGTAGTTTCTAATAGTGCTTCTGTCTAGATTTTAGATGATGATATTCCCGTTTCCAACGAAATCGTTAGAGCTATCCAAATATCCACTTACAGTTGCTACAAAAACAGTGTTTCCAAACTGCTGCATCAAAAGAAAGGTTCAACTCTGTTAGTTGAGGACACACGTCACAAAGAAGTTTGTGAGAATGCTTCTGTCTAGATTTTGTATGACGATATTCCCTTTTCCAACGATATCGTTAAAGCAATCTAAATATCAATTTGCAGAATCCACAAAAATAGAGTTTCAAAGCTGCTCTGTAAAAAGAAAGGTTCCACTCTGTTAGCTGAGTACACACATCACAAACTTGATTCTGAGAATCCTTCTGTCTCGTTTTTATGGGAAGATATTTACTTTTTCACCGTAGGCATCAAAGCGCTCCAAATGTCCACATCCAGATACTCCAGAAAGAGTGTTTCAAACCTGCTCTATGAAAGGGAATCTTCAACTCTATGAGTTGAATGCAGACATCAGAAAGAAATTTCTGAGAATGCTGCTGTGTACCTTTTATTTGAATTCCCGCTTCCAACGAAATCCTCCAAGCTATCCAAATATCCACCTGCATTTTCCACAACAAGAGTGTTTCAAAACTGCTCTATCAATAGAAATGTTCAACTCCTTTGGCTGGGTACACACATCACAAACAAGTTTCTGAGAATGCTTCTGTCTAGTTTTTATGGGAAGACGTTCTCTTTTTCACCAAAGGCATCAAAGCGCTCCAAATGTCCACTTCCAGACACTACAAAAAGAGTGTTTCCAACGTGCTCTAAGAAAGCGAATATTCAACTCTGTGACTTGAATGCAGATATCACAAAGTAGTTTCTGAGAGGGCTTCTGTCTAGATTTTAGATGATGATATTCCCGTTTCCAACAAAATCATTAGAGCTATCCAAATATCCACTTACAGTTTCTACAAAAAGAGTGTTTCCAAACTGCTGCATCAAAAGAGAGGTTCCACTCTGTTAGCTGAGTACACACATCACAAACTTGTTTCTCAGAATCCTTCTGTCTCGTTTTTATGGGAAGATATTTACTTTTTCACCGTAGGCATCAAAGCGCTCCAAATGTCCACATCCAGATACTACAGAAAGAGTATTTCAAACCTGCTCTATGAAAGGGAATGTTCAACTCTATGAGTTGAATGCAGACATCAGAAAGAAATTTCTGAGAATGCTGGCTGTCTACCTTTTATTTGAATTCCCGCTTCCAACGAAATCCTCCAAGCTATCCAAATATCCACTTGCAGATTCCACAAAAAGAGTGTTTCAAAACTGCTCTCTATCAATGGCAAAGTTCAACTCTGTTAGTTGAGGACACATATCACCAACAAGTTTCTGAGAATGCTCTGTCTATTTTTTATGGGAAGATATTTCCTTTTTCACCGTAGGCGTCAAGGCGATCGAAATGTCCACTTCCACAAACTACAAAAAGAGTGTTTCAAACCTGCTCTATGAAAGGCCATGTTCATCTCTATGAGTCGAATGGAAATATCCGAAAGAAATTTCTGGGAATGCTGGCTGTCTAGTTTTTATACGAATTCCCGCTTACAACGAAATCCTCAAAGCAATCCAAATATCCACTTGCAGAATCCACAAAAAGAGTGTTTCAAAACTGCTCTATCAATAGAAAGGTTCAACTCTTTTAGTTGAGTACACACATCACGAACAAGTTTCTGAGAATGCTTCTGTCTGGCTTTTATTGGAAGACGTTTCCTTTTCACCAAAGGCATCAAAGCGCTCCAAATGTCCACTTCCAGATTCTTCCAAAAGAGTGTTTGAAACGTGCTCAAAGTAAGGGAATGTTCAACTCTGTGACTTGAATGCAGATATCACCAAGTAGTTTCTAATAGTGCTTCTGTCTAAATTTTAGATGACGATATTCCCGTTTCCAACGAAATCGTTACAGCTATCCAATTATCCACTTACAGTTTCTACAAAAAGAGTGTTTCCAAACTGCTGCATCAAAAGAAAGGTTCAACTCTGTTAGTTGAGGACACACATCACAAAGAAGTTTGTGAGAATGCTTCTGTGTAGATTTTAGATGATGATATTCCCGTTTCCAACGAAATCATTAGAGCTATCCAAATATCCACTTACAGTTTCTACAAAAAGAGTGTTTCCAAACTGCTGCATCAAAAGAGAGGTTCCACTCTGTTAGCTGAGTACACACATCACAAACTTGTTTCTCAGAATCCTTGTCTGTCTCGTTTTTATGGGAGGATATTTACTTTTTCACCGTAGGCATCAAAGCCCTCCAAATGTCCACATCCAGATACTCCAGAAAGAGTGTTTCAAACCTGCTCTATGAAAGGGAATCTTCAACTCTATGAGTTGAATGCAGACATCAGAAAGAAATTTCTGAGAATGCTGCTGTCTACCTTTTATTTGAATTCCCGCTTCCAACGAAATCCTCCAAGCTATCCAAATATCCACTTGCATTTTCCACAAAAAGAGTGTTTCAAAACTGCTCTATCAATAGAAATGTTCAACTCCTTTAGCTGGGTACACACATCACAAACAAGTTTCTGAGAATGCTTCTGTCTAGTTTTTATGGGAAGACATTCCCTTTTTTACCAAAGGCATCAAAGCGCTCCAAATGTCCACTTCCAGACACTACAAAAAGAGTGTTTCAAACGTGCTCTAAGAAAGCGAATGTTCAACTCTGTGACTTGAATGCAGATATCACAAAGTAGTTTCTGAGAGGGCTTCTGTCTAGATTTTAGATGATGATATTCCCGTTTCCAACGAAATCATTAGAGCTATCCAAATATCCACTTACAGTTTCTACAAAAAGAGTGTTTCCAAACTGCTGCATCAAAAGAGAGGTTCCACTCTGTTAGCTGAGTACACACAACACAAACTTGTTTCTCAGAATCCTTCTGTCTCGTTTTTATGGGAAGATATTTACTTTCTCACCGTAGGCCTCAAAGCGCTCCAAATGTCCACATCCAGATACTCCAGAAAGAGTGTTTCAAACCTGCTCTATGAAAGGGAATCTTCAACTCTATGAGCTGAATCAGACATCAGAAAGAAATTTCTGAGAATGCTGCTGTCTACCTTTTATTTGAATTCCCGCTTCCAACGAAATCCTCCAAGCTATCCAAATATCCACTTGCAGATTCCACAAAAAGAGTGTTTCAAAACTGCTCTCTATCAATGGCAAAGTTCAACTCTGTTAGTTGAGGACACATATCACCAACAAGTTTCTGAGAATGCTTCTGTCTATTTTTTATGGGAAGATATTTCCTTTTTCACCGTAGGCGTCAAGGCGATCGAAATGTCCACTTCCACAAACTACAAAAAGAGTGTTTCAAACCTGCTCTATGAAAGGCCATGTTCATCTCTATGAGTCGAATGGGAATTATCCGAAAGAAATTTCTGGGAATGCTGCTGTCTAGTTTTTATACGAATTGCCGCTTCCAACGAAATCCTCAAAGCAATCCAAATATCCACTTGCAGAATCCACAAAAAGAGTGTTTCAAAACTGCTCTATCAATAGAAAGGTTCAACTCTTTTAGTTGAGTACACACATCACAAACAAGTTTACTGAGAATGCTCTGTCTGGCTTTTATTGGAAGACGTTTCCTTTTCACCAAAGGCATCAAAGCGCTCCAAATGTCCACTTCCAGATTCTTCCAAAAGAGTGTTTCAAACGTGCTCGAAGTAAGGGAATGTTCAACTCTGTGACTTGAATGCAGATATCACCAAGTAGTTTCTAATAGTGCTTCTGTCTAGATTTTAGATGATGATATTCCCGTTTCCAACGAAATCGTTAGAGCTATCCAAATATCCACTTACAGTTTCTACAAAAAGAGTGTTTCCAAACTGCTGCATCAAAAGAAAGGTTCAACTCTGTTAGTTGAGGACACACATCACAAAGAAGTTTGTGAGAATGCTTCTGTCTAGATTTTGTATGACCATATTCCCTTTTCCAGCGATATCATTAAAGCAATCTAAATATCCATTTGCAGAATCCACAAAAATAGAGTTTCAAAGCTGCTCTGTAAAAAGAAAGGTTCCACTCTGTTAGCTGAGTACACACATCACAAACTTGTTTCTGAGAATCCTTCTGTCTCGTTTTTATGGGAAGATATTTACTTTTTCACCGTAGGCATCAAAGCGCTCCAAATGTCCACATCCAGATACTCCAGAAAGAGTGTTTCAAACCTGCTCTATGAAAGGGAATCTTGAACTCTATGAGTTGAATGCAGACATCAGAAAGAAATTTCTGAGAATGCTGCTGTCTACCTTTTATTTGAATTCCCGCTTCCAACGAAATCCTCCAAGCTATCCAAATATCCACCTGCATTTTCCACAAAAAGAGCGTTTCAAAACTGCTCTATCAATAGAAATGTTCAACTCCTTTGGCTGGGTACACACATCACAAACAAGTTTCTGAGAATGCTTCTGTCTACTTTTTATGGGAAGACGTTCCCTTTTTCACCAAAGGCATCAAAGTGCTCCAAATGTCCACTTCCAGACACTACAAAAAGAGTGTTTCCAACGTGCTCTAAGAAAGCGAATGTTCAACTCTGTTACTTGAATGCAGATATCACAAAGTAGTTTCTGAGAGGGCTTCTGTCTAGATTTTAGATGATGATATTCCCGTTTCCAACGAAATCATTAGAGCTATCCAAATATCCACATACAGTTTCTACAAAAAGAGTGTTTCCAAACTGCTGCATCAAAAGACAGGTTCCACTCTGTTAGCTGAGTACACACATCACAAACTTGTTTCTCAGAATCCTGCTGTCTACCTTTTATTTGAATTCCCGCTTCCAACGAAATCCTCCAAGCTATTCAAATATCCACTTGCATTTTCCACAAAAAGAGTGTTTCAAAACTGCTCTATCAATAGAAACGTTCAACTCCTTTAGCTGGGTACACACATCACAAACAAGTTTCTGAGAATGCTTCTGTCTATTTTTTATGGGAAGATATTTCCTTTTTCACCGTAGGCGTCAAGGCGATCGAAATGTCCACTTCCACAAACTACAAAAAGAGTGTTTCAATATGAAAGGCCATGTTCATCTCTATGAGTTGAATGGAAATATCCGAAAGAAATTTCTGGGAATGCTGCTGTCTAGTGTTTATACGAATTCCCGCTTCCAACGAAATCCTCAAGGCAATCCAAATATCCACTTGCAGAATCCACAAAAAGAGGGTTTCAAAACTGCTCTATCAATAGAAAGGTTCAACTCTTTTAGTTGAGTACACACATCACAAACAAGTTTCTGAGAATGCTTCTGTCTGGCTTTTATTGGAAGACGTTTCCTTTTCACCAAAGGCATCAAAGCGCTCCAAATGTCCACTTCCAGATTCTTCCAAAAGAGTGTTTCAAACGTGCTCAAAGTAAGGGAATGTTCAACTCTTTGACTTGAATGCAGATATCACCAAGTAGTTTCTAATAGTGCTTCTGTCTAGATTTTAGATGATGATATTCCCGTTTCCAACGAAATCGTTAGAGCTATCCAAATATCCACTTACAGTTTCTACAAAAAGAGTGTTTCCAAACTGCTGCATCAAAAGAAAGGTTCAACTCTGTTAGTTGAGGACACACATCACAAAGAAGTTTGTGAGAATGCTTCTGTCCAGATTTTGTATGACGATATTCCCTTTTCCAACGATATCGTTAAAGCAATCTAAATATCCATTTGCAGAATCCACAAAAATAGAGTTTCAAAGCTGCTCTGTAAAAAGAATGGTTCCACTCTGTTAGCTGAGTACACACATCACAAACTTGTTTCTGAGAATCCTTCTGTCTCGTTTTTATGGGAAGATATTTACTTTTTCACCTTAGGCATCAAAGCGCTCCAAATGTCCACATCCAGATACTCCAGAAAGAGTGTTTCAAACCTGCTCTATGAAAGGGAATCTTCAACTCTATGAGTTGAATGCAGACATCAGAAAGAAATTTCTGAGAATGCTGTTGTCTACCTTTTATTTGAAATCCCGCTTCCAACGAAATCCTCCAAGCTATCCAAATATCCACTTGCATTTTCCACAAAAAGAGTGTTTCAAAACTGCTCTATCAATAGAAATGTTCAACTCCTTTAGCTGGGTACACACATCACAAACAAGTTTCTGAGAATGCTTCTGTCTAGTTTTTATGGGAAGACGTTCCCTTTTTCACCAAAGGCATCAAAGCGCTCCAAATGTCCACTTCCAGACACTACAAAAAGAGTGTTTCAAACGTGCTCTAAGAAAGCAAATGTTCAACTCTGTGACTTGAATGCAGATATCACAAAGTAGTTTCTGAGAGTGCTTCTGTCTAGATTTTAGATGATGATATTCCCGTTTCCAACGAAATCATTAGAGCTATCCAAATATCCACTTACAGTTTCCACAAAAAGAGTGTTTCCAAACTGCTGCATCAAAAGAGAGGTTCCACTCTGTTAGCTGAGTACACACATCACAAACTTGTTTCTGAGAATCCTTCTGTCTCGTTTTTATGGGAAGATATTTACTTTTTCACCGTAGGCATCAAAGCGCTCCAAATGTCCACATCCAGATACTCCAGAACGAGTGTTTCAAACCTGCTCTATGAAAGGGAATGTTCAACTCTATGAGTTGAATGCAGACATCAGAAAGAAATTTCTGAGAATGCTGCTGTCTACCTTTTATTTGAATTCCCGCTTCCAACGAAATCCTCCAAGCTATCCAAATATCCACTTGCAGATTCAGGAAAAAGAGTGTTTCAAAACTGCTCTCTATCAATGGCAAAGTTCAACTCTGTTAGTTGAGGACACATATCACCAACAAGTTTCTGAGAATGCTTCTGTCTATTTTTTATGGGAAGATATTTCCTTTTTCACCGTAGGCGTCAAGGCGATCGAAATGTCCACTTCCACAAACTACAAAAAGAGTGTTTCAAACCTGCTCTATGAAAGGCCATGTTCATCTCTATGAGTCGAATGGAAATATCCGAAAGAAATTTCTGGGAATGCTGCTGTCTAGTTTTTATATGAATTCCCGCTTCCAACGAAAGCCTCAAAGCAATCCAAATATCCACTTGCAGAATCCACAAAAAGAGTGTTTCAAAACTGCTCTATCAATAGAAAGGTTCAACTCTTTTAGTTGAGTACACACATCACCAACAAGTTTCTGAGAATGCTTCTGTCTGGCTTTTATTGGAAGACGTTTCCTTTTCACCAAAGGCATCAAAGCGCTCCAAATGTCCACTTCCAGATTCTTCCAAAAGAGTGTTTCAAACGTGCTCAAAGTAAGGGAATGTTCAACTCTTTGACTTGAATGCAGATATCACCAAGTAGTTTCTAATAGTGCTTCTGTCTAGATTTTAGATGATGATATTCCCGTTTCCAACGAAATCGTTAGAGCTATCAAAATATCCACTTACAGTTTCTACCAAAAGGGTGTTTCCAAACTGCTGCATCAAAAGAAAGGTTCAACTCTGTTAGTTGAGGACACACATCACAAAGAAGTTTGTGAGAATGCTTCTGTCTAGATTTTGTATGACGATATTCCCTTTTCCAACGATATCGTTAAAGCAATCTAAATATCCATTTGCAGAATCCACAAAAATAGAGTTTCAAAGCTGCTCTGTAAAAAGAAAGGTTCCACTCTGTTAGCTGAGTACACACATCACAAACTTGTTTCTCAGAATCCTTCTGTCTCGTTTTTCTGGGAAGATATTTACTTTTTCACCGTAGGCATCAAAGCGCTCCAAATGTCCACATCCAGATACTCCAGAAAGAGTGTTTCAAACCTGCTCTATGAAAGGGAATCTTCAACTCTGTGAGTTGAATGCAGACATCAGAAAGAAATTTCTGAGAATGCTGCTGTCTACCTTTTATTTGAATTCCCGCTTCCAACGAAATCCTCCAAGCTATCCAAATATCCACTTGCATTTTCCACAAAAAGAGTGTTTCAAAACTGCTCTATCAATAGAAATGTTCAACTCCTTTAGCTGGGTACACACATCACAAACAAGTTTCTGAGAATGCTTCTGTCTACTTTTTATGGGAAGACATTCCCTTTTTCACCAAAGGCATCAAAGCGCTCCAAATGTCCACTTCCAGACACTACAAAAAGAGTGTTTCCAACGTGCTCTAAGAAAGCGAATGTTCAACTCTGTGACTTGAATGCAGATATCACAAAGTAGTTTCTGAGAGGGCTTCTTTCTAGATTTTAGATGATGATATTCCCGTTTCCAACGAAATCATTAGAGCTATCCAAATATCCACTTACAGTTTCTACAAAAAGAGTGTTTCCAAACTGCTGCATCAAAAGAGAGGTTCCACTCTGTTAGCTGAGTACACACATCACAAACTTGTTTCTCAGAATCCTTCTGTGTCGTTTTTATGGGAAGATATTTACTTTTTCACCGTAGGCATCAAAGCGCTCCAAATGTCCACATCCAGATACTCCAGAAAGAGTGTTTCAAACCTGCTCTATGAAAGGGAATCTTCAACTCTATGAGTTGAATGCAGACATCAGAAAGAAATTTCTGAGAATGCTGCTGTCTACTTTTTATTTGAATTCCCGCTTCCAACGAAATCCTCCAAGCTATCCAAATATCCACTTGCAGATTCCACAAAAAGAGTGTTTCAAAACTGCTCTCTATCAATGGCAAAGTTCAACTCTGTTAGTTGAGGACACATATCACCAACAAGTTTCTGAGAATGCTTCTGTCTATTTTTTATGGGAAGATATTTCCTTTTTCACCGTAGGCGTCAAGGCGATCGAAATGTCCACTTCCACAAACTACAAAAAGAGTGTTTCAAACCTGCTCTATGAAAGGCCATGTTCATCTCTATGAGTTGAATGGAAATATCCGAAAGAAATTTCTGGGAATGCTGCTGTCTAGTGTTTATACGAATTCCCGCTTCCAACGAAATCCTCAAAGCAATCCAAATATCCACTTGCAGAATCCACAAAAAGAGTGTTTCAAAACTGCGCTATCCAAAGAAAGGTTCAACTCTTTTAGTTGAGTACACACATCACGAACAAGTTTCTGAGAATGCTTCAGTCTGGCTTTTATTGGAAGACGTTTCCTTTTCACCAAAGGCATCAAAGCGCTCCAAATGTCCACTTCCAGATTCTTCCAAAAGAGTGTTTGAAACGTGCCCAAAGTAAGGGAATGTTCAACTCTGTGACTTGAATGCAGATATCACCAAGTAGTTTCTAATAGTGCTTCTGTCTAGATTTTAGATGATGATATTCCCGTTTCCAACGAAATCGTTAGAGCTATCCAAATATCCACTTACAGTTTCTACAAAAAGAGTGTTTCCAAACTGCTGCATCAAAAGAAAGGTTCAACTCTGTTAGTTGAGGACACACATCACAAAGAAGTTTGTGAGAATGCTTCTGTCTAGATTTTGTATGACCATATTCCCTTTTCCAGCGATATCATTAAAGCAATCTAAATATCCATTTGCAGAATCCACAAAAATAGAGTTTCAAAGCTGCTGCTGTAAAAAGAAAGGTTCCACTCTGTTAGCTGAGTACACACATCACAAACTTGTCTCTCAGAATCCTCTGTCTCGTTTTTATGGGAAGATATTTACTTTTTCACCGTAGGCATCAAAGCGCTCCAAATGTCCACATCCAGATACTCCAGAAAGAGTGTTTCAAACCTGCTCTATGAAAGGGAATCTTCAACTCTATGAGTTGAATGCAGACATCAGAAAGAAATTTCTGAGAATGCTGCTGTCTACCTTTTATTTGAATTCCCGCTTCCAACGAAATCCTCCAAGCTATCCAAATATCCACCTGCATTTTCCACAAAAAGAGTGTTTCAAAACTGCTCTATCAATAGAAATGTTCAACTCCTTTGGCTGGGTACACACATCACAAACAAGTTTCTGAGAATGCTTCTGTCTAGTTTTTATGGGTAGACATTCCCTTTTTCACCAAAGGAATCAAAGCCCTCCAAATGTCCACTTCCAGACACTACAAAAAGAGTGTTTCAAACGTGCTCTAAGAAAGCGAATGTTCAACTCTGTGACTTGAATGCAGATATCACAAAGTAGTTTCTGAGAGGGCTTCTGTCTAGATTTTAGATGATGATATTCCCGTTTCCAACGAAATCATTAGAGCTATCCAAATATCCACTTACAGTTTCTACAAAAAGAGTGTTTCCAAACTGCTGCATCAAAAGAGAGGTTCCACTCTGTTAGCTGAGTACACACATCACAAACTTGTTTCTCAGAATCCTTCTGTCTCGTTTTTATGGGAAGATATTTACTTTTTCACCGTAGGCATCAAAGCGCTCCAAATGTCCACATCCAGATACTACAGAAAGAGTATTTCAAACCTGCCCTATGAAAGGGAATGTTCAACTCTATGAGTTGAATGCAGAGATCAGAAAGAAATTTCTGAGAATGCTGCTGTCTACCCTTTATTTGAATTCCCGCTTCCAACGAAATCCTCCAAGCTATCCAAATATCCACTTGCAGATTCCACAAAAAGAGTGTTTCAAAACTGCTCTCTATCAATGGCAAAGTTCAACTCTGTTAGTTGAGGACACATATCACCAACAAGTTTCTGAGAATGCTTCTGTCTATTTTTTATGGGAAGATATTTCCTTTTTCACCGTAGGCGTCAAGGCGATCGAAATGTCCACTTCCACAAACTACAAAAAGAGTGTTTCAAACCTGCTCTATGAAAGGCCATGTTCATCTCTATGAGTCGAATGGAAATATCCGAAAGAAATTTCTGGGAATGCTGCTGTCTAGTGTTTATACGAATTCCCGCTTCCAACGAAATCCTCAACCAATCCAAATATCCACTTGCAGAATCCACAAAAAGAGTGTTTCAAAACTGCTCTATCAATAGAAAGGTTCAACTCTTTTAGTTGAGTACACACATCACAAACAAGTTTCTGAGAATGCTTCTGTCTGGCTTTTATTGGAAGACGTTTCCTTTTCACCAAAGGCATCAAAGCGCTCCAAATGTCCACTTCCAGATTCTTCCAAAAGAGTGTTTCAAACGTGCTCAAAGTAAGGGAATGTTCAACTCTGTGACTTGAATGCAGATATCACCAAGTAGTTTCTAATAGTGCTTCTGTCTAGATTTTAGATGATGATATTCCCGTTTCCAACGAAATCGTTAGAGCTAAGCAAATATCCAGTTACAGTTTCTACCAAAAGGGTGTTTCCAAATTGCTGCATCAAAAGAAAGGTTCAACTACTGTTAGTTGAGGACACACATCACAAAGAAGTTTGTGAGAATGCTTCTGTCTAGATTTTGTATGACGATATTCCCTTTTCCAATGATATCGTTAAAGCAATCTAAATATCAATTTGCAGAATCCACAAAAATAGAGTTTCAAAGCTGCTCTGTAAAAAGAAAGGTTCCACTCCGTTAGCTGAGTACACACATCACAAACTTGTTTCTCAGAATCCTGCTGTCTACCTTTTATTTGAACTCCCGCTTCCAACGAAATCCTCCAAGCTATCCAAATATCCACTTGCATTTTCCACAAAAAGAGTGCTTCAAAACTGCTCTATCAATAAATGTTCAACTCCTTTAGCTGGGTGCACACATCACAAACAAGTTTCTGAGAATGCTTCTGTCTGGTTTTTATGGGAAGACATTCCCTTTTTCACCAAAGGCATCAAAGCGCTCCAAATGTCCACTTCCAGACACTACAAAAAGAGTGTTTCCAACGTGCTCTAAGAAAGCGAATGTTCAACTCTGTGACTTGAATGCAGATATCACAAAGTAGTTTCTGAGAGGGCTTCTGTCTAGATTTTAGATGATGATATTCCCGTTTCCAACGAAATCATTAGAGCTATCCAAATATCCACTTACAGTTTCTACAAAAAGAGTGTTTCCAAACTGCTGCATCAAAAGAGAGGTTCCACTCTGTTAGCTGAGTACACACATCACAAACTTGTTTCTCAGAATCCTTCTGTCTCGTTTTTATGGGAAGATATTTACTTTTTCACCGTAGGCATCAAAGCACTCCAAATGTCCACATCCAGATACTCCAGAAAGAGTGTTTCAAACCTGCTCTATGAAAGGGAATCTTCAACTCTATGAGTTGAATGCAGACATCAGAAAGAAATTTCTGAGAATGCTGCTGTCTACCTTTTATTTGAATTCCCGCTTCCAACGAAATCCTCCAAGCTATCCAAATATCCACTTGCAGATTCCACAAAAAGAGTGTTTCAAAACTGCTCTCTATCAATGGCAAAGTTCAACTCTGTTAGTTGAGGACACATATCACCAACAAGTTTCTGAGAATGCTTCTGTCTATTTTTTATGGGAAGATATTTCCTTTTTCACCGTAGGCGTCAAGGCGATCGAAATGTCCACTTCCACAAACTACAAAAAGAGTGTTTCAAACCTGCTCTATGAAAGGCGATGTTCATCTCTATGAGTTGAATGGAAATATCCGAAAGAAATTTCTGGGAATGCTGCTGTCTAGTTTTTATACGAATTCCCGCTTCCAACGAAATCCTCAAAGGAATCCAAATATCCACTTGCAGAATCCACAAAAAGAGTGTTTCAAAACTGCTCTATCAATAGAAAGGTTCAACTCTTTTAGTTGAGTACACACATCACAAACAAGTTTCTGAGAATGCTTCTGTCTGGCTTGTATTGGAAGACGTTTCCTTTTCACCAAAGGCATCAAAGCGCTCCAAATGTCCACTTCCAGATTCTTCCAAAAGAGTGTTTCAAACGTGCTCAAAGTAAGGGAATGTTCAACTGCTGTGACTTGAATGCAGATATCACCAAGTAGTTTCTAATAGTGCTTCTGTCTACATTTTAGATGATGATATTCCCGTTTCCAACAAAATCGTTAGAGCTATCCAAATATCCAGTTACAGTTTCTACCAAAAGGGTGTTTCCAAATTGCTGCATCAAAAGAAAGGTTCAACTCTGTTAGTTGAGGACACACATCACAAAGAAGTTTGTGAGAATGCTTCTGTCTAGATTTTGTATGACGATATTCCCTTTTCCAACGATATCGTTAAAGCAATCTAAATATCAATTTGCAGAATCCACAAAAATAGAGTTTCAAAGCTGCTCTGTAAAAAGAAAGGTTCCACTCTGTTAGCTGAGTACACACATCACAAACTTGTTTCTGAGAAACCTTCTGTCTCGTTTTTATGGGAAGATATTTACTTTTCCACTGTAGGCATCAAAGCGCTCCAAATGTCCACATCCAGATACTCCAGAACGAGTGTTTCAAACCTGCTCTATGAAAAGGAATCTTCAACTCTATGAGTTGAATGCAGAATCAGAAAGAAATTTCTGAGAATGCTGCTGTCTACCTTTTATTTGAACTCCCGCTTCCAACGAAATCTTCCAAGCTATCCAAATATCCACTTGCATTTTCCACAAAAAGAGTGCTTCAAAACTGCTCTATCAATAGAAATGTTCAACTCCTTTAGCTGGGTGCACACATCACAAACAAGTTTCTGAGAATGCTTCTGTCTAGTTTTTATGGGTAGACATTCCCTTTTTCACCAAAGGAATCAAAGCGCTCCAAATGTCCACTTCCAGACACTACAAAAAGAGTGTTTCCAACGTGCTCTAAGAAAGCGAATGTTCAACTCTGTGACTTGAAGGCAGAAATCACAAAGTAGTTTCTGAGAGGGCTTCTGTCTAGATTTTAGATGATGATATTCCCGTTTCCAACGAAATCATTAGAGCTATCCAAATATCCACTTACGGTTTCTACAAAAAGAGTGTTTCCAAACTGCTGCATCAAAAGAGAGGTTCCACTCTGTTAGCTGAGTACACACATCACAAACTTGTTTCTGAGAATCCTTTCTGTCTCGTTTTTATGGGAAGATATTTACTTTCTCACCTTAGGCCTCAAAGCGCTCCAAATGTCCACATCCAGATACTCCAGAAAGAGTGTTTCAAACCTGCTTTATGAAAGGGAATCTTCAACTCTATGAGTTGAATGCAGACATCAGAAAGAAATTTCTGAGAATGCTGCTGTCTACCTTTTATTTGAATTCCCGCTTCCAACGAAATCCTCCAAGCTATCCAAATATCCACTTGCAGATTCCACAAAAAGAGTGTTTCAAAACTGCTCTCTATCAATGGCAAAGTTCAACTCTGTTAGTTGAGGACACATATCACCAACAAGTTTCTGAGAATGCTTCTGTCTATTTTTTATGGGAAGATATTTCCTTTTTCACCGTAGGCGTCAAGGCGATCGAAATGTCCACTTCCACAAACTACAAAAAGAGTGTTTCAAACCTGCTCTATGAAAGGCCATGTTCATCTCTATGAGTTGAATGGAAATATACGAAAGAAATTTCTGGGAATGCTGCTGTCTAGTTTTTATACGAATTCCCGCTTCCAACGAAATCCTCAAAGCAATCCAAATATCCACTTGCAGAATCCACAAAAAGAGTGTTTCAAAACTGCTCTATCAATAGAAAGGTTCAACTCTTTTAGTTGAGTACACACATCACAAACAAGTTTCTGAGAATGCTTCTGTCTGGCTTTTATTGGAAGACGTTTCCTTTTCACCAAAGGCATCATCAAAGCGCTCCAAATGTCCACTTCCAGATTCTTCCAAAAGAGTGTTTCAAACGTGCTCAAAGTAAGGGAATGTTCAACTCTGTGACTTGAATGCAGATATCACCAAGTAGTTTCTAATAGTGCTTTCTGTCTACATTTTAGATGATGATATTCCCTTTTCCAACGAAATCGTTAGAGCTATCCAAATATCCAGTTACAGTTTCTACCAAAAGGGTGTTTCCAAATTGCTGCATCAAAAGAAAGGTTCAACTCTGTTAGTTGAGGACACACATCACAAAGTAAGTTTGTGAGAATGCTTCTGTCTAGTATTTTGTATGACGATATTCCCTTTTCCAACGATATCATTAAAGCAATCTAAATATCCATTTGCAGAATCCACAAAAATAGAGTTTCAAAGCTGCTCTGTAAAAAGAAAGGTTCCACTCTGTTAGCTGAGTACACACATCACAAACTTGTTTCTCAGAATCCTTCTGTCTCGTTTTTATGGGAAGATATTTACTTTTTCACCGTAGGCATCAAAGCGCTCCAAATGTCCACATCCAGATACTCCAGAAAGAGTGTTTCA
Organism: Homo sapiens; assembly: GCF_000001405.40. NCBI lineage: Eukaryota > Metazoa > Chordata > Mammalia > Primates > Hominidae > Homo > Homo sapiens. The sequence goes on along the minus strand of NC_000021.9, from coordinate 12,805,407 downwards.
AACCTGCTCTATGAAAGGGAATCTTCAACTCTATGAGTTGAATGCAGACATCAGAAAGAAATTTCTGAGAATGCTGCTGTCTACCTTTTATTTGAATTCCCGCTTCCAACGAAATCCTCCAAGCTATCCAAATATCCACTTGCATTTTCCACAAAAAGAGTGTTTCAAAACTGCTCTATCAATAGAAATGTTCAACTCCCTTTGGCTGGGTACACACATCACAAACAAGTTTCTGAGAATGCTTCTGTCTAGTTTTTATGGGAAGACGTTCCCTTTTTCACCAAAGGCAACAAAGCGCTCCAAATGTCCACTTCCAGACACTACAAAAAGAGTGTTTCCAACGTGCTCTAAGAAAGCGAATGTTCAACTCTGTGACTTGAATGCAGATATCACAAAGTAGTTTCTGAGAGGGCTTCTGTCTAGATTTTAGATGATGATATTCCCGTTTCCAACGAAATCATTAGAGCTATCCAAATATCCACTTACAGTTTCTACAAAAAGAGTGTTTCCAAACTGCTGCATCAAAAGAGAGGTTCCACTCTGTTAGCTGAGTACACACATCACAAACTTGTTTCTCAGAATCCTTCTGTCTCGTTTTTATGGGAAGATATTTACGTTTCCACCGTAGACATCAAAGCGCTCCAAATGTCCACATCCAGATACTCCAGAAAGAGTGTTTCAAACCTGCTCTATGAAAGGGAATCTTCAACTCTATGAGTTGAATGCAGACATCAGAAAGAAATTTCTGAGAATGCTGCTGTCTACCTTTTATTTGAATTCCCGCTTCCAACGAAATCCTCCAAGCTATCCAAATATCCACTTGCAGATTCCACAAAAAGAGTGTTTCAAAACTGCTCTCTATCAATGGCAAAGTTCAACTCTGTTAGTTGAGGACACATATCACCAACAAGTTTCTGAGAATGCTTCTGTCTATTTTTTATGGGAAGATATTTCCTTTTTCACTGTAGGCGTCAAGGCGATCGAAATGTCCACTTCCACAAACTACAAAAAGAGTGTTTCAAACCTGCTCTATGAAAGGCGATGTTCATCTCAATGAGTTGAATGGAAATATCCGAAAGAAATTTCTGGGAATGCTGCTGTCTTGTTTTTATATGAATTCCCGCTTCCAACGAAATCCTCAAAGCAATCCAAATATCCACTTGCAGAATCCACAAAAAGAGTGTTTCAAAACTGCTCTATCAATAGAAAGGTTCAACTCTTTTAGTTGAGTACATACATCACCAACAAGTTTCTGAGAATGCTTCTGTCTGGCTTTTATTGGAAGACGTTTCCTTTTCACCAAAGGCATCAAAGCGCTCCAAATGTCCACTTCCAGATTCTTCCAAAAGAGTGTTTCAAACGTGCTCAAAGTAAGGGAATGTTCAACTCTGTGACTTGAATGCAGATATCACCAAGTAGTTTCTAATAGTGCTTCTGTCTAGATTTTAGATGATGATATTCCCGTTTCCAACGAAATCGTTAGAGCTATCCAAATATCCACTTACAGTTTCTACCAAAAGGGTGTTTCCAAATTGCTGCATCAAAAGAAAGGTTCAACTCTGTTAGTTGAGGACACACATCACAAAGAAGTTTGTGAGAATGCTTCTGTCTAGATTTTGTATGACGGTATTCCCTTTTCCAACGATATCGTTAAAGCAATCTAAATATCAATTTGCAGAATCCACAACAATAGAGTTTCAAAGCTGCTCTGTAAAAAGAAAGGTTCCACTCTTTTAGCTGAGTACACACATCGCAAACTTGTTTCTGAGAATCCTTCTCTCTCGTTTTTATGGGAAGATATTTACTTTTTCACCGTAGGCATCAAAGCGCTCCAAATGTCCACATCCAGATACTCCAGAAAGAGTGTTTCAAACCTGCTCTATGAAAGGGAATCTTCAACTCTATGAGTTGAATGCAGACATCAGAAAGAAATTTCTGAGAATGCTGCTGTCTACCTTTTATTTGAAATCCCGCTTCCAACGAAATCCTCCAAGCTATCCAAATATCCACTTGCATTTTCCACAAAAAGAGTGTTTCAAAACTGCTCTATCAATAGAAATGTTCAACTCCTTTAGCTGGGTACACACATCACAAACAAGTTTCTGAGAATGCTTCTGTCTAGTTTTTATGGGAAGACATTCCCTTTTTCACCAAAGGCATCAAAGCGCTCCAAATGTCCACTTCCAGACACTACAAAAAGAGTGTTTCCAACGTGCTCTAAGAAAGCGAATGTTCAACTCTGTGACTTGAATGCAGATATCACAAAGTAGTTTCTGAGAGTGCTTCTGTCTAGATTTTAGATGATGATATTCCCGTTTCCAACGAAATCATTAGAGCTATCCAAATATCCACTTACAGTTTCTACAAAAAGAGTATTTCCAAACTGCTGCATCAAAAGAGAGGTTCCACTCTGTTAGCTGAGTACACACATCACAAACTTGTTTCTGAGAATCCTTCTGTCTCGTTTTTATGGGAAGATATTTACTTTTTCACCATAGGCATCAAAGCGCTCCAAATGTCCACGTCCAGATACTCCAGAAAGAGTGTTTCAAACCTCCTCTATGAAAGGGAATCTTCAACTCTATGAGTTGAATGCAGACATCAGAAAGAAATTTCTGAGAATGCTGCTGTCTACCTTTTATTTGAATTCCCGCTTCCAACGAAATCCTCCAAGCTATCCAAATATCCACTTGCAGATTCCACAAAAAGAGTGTTTCAAAACTGCTCTCTATCAATCGCAAAGTTCAACTCTGTTAGTTGAGGACACATATCACCAACAAGTTTCTGAGAATGCTTCTGTCTATTTTTTATGGGAAGATATTTCCTTTTTCACCGTAGGCGTCAAGGCGATCGAAATGTCCACTTCCACAAACTACAAAAAGAGTGTTTCAAACCTGCTCTATGAAAGGCCATGTTCATCTCTATGAGTTGAATGGAAATATCCGAAAGAAATTTCTGGGAATGCTGCTGTCTAGTTTTTATATGAATTCCCGCTTCCAACGAAATCCTCAAAGCAATCCAAATATCCACTTGCAGAATCCACAAAAAGAGTGTTTCAAAACTGCGCTATCAATAGAAAGGTTCAACTCTTTTAGTTGAGTACACACATCACGAACAAGTTTCTGAGAATGCTTCTGTCTGGCTTTTATTGGAAGACGTTTCCTTTTCACCAAAGGCATCAAAGCGCTCCAAATGTCCACTTCCAGATTCTTCCAAAAGAGTGTTTCAAACGTGCTCGAAGTAAGGGAATGTTCTACTCTGTGACTTGAATGCAGATATCACCAAGTAGTTTCTAATAGTGCTTCTGTCTAGATTTTAGATGATGATATTCCCGTTTCCAACGAAATCGTTAGAGCTATCCAAATATCCACTTACAGTTTCTACAAAAAGAGTGTTTCCAAACTGCTGCATCAAAAGAAAGGTTCAACTCTGTTAGTTGAGGACACACATCACAAAGAAGTTTGTGAGAATGCTTCTGTCTAGATTTTGTATGACCATATTCCCTTTTCCAGCGATATCATTAAAGCAATCTAAATATCCATTTGCAGAATCCACAAAAATAGAGTTTCAAAGCTGCTCTGTAAAAAGAAAGGTTCCACTCTGTTAGCTGAGTACACACATCACAAACTTGTTTCTCAGAATCCTTCTGTCTCGTTTTTATGGGAAGATATTTACTTTTTCACCGTAGGCATCAAAGCGCTCCAAATGTCCACAACCAGATACTCCAGAAAGAGTGTTTCAAACCTGCTCTATGAAAGGGAATCTTCAACTCTATGAGCTGAATGCAGACATCAGAAAGAAATTTCTGAGAATGCTGCTGTCTACCTTTTATTTGAATTCCCGCTTCCAACGAAAACCTCCAAGCTATCCAAATATCCACTTGCATTTTCCACAAAAAGAGTGTTTCAAAACTGCTCTATCAATAGAAATGTTCAACTCCTTTGGCTGGGTACACACATCACAAACAAGTTTCTGAGAATGCTTCTGTCTAGTTTTTATGGGAAGACGTTCCCTTTTTCACCAAAGGCATCAAAGCGCTCCAAATGTCCACTTCCAGACACTACAAAAAGAGTGTTTCAAACGTGCTCTAAGAAAGCGAATGTTCAACTCTGTGACTTGAATGCAGATATCACAAAGTAGTTTCTGAGAGGGCTTCTGTCTAGATTTTAGATGATGATATTCCCGTTTCCAACGAAATCATTAGAGCTATCCAAATATCCACTTACAGTTTCTACAAAAAGAGTGTTTCCAAACTGCTGCATCAAAAGAGAGGTTCCACTCTGTTAGCTGAGTACACACATCACAAACTTGTTTCTCAGAATCCTCTGTCTCGTTTTTATGGGAAGAGATTTACTTTTTCACCGTAGGCATCAAAGCGCTCCAAATGTCCACATCCAGATACTCCAGAAAGAGTGTTTCAAACCTGCTCTATGAAAGGGAATCTTCAACTCTATGAGTTGAATGCAGACATCAGAAAGAAATTCCTGAGAATGCTGCTGTCTACCTTTTATTTGAATTCCCGCTTCCAACGAAATCCTCCAAGCTATCCAAATATCCACTTGCAGATTCCACAAAAAGAGTGTTTCAAAACTGCTCTCTATCAATGGCAAAGTTCAACTCTGTTAGTTGAGGACACATATCACCAACAAGTTTCTGAGAATGCTTCTGTCTATTTTTTATGGGAAGATATTTCCTTTTTCACCGTAGGCGTCAAGGCGATCGAAATGTCCACTTCCACAAACTACAAAAAGAGTGTTTCAAACCTGCTCTATGAAAGGCGATGTTCATCTCTATGAGTTGAATGGAAATATCCGAAAGAAATTTCTGGGAATGCTGCTGTCTAGTGTTTATATGAATTCCCGCTTCCAACGAAATCCTCAAAGCAATCCAAATATCCACTTGCAGAATCCACAAAAAGAGTGTTTCAAAACTGCTCTATCAATAGAAAGGTTCAACTCTTTTAGTTGAGTACACACATCACCAACAAGTTTCTGAGAATGCTTCTGTCTAGATTTTAGATGATGATATTCCCGTTTCCAACGAAATCGTTAGAGCTATCCAAATGTCCACTTACAGTTTCTACAAAAAGAGTGTTTCCAAACTGCTGCATCAAAAGAAAGGTTCAACTCTGTTAGTTGAGGACACACATCACAAAGAAGTTTGTGAGAATGCTTCTGTCTAGATTTTGTATGACGATATTCCCTTTTCCAACGATATCGTTAAAGCAATCTAAATATCAATTTGCAGAATCCACAAAAATAGAGTTTCAAAGCTGCTCTGTAAAAAGAAAGGTTCCACTCTTTTAGCTGAGTACACACATCACAAACTTGTTTCTGAGAATCCTTCTGTCTCGTTTTTATGGGAAGATATTTACTTTTTCACCGTAGGCATCAAAGCGCTCCAAATGTCCACATCCAGATACTCCAGAAAGAGTGTTTCAAACCTGCTCTATGAAAGGGAATCTTCAACTGCTATGAGTTGAATGCAGACATCAGAAAGAAATTTCTGAGAATGCTGCTGTCTACCTTTTATTTGAATTCCCGCTTCCAACGAAATCCTCCAAGCTATCCAAATATCCACCTGCATTTTCCACAAAAAGAGTGTTTGAAAACTGCTCTATCAATAGAAATGTTCAACTCCTTTGGCTGGGTACACACATCACAAACAAGTTTCTGAGAATGCTTCTGTCTAGTTTTTATGGGAAGACGTTCCCTTTTTCACCAAAGTCATCAAAGCGCTCCAAATGTCCACTTCCAGACACTACAAAAAGAGTGTTTCAAACGTGCTCTAAGAAAGCGAATGTTCAACTCTGTGACTTGAATGCAGATATCACAAAGTAGTTTCTGAGAGGGCTTCTGTCTAGATTTTAGATGATGATATTCCCGTTTCCAACGAAATCATTAGAGCTATCCAAATATCCACTTACAGTTTCTACAAAAAGAGTGTTTCCAAACTGCTGCATCAAAAGAGAGGTTCCACTCTGTTAGCTGAGTACACACATCACAAACTTGTTTCTCAGAATCCTGCTGTCTACCCTTTATTTGAATTCCCGCTTCCAACGAAATCCTCCAAGCTATCCAAATATCCACTTGCAGATTCCACAAAAAGAGTGTTTCAAAACTGCTCTCTATCAATGGCAAAGTTCAACTCTGTTAGTTGAGGACACATATCACCAACAAGTTTCTGAGAATGCTTCTGTCTATTTTTTATGGGAAGATATTTCCTTTTTCAGCGTAGGCGTCAAGGCGATCGAAATGTCCACTTCCACAAACTACAAAAAGAGTGTTTCAAACCTGCTCTATGAAAAGCCATGTTCATCTCTATGAGTTGAATGGAAATATCCGAAAGAAATTTCTGGGAATGCTGCTGTCTAGTGTTTATACGAATTCCCGCTTCCAACGGAAATCCTCAAAGCAATCCAAATATCCACTTGCAGAATCCACAAAAAGAGTGTTTCAAAACTGCTCTATCAATAGAAAGGTTCAACTCTTTTAGTTGAGTACACACATCACGAACAAGTTTCTGAGAATGCTTCTGTCTGGCTTTTATTGGAAGACGTTTCCTTTTCACCAAAGGCATCAAAGCGCTCCAAATGTCCACTTCCAGATTCTTCCAAAAGAGTGTTTCAAACGTGGTCGAAGTAAGGGAATGTTCAACTCTGTGACTTGAATGCAGATATCACCAAGTAGTTTCTAATAGTGCTTCTGTCTAGATTTTAGATGATGATATTCCCGTTTCCAACGAAATCGTTAGAGCTATCCAAATATCCAGTTACAGTTTCTACCAAAAGGGTGTTTCCAAATTGCTGCATCAAAAGAAAGGTTCAACTCTGTTAGTTGAGGACACACATCACAAAGAAGTTTGTGAGAATGCTTATCCTGTCTAGATTTTGTATGACCATATTCCCTTTTCCAACGATATCATTAAAGCAATCTAAATATCCATTTGCAGAATCCACAAAAATAGAGTTTCAAAGCTGCTCTGTAAAAAGAAAGGTTCCACTCTGTTAGCTGAGTACACACATCACAAACTTGTCTCTCAGAATCCTTCTGTCTCGTTTTTATGGGAAGATATTTACTTTTTCACCGTAGGCATCAAAGCGCTCCAAATGTCCACATCCAGATACTCCAGAAAGAGTGTTTCAAACCTGCTCTATGAAAGGGAATCTTCAACTCTATGAGTTGAATGCAGACATCAGAAAGAAATTTCTGAGAATGCTGCTGTCTACCTTTTATTTGAATTCCCGCTTCCAACGAAATCCTCCAAGCTATCCAAATATCCACCTGCATTTTCCACAAAAAGAGCGTTTCAAAACTGCTCTATCAATAGAAATGTTCAACTCCTTTGGCTGGGTACACACATCACAAACAGGTTTCTGAGAATGCTTCTGTCTAGTTTTTATGGGAAGACGTTCCCTTTTTCACAAAGGCATCAAAGCGCTCCAAATGTCCACTTCCAGACACTACAAAAAGAGTGTTTCAAACGTGCTCTAAGAAAGCGAATGTTCAACTCTGTGACTTGAATGCAGATATCACAAAGTAGTTTCTGAGAGGGCTTCTGTCTAGATTTTAGATGATGATATTCCCGTTTCCAACGAAATCATTAGAGCTATCCAAATATCCACTTACAGTTTCTACAAAAAGAGTGTTTCCAAACTGCTGCATCAAAAGAGAGGTTCCACTCTGTTAGCTGAGTACACACATCACAAACTTGTTTCTCAGAATCCTGCTGTCTACCTTTTATTTGAATTCCCGCTTCCAACGAAATCCTCCAAGCTATCCAAATATCCACTTGCAGATTCCACAAAAAGAGTGTTTCAAAACTGCTCTCTATCAATGGCAAAGTTCAACTCTGTTAGTTGAGGACACATATCACCAACAAGTTTCTGAGAATGCTTCTGTCTATTTTTTATGGGAAGATATTTCCTTTTTCACCGTAGCCGTCAAGGCGATCGAAATGTCCACTTCCACAAACTACAAAAAGAGTGTTTCAAACCTGCTCTATGAAAGGCCATGTTCATCTCTATGAGTTGAATGGAAATATCCGAAAGAAATTTCTGGGAATGCTGCTGTCTAGTTTTTATATGAATTCCCGCTTCCAACGAAATCCTCAAAGCAATCCAAATATCCACTTGCAGAATCCACAAAAAGAGTGTTTCAAAACTGCTCTATCAATAGAAAGGTTCAACTCTTTTAGTTGAGTACACACATCACGAACAAGTTTCTGAGAATGCTTCTGTCTGGCTTTTATTGGAAGACGTTTCCTTTTCACCAAAGGCATCAAAGCGCTCCAAATGTCCACTTCCAGATTCTTCCAAAAGAGTGTTTCAAACGTGCTCGAAGTAAGGGAATGTTCAACTCTGTGACTTGAATGCAGATATCACCAAGTAGTTTCTAATAGTGCTTCTGTCTACATTTTAGATGATGATATTCCCGTTTCCAACGAAATCGTTAGAGCTATCCAAATATCCAGTTACAGTTTCTACCAAAAGGGTGTTTCCAAATTGCTGCATCAAAAGAAAGGTTCAACTCTGTTAGTTGAGGACACACATCACAAAGAAGTTTGTGAGAGTGCTTCTGTCTAGATTTTGTATGACCATATTCCCTTTTCCAGCGATATCATTAAAGCAATCTAAATATCCATTTGCAGAATCCACAAAAATAGAGTTTCAAAGCTGCTCTGTAAAAAGAAAGGTTCCACTCTGTTAGCTGAGTACACACATCACAAACTTGTTTCTCAGAATCCTTCTGTCTCGTTTTTATGGGAAGATATTTACTTTTTCACCGTAGGCATCAAAGCGCTCCAAATGTCCACATCCAGATACTCCAGAAAGAGTGTTTCAAACCTGCTCTATGAAAGGGAATCTTCAACTCTATGAGTTGAATGCAGACATCAGAAAGAAATTTCTGAGAATGCCGCTGTCAACCTTTTATTTGAATTCCCGCTTCCAACGAAATCCTCCAAGCTATCCAAATATCCACCTGCATTTTCCACAACAAGAGTGTTTCAAAACTGCTCTATCAATAGAAATGTTCAACTCCTTTGGCTGGGTACACACATCACAAACAAGTTTCTGAGAATGCTTCTGTCTAGTTTTTATGGGTAGACATTCCCTTTTTCACCAAAGGCATCAAAGCGCTCCAAATGTCCACTTCCAGACACTACAAAAAGAGTGTTTCAAACGTGCTCTAAGAAAGCGAATGTTCAACTCTGTGACTTGAATGCAGATATCACACAGTAGTTTCTGAGAGTGCTTCTGTCTAGATTTTAGATGATGATATTCCCGTTTCCAACGAAATCATTAGAGCTATCCAAATATCCACTTACAGTTTCTACAAAAAGAGTGTTTGCAAACTGCTGCATCAAAAGAGAGGTTCCACTCTGTTAGCTGAGTACACACATCACAAACTTGTTTCTCAGAATCCTTCTGTCTCGTTTTTATGGGAAGATATTTACTTTTTCACCGTAGGCATCAAAGCGCTCCAAATGTCCACATCCAGATACTCCAGAAAGAGTGTTTCAAACCTGCTCTATGAAAGGGAATCTTCAACTCTATGAGTTGAATGCAGAGATCAGAAAGAAATTTCTGAGAATGCTGCTGTCTACCTTTTATTTGAATTCCCGCTTCCAACGAAATCCTCCAAGCTATCCAAATATCCACTTGCAGATTCCACAAAAAGAGTGTTTCAAAACTGCTCTCTATCAATGGCAAAGTTCAACTCTGTTAGTTGAGGACACATATCACCAACAAGTTTCTGAGAATGCTTCTGTCTATTTTTTATGGGAAGATATTTCCTTTTTCACCGTAGGCGTCAAGGCGATCGAAATGTCCACTTCCACAAACTACAAAAAGAGTGTTTCAAACCTGCTCTATGAAAGGCCATGTTCATCTCTATGAGTCGAATGGAAATATCCGAAAGAAATTTCTGGGAATGCTGCTGTCTACCTTTTATTTGAATTCCCGCTTCCAACGAAATCCTCCAAGCTATCCAAATATCCACCTGCATTTTCCAAAACAAGAGTGTTTCAAAACTGCTCTATCAATAGAAATGTTCAACTCCTTTGGCTGGGTACACACATCACAAACAAGTTTCTGAGAATGCTTCTGTCTGGCTTTTATTGGAAGACGTTTCCTTTTCACCAAAGGCATCAAAGCGCTCCAAATGTCCACTTCCAGATTCTTCCAAAAGAGTGTTTCAAACGTGCTCGAAGTAAGGGAATGTTCTACTCTGTGACTTGAATGCAGATATCACCAAGTAGTTTCTAATAGTGCTTCTGTCTAGATTTTAGATGATGATATTCCCGTTTCCAACGAAATCGTTAGAGCTATCCAAATGTCCAGTTACAGTTTCTACCAAAAGGGTGTTTCCAAATTGCTGCATCAAAAGAAAGGTTCAACTCTGTTAGTTGAGGACACACATCACAAAGAAGTTTGTGAGAATGCTTCTGTCTAGATTTTGTATGACCATATTCCCTTTTCCAACGATATCGTTAAAGCAATCTAAATATCAATTTGCAGAATCCACAAAAATAGAGTTTCAAAGCTGCTCTGTAAAAAGAAAGGTTCCACTCTGTTAGCTGAGTTCACACATCACAAACTTGTTTCTGAGAATCCTGCTGTCTACCTTTTATTTGAATTCCCGCTTCCAACGAAATCCTCCAAGCTATCCAAATATCCACTTGCATTTTCCACAAAAAGAGTGTTTCAAAACTGCTCTATCAATAGAAATGTTCAACTCCTTTAGCTGGGTACACACATCACAAACAAGTTTCTGAGAATGCTTCTGTCTAGTTTTTATGGGAAGACGTTCCCTTTTTCACCAAAGGCATCAAAGCGCTCCAAATGTCCACTTCCAGACACTACAAAAAGAGTGTTTCCAACGTGCCCTAAGAAAGCGAATGTTCAACTCTGTGACTTGAATGCAGATATCACAAAGTAGTTTCTGAGAGGGCTTCTGTCTAGATTTTAGATGATGATATTCCCGTTTCCAACGAAATCATTAGAGCTATCCAAATATCCAATTACAGTTTCTACAAAAAGAGTGTTTCCAAACTGCTGCATCAAAAGAGAGGTTCCACTCTGTTAGCTGAGTACACACATCACAAACTTGTTTCTCAGAATCCTTCTGTCTCGTTTTTATGGGAAGATATTTACTTTTTCACCGTAGGCATCAAAGCGCTCCAAATGTCCACATCCAGATACTCCAGAAAGACTGTTTCAAACCTGCTCTATGAAAGGGAATGTTCAACTCTATGAGTTGAATGCAGACATCAGAAAGAAATTTCTGAGAATGCTGCTGTCTACCTTTTATTTGAATTCCCGCTTACAACGAAATCCTCCAAGCTATCCAAATATCCACCTGCATTTTCCACAACAAGAGTGTTTCAAAACTGCTCTATCAATAGAAATGTTCAACTCCTTTGGCTGGGTACACACATCACAAACAAGTTTCTGAGAATGCTTCTGTCTATTTTTTATGGGAAGATATTTCCTTTTTCACCGTAGGCGTCAAGGCGATCGAAATGTCCACTTCCACAAACTACAAAAAGAGTGTTTCAAACCTGCTGCTATGAAAGGCCATGTTCATCTCTATGAGTCGAATGGAAATATCCGAAAGAAATTTCTGGGAATGCTGCTGTCTAGTTTTTATACGAATTCCCGCTTCCAACGAAATCCTCAAAGCAATCCAAATATCCACTTGCAGAATCCACAAAAAGAGTGTTTCAAAACTGCTCTATCAATAGAAAGGTTCAACTCTTTTAGTTGAGTACACACATCACAAACAAGTTTCTGAGAATGCTTCTGTCTGGCTTTTATTGGAAGACGTTTCCTTTTCACCAAAGGCATCAAAGCGCTCCAAATGTCCACTTCCAGATTCTTCCAAAAGAGTGTTTCAAACGTGCTCAACGTAAGGGAATGTTCAACTCTGTGACTTGAATGCAGATATCACCAAGTAGTTTCTAATAGTGCTTCTGTCTAGATTTTAGATGATGATATTCCCGTTTCCAACGAAATCGTTAGAGCTATCCAAATATCCACTTACAGTTTCTACAAAAAGAGTGTTTCCAAACTGCTGCATCAAAAGAAAGGTTCAACTCTGTTAGTTGAGGACACACATCACAAAGAAGTTTGTGAGAATGCTTCTGTCTAGATTTTGTATGACCATATTCCCTTTTCCAGCGATATCATTAAAGCAATCTAAATATCCATTTGCAGAATCCACAAAAATAGAGTTTCAAAGCTGCTCTGTAAAAAGAAAGGTTCCACTCTGTTAGCTGAGTACACACATCACAAACTTGTCTCTCAGAATCCTTCTGTCTCGTTTTTATGGGAAGATATTTACTTTTTCACCGTAGGCATCAAAGCGCTCCAAATGTCCACATCCAGATACTCCAGAAAGAGTGTTTCAAACCTGCTCTATGAAAGGGAATCTTCAACTCTATGAGTTGAATGCAGACATCAGAAAGAAATTTCTGAGAATGCTGCTGTCTACCTTTTATTTGAATTCCCGCTTCCAACGAAATCCTCCAACCTATCCAAATATCCACTTGCATTTTCCACAAAAAGAGTGTTTCAAAACTGCTCTATCAATAGAAATGTTCAACTCCTTTAGCTGGGTACACACATCACAAACAAGTTTCTGAGAATCCTTCTGTCTAGTTTTTATGGGAAGACATTCCCTTTTTCACCAAAGGCATCAAAGCGCTCCAAATGTCCACTTCCAGACACTACAAAAAGAGTGTTTCCAACGTGCTCTAAGAAAGCGAATGTTCAACTCTGTGACTTGAATGCAGATATCACAAAGTAGTTTCTGAGAGGACTTCTGTCTAGATTTTAGATGATGATATTCCCGTTTCCAACGAAATCATTAGAGCTATCCAAATATCCACTTACAGTTTCTACAAAAAGAGTGTTTCCAAACTGCTGCATCAAAAGAGAGGTTCCACTCTGTTAGCTGAGTACACACATCACAAACTTGTTTCTCAGAATCCTTCTGTCTCGTTTCTATGGGAAGATATTTACTTTTTCACCGTAGGCATCAAAGCGCTCCAAATGTCCACATCCAGATACTCCAGAAAGAGTGTTTCAAACCTGCTCTATGAAAGGGAATCTTCAACTCTATGAGTTGAATGCAGACATCAGAAAGAAATTTCTGAGAATGCTGCTGTCTACCTTTTATTTGAATTCCCGCTTCCAACGAAATCCTCCAAGCTATCCAAATATCCACTTGCAGATTCCACAAAAAGAGTGTTTCAAAACTGCTCTCTATCAATGGCAAAGTTCAACTCTGTTAGTTGAGGACACATATCACCAACAAGTTTCTGAGAATGCTTCTGTCTATTTTTTATGGGAAGATATTTCCTTTTTCACCGTAGGCGTCAAGGCGATCGAAATGTCCACTTCCACAAACTACAAAAAGAGTGTTTCAAACCTGCTCTATGAAAGGCCATGTTCATCTCTATGAGTTGAATGGAAATATCCGAAAGAAATTTCTGGGAATGCTGCTGTCTAGTTTTTATACGAATTCCCGCTTCCAACGAAATCCTCAAAGCAATCCAAATATCCACTTGCAGAATCCACAAAAAGAGTGTTTCAAAACTGCTCTATCAATAGAAAGGTTCCACTCTTTTAGTTGAGTACACACATCACAAACAAGTTTCTGAGAATGCTTCTGTCTAGCTTTTATGGGAAGACGTTTCCTTTTCACCAATGGCATCAAAGCGCTCCAAATGTCCAATTCCAGATTCTACAAAAAGAGTGTTTCAAACGTGCTCAAACTATGGTAACGTTCTACTCTCTGACTTGAATGCAGATATCACCAAGTAGTTGCTAATACTGCTTCTGTCTAGATTTTAGATGATGATATTCCCGTTTCAAATGAAATCGTTAGAGCTATCCAAATATCCACTTACAGTTTCTACAAAAAGAGTGTTTCCAAACTGCTGCATCAAAAGAAAGGTTCAACTCTGTTAGTTGAGGACACACATCACAAAGAAGTTTCTGAGAATGCTTCTGTCTAGATTTTGTATGACGATATTCCCTTTTCCAACGATATCGTTAAAGCAATCTAAATATCAATTTGCAGAATCCACAAAAATAGAGTTTCAAAGCTGCTCTGTAAAAAGAAAGGTTCCACTCTGTTAGCTGAGTATACACATCACAAACTTGTTTCTGAGAATCCTTCTGTCTCGTTTTTATGGGAAGATATTTACTTTTTCACCGTAGGCATCAAAGCGCTCCAAATGTCCACATCCAGATACTCCAGAAAGAGTGTTTCAAACCTGCTCTAGGAAAGGGAATCTTCAACTCTATGAGTTGAATGCAGACATCAGAAAGAAATTTCTGAGAATGCTGCTGTCTACCTTTTATTTGAATTCCCGCTTCCAACGAAATCCTCCAAGCTATCCAAATATCCACCTGCATTTTCCACAACAAGAGTGTTTCAAAACTGCTCTATCAATAGAAATGTTCAACTCCTTTGGCTGGGTACACACATCACAAACAAGTTTCTGAGAATGCTTCTGTCTAGTTTTTATGGGTAGACATTCCCTTTTTCACAAAAGGAATCAAAGCGCTCCAAATGTCCACTTCCAGACACTACAAAAAGAGTGTTTCAAACGTGCTCTAAGAAAGCGAATGTTCAACTCTGTGACTTGAATGCAGATATCACAAAGTAGTTTCTGAGAGGGCTTCTGTCTAGATTTTAGATGATGATATTCCCGTTTCCAACGAAATCATTAGAGCTATCCAAATATCCACTTACAGTTTCTACAAAAAGAGTGTTTCCAAACTTCTGCATCAGAAGAGAGGTTCCACTCTGTTAGCTGAGTACACACATCACAAACTTGTTTCTGAGAATCCTTCTGTCTCGTTTTTATGGGAAGATATTTACTTTTCCACCGTAGGCATCAAAGCGCTCCAAATGTCCACATCCAGATACTCCAGAAAGAGTGTTTCAAACCTGCTCTATGAAAGGGAATCTTCAACTCTATGAGTTGAATGCAGACATCAGAAAGAAATTTCTGAGAATGCTGCTGTCTACCTTTTATTTGAATTCCCGCTTCCAACGAAATCCTCCAAGCTATCCAAATATCCACTTGCAGATTCCACAAAAAGAGTGTTTCAAAACTGCTCTCTATCAATGGCAAAGTTCAACTCTGTTAGTTGAGAACACATATCACCAACAAGTTTCTGAGAATGCTTCTGTCTATTTTTTATGGGAAGATATTTCCTTTTTCACCATAGGCGTCAAGGCGATCGAAATGTCCACTTCCACAAACTACAAAAAGAGTGTTTCAAACCTGCTCTATGAAAGGCGATGTTCATCTCTATGAGTTGAATGGAAATATCCGAAAGAAATTTCTGGGAATGCTTGCTGTCTAGTTTTTATACGAATTCCCGCTTCCAACGAAATCCTCAAAGCAATCCAAATATCCACTTGCAGAATCCACAAAAAGAGTGTTTCAAAACTGCTCTATCAATAGAAAGGTTCAACTCTTTTAGTTGAGTACACACATCACAAACAAGTTTCTGAGAATGCTTCTGTCTGGCTTTTATTGGAAGACGTTTCCTTTTCACCAAAGGCATCAAAGCGCTCCAAATGTCCACTTCCAGATTCTTCCAAAAGAGTGTTTGAAACGTGCTCAAAGTAAGGGAATGTTCAACTCTGTGACTTGAATGCAGATATCACCAAGTAGTTTCTAATAGTGCTTCTGTCTAGATTTTAGATGATGATATTCCCGTTTCCAACGAAATCGTTAGAGCTATCCAAATATCCACTTAGTTTCTACAAAAAGAGTGTTTCCAAACTGCTGCATCAAAAGAAAGGTTCAACTCTGTTAGTTGAGGACACACATCACAAAGAAGTTTGTGAGAATGCTTCTGTCTAGATTTTGTATGACGATATTCCCTTTTCCAACGATATCGTTAAAGCAATCTAAATATCAATTTGCAGAATCCACAAAAATAGAGTTTCAAAGCTGCTCTGTAAAAAGAAAGGTTCCACTCTGTTAGCTGAGTACACACATCACAAACTTGTTTCTCAGAATCCTTCTGTCTCGTTTTTATGGGAAGATATTTACTTTTTCACCGTAGGCATCAAAGCGCTCCAAATGTCCACATCCAGATACTCCAGAAAGAGTGTTTCAAACCTGCTCTATGAAAGGGAATCTTCAACTCTATGAGTTGAATGCAGACATCAGAAAGAAATTTTCTGAGAATGCTGCTGTCTACCTTTTATTTGAATTCCCGCTTCCAACGAAATCCTCCAAGCTATCCAAATATCCACTTGCATTTTTCACAAAAAGAGTGTTTCAAAACTGCTCTATCAATAGAAATGTTCAACTCCTTTAGCTGGGTACACACATCGCAGACAAGTTTCTGAGAATGCTTCTGTCTAGTTTTTATGGGAAGACATTCCCTTTTTCACCAAAGGCATCAAAGCACTCCAAATGTCCACTTCCAGACACTACAAAAAGAGTGTTTCCAACGTGCTCTAAGAAAGCGAATGTTCAACTCTGTGACTTGAATGCAGATATCACAAAGTAGTTTCTGAGAGGGCTTCTGTCTAGATTTTAGATGATGATATTCCCGTTTCCAACGAAATCATTAGAGCTATCCAAATATCCACTTACAGTTTCTACAAAAAGAGTGTTTCCAAACTGCTGCATCAAAAGAGAGGTTCCACTCTGTTAGCTGAGTACACACATCACAAACTTGTTTCTCAGAATCCTTCTGTCTCGTTTTTCTGGGAAGATATTTACTTTTTCACCGTAGGCATCAAAGCGCTCCAAATGTCCACATCCAGATACTCCAGAAAGAGTGTTTCAAACCTGCTCTATGAAAGGGAATCTTCAACTCTATGAGTTGAATGCAGACATCAGAAGGAAATTTCTGAGAATGCTGCTGTCTACCTTTTATTTGAATTCCCGCTTCCAACGAAATCCTCCAAGCTATCCAAATATCCACTTGCAGATTCCACAAACAGAGTGTTTCAAAACTGCTCTCTATCAATGGCAAAGTTCAACTCTGTTAGTTGAGGACACATATCACCAACAAGTTTCTGAGAATGCTTCTGTCTATTTTTTATGGGAAGATATTTCCTTTTTCACCGTAGGCGTCAAGGCGATCGAAATGTCCACTTCCACAAACTACAAAAAGAGTGTTTCAAACCTGCTCTATGAAAGGCCATGTTCATCTCTATGAGTTGAATGGAAATATCCGAAAGAAATTTCTGGGAATGCTGGCTGTCTAGTTTTTATACGAATTCCCGCTTCCAACGAAATCCTCAAAGCAATCCAAATATCCACTTGCAGAATCCACAAAAAGAGTGTTACAAAACTGCTCTATCAATAGAAAGGTTCAACTCTTTTAGTTGAGTACACACATCACAAACAAGTTTCTGAGAATGCTTCTGTCTGGCTTTTATTGGAAGACGTTTCCTTTTCACCAAAGGCATCAAAGCGCTCCAAATGTCCACTTCCAGATTCTTCCAAAAGAGTGTTTGAAACGTGCTCAAAGTAAGGGAATGTTCAACTCTGTGACTTGAATGCAGATATCACCAAGTAGTTTCTAATAGTGCTTCTGTCTACCTTTTGATGATGATATTCCCGTTTCCAACGAAATCGTTAGAGCTATCCAAATATCCAGTTACAGTTTCTACCAAAAGGGTGTTTCCAAATTGCTGCATCAAAAGAAAGGTTCAACTCTGTTAGTTGAGGACACACATCACAAAGAAGTTTGTGAGAATGCTTCTGTCTAGATTTTGTATGACCATATTCCCTTTTCCAGCGATATCATTAAAGCAATCTAAATATCCATT
The DNA here is from genome assembly GCF_000001405.40 of Homo sapiens. NCBI lineage: Eukaryota > Metazoa > Chordata > Mammalia > Primates > Hominidae > Homo > Homo sapiens. The sequence continues at coordinate 12,787,585 of NC_000021.9, read as the reverse complement.
TGCAGAATCCACAAAAATAGGGTTTCAAAGCTGCTCTGTAAAAAGAAAGGTTCCACTCTGTTAGCTGAGTACACACATCACAAACTTGTTTCTGAGAATCCTTCTGTCTCGTTTTTATGGGAAGATATTTACTTTTTCACCGTAGGCATCAAAGCGCTCCAAATGTCCACATCCAGATACTCCAGAAAGAGTGTTTCAAACCTGCTCTATGAAAGGGAATCTTCAACTCTATGAGTTGAATGCAGACATCAGAAAGAAATTTCTGAGAATGCTGCTGTCTACCTTTTATTTGAATTCCCGCTTCCAACGAAATCCTCCAAGCTATCCAAATATCCACCTGCATTTTCCACAAAAAGAGTGTTTCAAAACTGCTCTATCAATAGAAATGTTCAACTCCTTTGGCTGGGTACACACATCACAAACAAGTTTCTGAGAATGCTTCTGTCTAGTTTTTATGGGAAGACATTCCCTTTTTCACCAAAGGCATCAAAGCGCTCCAAATGTCCACTTCCAGACACTATAAAAAGAGTGTTTCCAACGTGCTCTAAGAAAGCGAATGTTCAACTCTGTGACTTGAATGCAGATATCACAAAGTAGTTTCTGAGAGGGCTTCTGTCTAGATTTTAGTTGATGATATTCCCATTTCCAACGAAATCATTAGAGCTATCCAAATATCCACTTACAGTTTCTACAAAAAGAGTGTTTCCAAACTGCTGCATCAGAAGAGAGGTTCCACTCTGTTAGCTGAGTACACACATCACAAACTTGTTTCTCAGAATCCTTCTGTCTCGTTTTTATGGGAAGATATTTACTTTTCCACCGTAGGCATCAAAGCGCTCCAAATGTCCACATCCAGATACTCCAGAACGAGTGTTTCAAACCTGCTCTATGAAAGGGAATCTTCAACTCTATGAGTTGAATGCAGACATCACAAAGAAATTTCTGAGAATGCTGCTGTCTACCTTTTATTTGAATTCCCGCTTCCAACGAAATCCTCCAAGCTATCCAAATATCCACTTGCAGATTCCACAAAAAGAGTGTTTCAAAACTGCTCTCTATCAATGGCAAAGTTCAACTCTGTTAGTTGAGGACACATATCACCAACAAGTTTCTGAGAATGCTTCTGTCTATTTTTATGGGAAGATATTTCCTTTTTCACCGTAGGCGTCAAGGCGATCGAAATGTCCACTTCCACAAACTACAAAAAGAGTGTTTCAAACCTGCTCTATGAAAGGCCATGTTCATCTCTATGAGTTGAATGGAAATATCCGAAAGAAATTTCTGGGAATGCTGCTGTCTAGTGTTTATACGAATTCCCGCTTCCAACGAAATCCTCAAAGCAATCCAAATATCCACTTGCAGAATCCACAAAAAGAGTGTTTCAAAACTGCTCTATCAATAGAAAGGTTCAACTCTTTTAGTTGAGTACACACATCACAAACAAGTTTCTGAGAATGCTTCTGTCTGGCTTTTATTGGAAGACGTTTCCTTTTCACCAAAGGCATCAAAGCGCTCCAAATGTCCACTTCCAGATTCTTCCAAAAGAGTGTTTCAAACGTGCTCGAAGTAAGGGAATGTTCTACTCTGTGACTTGAATGCAGATATCACCAAGTAGTTTCTAATAGTGCTTCTGTCTAGATTTTAGATGATGATATTCCCGTTTCCAACGAAATCGTTAGAGCTATCCAAATATCCACTTACAGTTGCTACAAAAACAGTGTTTCCAAACTGCTGCATCAAAAGAAAGGTTCAACTCTGTTAGTTGAGGACACACGTCACAAAGAAGTTTGTGAGAATGCTTCTGTCCAGCATTTTGTATGACGATATTCCCTTTTCCAACGATATCGTTAAAGCAATCTAAATATCCATTTGCAGAATCCACAAAAATAGAGTTTCAAAGCTGCTCTGTAAAAAGAAAGGTTCCACTCTGTTAGCTGAGTACACACATCACAAACTTGTCTCTCAGAATCCTTCTGTCTCGTTTTTATGGGAAGATATTTACTTTTTCACCGTAGGCATCAAAGCGCTCCAAATGTCCACATCCAGATACTCCAGAAAGAGTGTTTCAAACCTGCTCTATGAAAGGGAATCTTCAACTCTATGAGTTGAATGCAGACATCAGAAAGAAATTTCTGAGAATGCTGCTGTCTACCTTTTGTTTGAATTCCCGCTTCCAACGAAATCCTCCAAGCTATCCAAATATCCACCTGCATTTTCCACAAAAAGAGTGTTTCAAAACTGCTCTATCAATAGAAATGTTCAACTCCTTTGGCTGGGTACACACATCACAAACAAGTTTCTGAGAATGCTTCTGTCTAGTTTTTATGGGAAGACGTTCCCTTTTTCACCAAAGGCATCAAAGCGCTCCAAATGTCCAATTCCAGACACTACAAAAAGAGTGTTTCAAACGTGCTCTAAGAAAGTGAATGTTCAACTCTGTGACTTGAATGCAGATATCACAAAGTAGTTTCCTGAGAGGGCTTCTGTCTAGATTTTAGATGATGATATTCCCGTTTCCAACGAAATCATTAGAGCTATCCAAATATCCACTTACAGTTTCTACAAAAAGAGTGTTTCCAAACTGCTGCATCAAAAGAGAGGTTCCACTCTGTTAGCTGAGTACACACATCACAAACTTGTTTCTCAGAATCCTTCTGTCTCGTTTTTATGGGAAGATATTTACTTTTTCACCGTAGGCATCAAAGCGCTCCAAATGTCCACATCCAGATACTCCAGAAAGAGTGTTTCAAACCTGCTCTATGAAAGGGAATCTTCAACTCTATGTGTTGAATGCAGACATCAGAAAGAAATTTCTGAGAATGCTGCTGTCTACCTTTTATTTGAATTCCCGCTTCCAACGAAATCCTCCAAGCTATCCAAATATCCACCTGCATTTTCCACAAAAAGAGTGTTTCAAAACTGCTCTCTATCAATGGCAAAGTTCAACTCTGTTAGTTGAGGACACATATCACCAACAAGTTTCTGAGAATGCTTCTGTCTATTTTTTATGGGAAGATATTTCCTTTTTCACCGTAGGCGTCAAGGCGATCGAAATGTCCACTTCCACAAACTACAAAAAGAGTGTTTCAATATGAAAGGCCATGTTCATCTCTATGAGTTGAATGGAAATATCCAAAAGAAATTTCTGGGAATGCTGCTGTCTAGTGTTTATACGAATTCCCGCTTCCAACAAAATCCTCAAAGCAATCCAAATATCCACTTGCAGAATCCACAAAAAGAGTGTTTCAAAACTGCTCTATCAATAGAAAGGTTCAACTCTTTTAGTTGAGTACACACATCACGATCAAGTTTCTGAGAATGCTTCTGTCTGGCTTTTATTGGAAGACGTTTCCTTTTCACCAAAGGCATCAAAGCGCTCCAAATGTCCACTTCCAGATTCTTCCAAAAGAGTGTTTCAATCGTGCTCAAAGTAAGGGAATGTTCAACTCTGTGACTTGAATGCAGATATCACCAAGTAGTTTCTAATAGTGCTTCTGTCTAGATTTTAGATGATGATATTCCCGTTTCCAACGAAATCGTTAGAGCTATCCAAATATCCACTTACAGTTTCTACAAAAAGAGTGTTTCCAAACTGCTGCATCAAAAGAAAGGTTCAACTCTGTTAGTTGAGGACACACATCACAAAGAAGTTTGTGAGAATGCTTCTGTCTAGATTTTGTATGACGATATTCCCTTTTCCAACGATATCGTTAAAGCAATCTAAATATCCATTTGCAGAATCCACAAAAATAGAGTTTCAAAGCTGCTCTGTAAAAAGAAAGGTTCCACTCTGTTAGCTGAGTACACACATCACAAACTTGTTTCTCAGAATCCTTCTGTCTCGTTTTTATGGGAAGATATTTACTTTTCCACCGTAGGCATCAAACGCTCCAAATGTCCACATCCAGATACTCCAGAACGAGTGTTTCAAACCTGCTCTATGAAAGGGAATCTTCAACTCTATGAGTTGAATGCAGACATCAGAAAGAAATTTCTGAGAATGCTGCTGTCTACCTTTTATTTGAATTCGCGCTTCCAACGAAATCCTCCAAGCTATCCAAATATCCACCTGCATTTTCCACAACAAGAGTGTTTCAAAACTGCTCTATCAATAGAAATGTTCAACTCCTTTGGCTGGGTACACACATCACAAACAAGTTTCTGAGAATGCTTCTGTCTAGTTTTTATGGGTAGACATTCCCTTTTTCACCAAAGGAATCAAAGCACTCCAAATGTCCACTTCCAGACACTACAAAAAGAGTGTTTCAAACGTGCTCTAAGAAAGCGAACGTTCAACTCTGTGACTTGAATGCAGATATCACAAAGTAGTTTCTGAGAGTGCTTCTGTCTAGATTTTAGATGATGATATTCCCGTTTCCAACGAAATCATTAGAGCTATCCAAATATCCACTTACAGTTTCTACAAAAAGAGTGTTTCCAAACTGCTGCATCAAAAGAGAGGTTCCACTCTGTTAGCTGAGTACACACATCACAAACTTGTTTCTGAGAATCCTTCTGTGTCGTTTTTATGGGAAGATATTTACTTTTTCACCGTAGGCATCAAAGCGCTCCAAATGTCCACATCCAGATACTCCAGAGTGTTTCAAACCTGCTCTATGAAAGGGAATCTTCAACTCTATGAGTTGAATGCAGACATCAGAAAGAAATTTCTGAGAATGCTGCTGTCTACCTTTTATTTGAATTCCCGCTTCCAACGAAATCCTCCAAGCTATCCAAATATCCACTTGCAGATTCCACAAAAAGAGTGTTTCTAAACTGCTCTCTATCAATGGCAAAGTTCAACTCTGTTAGTTGAGGACACATATCACCAACAAGTTTCTGAGAATGCTTCTGTCTATTTTTTATGGGAAGATATTTCCTTTTTCACCGTAGGCGTCAAGGCGATCGAAATGTCCACTTCCACAAACTACAAAAAGAGTGTTTCAAACCTGCTCTATGAAAGGCCATGTTCATCTCTATGAGTTGAATGGAAATATCCGAAAGAAATTTCTGGGAATGCTGCTGTCTAGTTGTTATACGAATTCCCGCTTCCAACGAAATCCTCAAAGCAATCCAAATATCCACTTGCAGAATCCACAAAAAGAGTGTTTCAAAACTGCTCTATCAATAGAAAGGTTCAACTCTTTTAGTTGAGTACACACATCACAAACAAGTTTCCTGAGAATGCTTCTGTCTGGCTTTTATTGGAAGACGTTTCCTTTTCACCAAAGGCATCAAAGCGCTCCAAATGTCCACTTCCAGATTCTTCCAAAAGAGTGTTTGAAACGTGCTCAAAGTAAGGGAATGTTCAACTCTGTGACTTGAATGCAGATATCACCAAGTAGTTTCTAATAGTGCTTCTGTCTAGATTTTAGATGATGATATTCCCGTTTCCAACGAAATCGTTAGAGCTATCCAAATATCAAGTTACAGTTTCTACCAAAAGGGTGATTCCAAACTGCTGCATCAAAAGAAAGGTTCAACTCTGTTAGTTGAGGACACACATCACAAAGAAGTTTGTGAGAATGCTTCTGTCCAGATTTTGTATGACGATATTCCCTTTTCCAACGATATCGTTAAAGCAATCTAAATATCCATTTGCAGAATCCACAAAAATAGAGTTTCAAAGCTGCTCTGTAAAAAGAAAGGTTCCACTCTGTTAGCTGAGTACACACATCACAAACTTGTCTCTCAGAATCCTTCTGTCTCGTTTTTATGGGAAGATATTTACTTTTCCACCGTAGGCATCAAAGCGCTCCAAATGTCCACATCCAGATACTCCAGAACGAGTGTTTCAAACCTGCTCTATGAAAGGGAATCTTCAACTCTATGAGTTGAATGCAGACATCAGAAAGAAATTTCTGATAATGCTGCTGTCTACCTTTTATTTGAATTCCCGCTTCCAACGAAATCCTCCAAGCTATCCAAATATCCACCTGCATTTTCCACAACAAGAGTGTTTCAAAACTGCTCTATCAATAGAAATGTTCAACTCCTTTGGCTGGGTACACACATCACAAACAAGTTTCTGAGAATGCTTCTGTCTAGTTTTTATGGGTAGACATTCCCTTTTTCACCAAAGGAATCAAAGCGCTCCAAATGTCCACTTCCAGACACTACAAAAAGAGTGTTTCAAACGTGCTCTAAGAAAGCGAATGTTCAACTCTGTGACTTGAATGCAGATATCACACAGTAGTTTCTGAGAGTGCCTCTGTCTAGATTTTAGATGATGATATTCCCGTTTCCAACGAAATCATTAGAGCTATCCAAATATCCACTTACAGTTTCTACAAAAAGAGTGTTTCCAAACTGCTGCATCAAAAGAGAGGTTCCACTCTGTTAGCTGAGTACACACATCACAAACTTGTTTCTCAGAATCCTTCTGTCTCGTTTTTATTGGAAGATATTTACTTTTTCACCGTAGGCATCAAAGCGCTCCAAATGTCCACATCCAGATACTCCAGAAAGAGTGTTTCAAACCTGCTCTATGAAAGGGAATCTTCAACTCTATGAGTTGAATGCAGACATCAGAAAGAAATTTCTGAGAATGCTGCTGTCTACCTTTTATTTGAATTCCCGCTTCCAACGAAATCCTCCAAGCTATCCAAATATCCACTTGCAGATTCCACAAAAAGAGTGTTTCAAAACTGCTCTCTATCAATGGCAAAGTTCAACTCTGTTAGTTGAGGACACATATCACCAACAAGTTTCTGAGAATGCTTCTGTCTATTTTTTATGGGAAGATATTTCCTTCTTCACCGTAGGCGTCAAGGCGATCGAAATGTCCACTTCCACAAACTACAAAAAGAGTGTTTCAAACCTGCTCTATGAAAGGCCATGTTCATCTCTATGAGTCGAATGGAAATATCCGAAAGAAATTTCTGGGAATGCTGCTGTCTAGTTTTTATACGAATTCCCGCTTCCAACGAAATCCTCAAAGCAATCCAAATATCCACTTGCAGAATCCACAAAAAGAGTGTTTCAAAACTGCTCTATCAATAGAAAGGTTCAACTCTTTTAGTTGAGTACACACATCACAAACAAGTTTCTGAGAATGCTTCTGTCTGGCTTTTATTGGAAGACGTTTCCTTTTCACCAAAGGCATCAAAGCGCTCCAAATGTCCACTTCCAGATTCTTCCAAAAGAGTGTTTCAAACGTGTTCGAAGTAAGGGAATGTTCAACTCTGAGACTTGAATGCAGATATCACCAAGTAGTTTCTAATAGTGCTTCTGTCTAGATTTTAGATGATGATATTCCCGTTTCCAACGAAATCGTTAGAGCTATCCAAATATCCACTTACAGTTTCTACCAAAAGGGTGTTTCCAAATTGCTGCATCAAAAGAAAGGTTCAACTCTGTTAGTTGAGGACACACATCACAAAGAAGTTTGTGAGAATGCTTCTGTCTAGATTTTGTATGACCATATTCCCTTTTCCAACGATATCGTTAAAGCAATCTAAATATCAATTTGCAGAATCCACAAAAATAGAGTTTCAAAGCTGCTCTGTAAAAAGAAAGGTTCCACTCTGTTAGCTGAGTACACACATCACAAACTTGTTTCTGAGAATCCTTCTGTCTCGTTTTTATGGGAAGATATTTACTTTTCCACCGTAGGCATCGAAAGCGCTCCAAATGTCCACATCCAGATACTCCAGAACGAGTGTTTCAAACCTGCTCTATGAAAGGGAATCTTCAACTCTATGAGTTGAATGCAGACATCAGAAAGAAATTTCTGAGAATGCTGCTGTCTACCTTTTATTTGAATTCCCGCTTCCAACGAAATCCTCCAAGCTATCCAAATATCCACTTGCATTTTCCACAACAAGAGTGTTTCAAAACTGCTCTATCAATAGAAACGTTCAACTCCTTTGGCTGGGTACACACATCACAAACAAGTTTCTGAGAATGCTTCTGTCTAGTTTTTATGGGAAGACGTTCCCTTTTTCACCAAAGCCATCAAAGCGCTCCAAATGTCCACTTCCAGACACTACAAAAAGAGTGTTTCAAACGTGCTCTAAGAAAGCGAATGTTCAACTCTGTGACTTGAATGCAGATATCACAAAGTAGTTTCCTGAGAGTGCTTTCTGTCTAGATTTTAGATGATGATATTCCCGTTTCCAACGAAATAATTAGAGCTATCCAAATATCCACTTACAGTTTCTACAAAAAGAGTGTTTCCAAACTGCTGCATCAAAAGAGAGGTTCCACTCTGTTAGCTGAGTACACACATCACAAACTTGTTTCTCAGAATCCTGCTGTCTACCTTTTATTTGAATTCCCGCTTCCAACGAAATCCTCCAAGCTATCCAAATATCCACTTGCAGATTCCACAAAAAGAGTGTTTCAAAACTGCTCTCTATCAATGGCAAAGTTCAACTCTGTTAGTTGAGGACACATATCACCAACAAGTTTCTGAGAATGCTTCTGTCTATTTTTTATGGGAAGATATTTCCTTTTTCACCGTAGGCGTCAAGGCGATCGAACTGTCCACTTCCACAAACTACAAAAAGAGTGTTTCAATATGAAAGGCCATGTTCATCTCTATGAGTTGAATGGAAATATCCGAAAGAAAATTCTGGGAATGCTGCTGTCTAGTGTTTATACGAATTCCCGCTTCCAACGAAATCCTCAAAGCAATCCAAATATCCACTTGCAGAATCCACAAAAAGAGTGTTTCAAAACTGCTCTATCAATAGAAAGGTTCAACTCTTTTAGTTGAGTACACACACCACGAACAAGTTTCTGAGAATGCTTCTGTCTGGCTTTTATTGGAAGACGTTTCCTTTTCACCAAAGGCATCAAAGCGCTCCAAATGTCCACTTCCAGATTCTTCCAAAAGAGTGTTTCAAACGTGCTCAAAGTAAGGGAATGTTCAACTCTGTGACTTGAATGCAGATATCACCAAGTAGTTTCTAATAGTGCTTCTGTCTAGATTTTAGATGATGATATTCCCGTTTCCAACGAAATCGTTAGAGCTATCCAAATATCCACTTACAGTTTCTACAAAAAGAGTGTTTCCAAACTGCTGCATCAAAAGAAAGTTTCAACTCTGTTAGTTGAGGACACACATCACAAAGAAGTTTGTGAGAATGCTTCTGTCCAGATTTTGTATGACGATATTCCCTTTTCCAACGATATCATTAAAGCAATCTAAATATCCATTTGCAGAATCCACAAAAATAGAGTTTCAAAGCTGCTCTGTAAAAAGAAAGGTTCCACTCTGTTAGCTGAGTACACACATCACAAACTTGTCTCTCAGAATCCTTCTGTCTCGTTTTTATGGGAAGATATTTACTTTTTCACCGTAGGCATCAAAGCGCTCCAAATGTCCACATCCAGATACTCCAGAAAGAGTGTTTCAAACCTGCTCTATGAAAGGGAATCTTCAACTCTATGAGTTGAATGCAGACATGAGAAAGAAATTTCTGAGAATGCTGCTGTCTACCTTTTATTTGAATTCCCGCTTCCAACGAAATCCTCCAAGCTATCCAAATATCCACCTGCATTTTCCACAAAAAGAGCGTTTCAAAACTGCTCTATCAATAGAAATGTTCAACTCCTTTGGCTGGGTACACACATCACAAACAAGTTTCTGAGAATGCTTCTGTCTGGCTTTTATTGGAAGACGTTTCCTTTTTCACCAAAGGCATCAAAGCGCTCCAAATGTCCACTTCCAGACACTACAAAATGAGTGTTTCCAACGTGCTCTAAGAAAGCGAATGTTCAACTCTGTGACTTGAATGCAGATATCACAAAGTAGTTTCTAATAGTGCTTCTGTCTAGATTTTAGATGATGATATTCCCGTTTCCAACGAAATCATTAGAGCTATCTAAATATCCACTTACAGTTTCTACAAAAAGAGTGTTTCCAAACTGCTGCATCAAAAGAGAGGTTCCACTCTGTTAGCTGAGTACACACATCACAAACTTGATTCTGAGAATCCTTACTGTCTCGTTTTTATGGGAAGATATTTACTTTTTCACCGTAGGCATCAAAGCGCTCCAAATGTCCACATCCAGATACTCCAGAAAGAGTGTTTCAAACCTGCTCTATGAAAGAGAATGTTCAACTCTATGAGTTGAATGCAGACATCAGAAAGAAATTTCTGAGAATGCTGGCTGTCTACCTTTTATTTGAATTCCTGCTTCCAACGAAATCCTCCAAGCTATCCAAATATCCACTTGCAGATTCCACAAAAAGAGTGTCTCAAAACTGCTCTCTATCAATGGCGAAGTTCAACTCTGTTAGTTGAGGACACATATCACCAACAAGTTTCTGAGAATGCTTCTCTCTATTTTTTATGGGAAGATATTTCCTTTTTCACCGTAGGCATCAAGGCGATTGAAATGTCCACTTCCACAAACTACAAAAAGTGTGTTTCAAACCTGCTCTATGAAAGGCCATGTTCATCTCTATGAGTTGAATGGAAATATCCGAAAGAAATTCCTGGGAATGCTGCTGTCTAGTTTTTATACGAATTCCCGCTTCCAACGAAATCCTCAAAGCAATCCAAATATCCACTTGCAGAATCCACAAAAAGAGTGTTTCAAAACTGCTCTATCAATAGAAAGGTTCAACTCTTTTAGTTGAGTACACACATCACAAACAAGTTTCTGAGAATGCTTCTGTCTGGCTTTTATTGGAAGACGTTTCCTTTTCACCAAAGGCATCAAAGCAGCTCCAAATGTCCACTTCCAGATTCTTCCAAAAGAGTGTTTGAAACGTGCTCAAAGTAAGGGAATGTTCAACTCTGTGACTTGAATGCAGATATCACCAAGTAGTTTCTAATAGTGCTTCTGTCTAGATTTTAGATGATGATATTCCCGTTTCCAACGAAATCGTTAGAGCTATCCAAATATCCAGTTACAGTTTCTACCAAAAGGGTGTTTCCAAATTGCTGCATCAAAAGAAAGGTTCAACTCTGTTAGTTGAGGACACACATCACAAAGAAGTTTGTGAGAATGCTTCTGTCTAGATTTTGTATGACGATATTCCCTTTTCCAACGATATCGTTAAAGCAATCTAAATATCAATTTGCAGAATCCACAAAACTAGAGTTTCAAAGCTGCTCTGTTAAAAGAAAGGTTCCACTCTGTTAGCTGAGTACACACATCACAAACTTGTTTCTGAGAATCCTTCTGTCTCGTTTTTATGGGAAGATATTTACTTTTCCACCGTAGGCATCAAAGCGCTCCAAATGTCCACATCCAGATACTCCAGAACGAGTGTTTCAAACCTGCTCTATGAAAGGGAATCTTCAACTCTATGAGTTGAATGCAGACATCAGAAAGAAATTTCTGAGAATGCTGCTGTCTACCTTTTATTTGAATTCCCGCTTCCAACGAAATCCTCCAAGCTATCCAAATATCCACCTGCATTTTCCACAAAAAGAGTGTTTCAAAACTGCTCTATCAATAGAAATGTTCAACTCCTTTTGCTGGGTACACACATCACAAACAAGTTTCTGAGAATGCTTCTGTCTGGCTTTTATTGGAAGACGTTTCCTTTTCACCAAAGGCATCAAAGCGCTCCAAATGTCCACTTCCAGATTCTTCCAAAAGAGTGTTTCAAACGTGCTCGAAGTAAGGGAATGTTCTACTCTGTGACATGAATGCAGATAACACCAAGTAGTTTCTAATAGTGCTTCTGTCTAGATTTTAGATGATGATATTCCCGTTTCCAACGAAATCGTTAGAGCTATCCAAATATCCACTTACAGTTTCTACAAAAAGAGTGTTTCCAAACTGCTGCATCAAAAGAGAGGTTCCACTCTGTTAGCTGAGTACACACATCACAAACTTGTTTCTCAGAATCCTTCTGTCTCGTTTTTATGGGAAGATATTTACTTTTTCACCGTAGGCATCAAAGCGCTCCAAATGTCCACATCCAGATACTCCAGAAAGAGTGTTTCAAACCTGCTCTATGAAAGGGAATGTTCAACTCTATGAGTTGAATGCAGACATCAGAAAGAAATTTCTGAGAATGCTGCTGTCTACCTTTTATTTGAATTCCCGCTTCCAACGAAATCCTCCAAGCTATCCAAATATCCACTTGCAGATTCCACAAAAAGAGTGTTTCAAAACTGCTCTCTACCAATGGCAAAGTTCAACTCTGTTAGTTGAGGACACATATCACCAACAAGTTTCTGAGAATGCTTCTGTCTATTTTTTATGGGAAGATATTTCCTTTTTCACCGTAGGCGTCAAGGCGATCGAAATGTCCACTTCCACAAACTACAAAAAGAGTGTTTCAAACCTGCTCTATGAAAGGCCATGTTCATCTCTATGAGTTGAATGGAAATATCCGAAAGAAATTTCTGGGAATGCTGCTGTCTAGTGTTTATACGAATTCCCGCTTCCAACGAAATCCTCAAAGCAATCCAAATATCCACTTGCAGAATCCACAAAAAGAGTGTTTCAAAACTACTCTATCAATAGAAAGGTTCAACTCTTTTAGTTGAGTACACACATCACGAACAAGTTTCTGAGAATGCTTCTGTCTGGCTTTTATTGGAAGACGTTTCCTTTTCACCAAAGGCATCAAAGCGCTCCAAATGTCCACTTCCAGATTCTTCCAAAAGAGTGTTTCAAACGTCCTCAAAGTAAGGGAATGTTCAACTCTGTGACTTGAATGCAGATATCACCAAGTAGTTTCTAATAGTGCTTCTCTCTACATTTTAGATGATGATATTCCCGTTTCCAACGAAATCGTTAGAGCTATCCAAATATCCAGTTACAGTTTCTACCAAAAGGGTGTTTCCAAATTGCTGCATCAAAAGAAAGGTTCAACTCTGTTAGTTGAGGACACACATCACAAAGAAGTTTGTGAGAATGCTTCTGTCTAGATTTTGTATGACGATATTCCCTTTTCCAACGATATCGTTAAAGCAATCTAAATATCAATTTGCAGAATCCACAAAAATAGAGTTTCAAAGCTGCTCTGTAAAAAGAAAGGTTCCACTCTGTTAGCTGAGTACACACATCACAAACTTGTTTCTGAGAATCCTTCTGTCTCGTTTTTATGGGAAGATATTTACTTTTCCACCGTAGGCATCAAAGTGCTCCAAATGTCCACATCCAGATACTCCAGAACGAGTGTTTCAAACCTGCTCTATGAAAGGGAATCTTCAACTCTATGAGTTGAATGCAGACATCAGAAAGAAATTTCTGAGAATGCTGCTGTCTACCTTTTATTTGAATTCCCGCTTCCAACGAAATCCTCCAAGCTATCCAAATATCCACCTGCATTTTCCACAAAAAGAGTGTTTCAAAACTGCTCTATCAATAGAAATGTTCAACTCCTTTGGCTGGGTACACACATCACAAACAAGTTTCTGAGAATGCTTCTGTCTAGTTTTTATGGGAAGACATTCCCTTTTTCACCAAAGGCATCAAAGCGCTCCAAATGTCCTCTTCCAGACACTACAAAAAGAGTGTTTCAAACGTGCTCTAAGAAACCGAATGTTCAACTCTGTGACTTGAATGCAGATATCACAAAGTAGTTTCTGAGACGGCTTCTGTCTAGATTTTAGATGATGATATTCCCGTTTCCAACGAAATCATTAGAGCTATCCAAATATCCACTTACAGTTTCTACAAAAAGAGTGTTTCCAAACTGCTGCATCAAAAGAGAGGTTCCACTCTGTTAGCTGAGTACACACATCACAAACTTGTTTCTCAGAATCCTTCTGTCTCGTTTTTATGGGAAGATATTTACTTTTTCACCGTAGGCCTCAAAGCGCTCCAAATGTCCACATCCAGATACCACAGAAAGAGTATTTCAAACCTGCTCTATGAAAGGGAATGTTCAACTCTATGAGTTGAATGCAGACATCAGAAAGAAATTTCTGAGAATGCTGCTGTCTACCTTTTATTTGAATTCCCGCTTCCAACGAAATCCTCCAAGCTATCCAAATATCCACTTGCAGATTCCACAAAAAGAGTGTTTCAAAACTGCTCTCTATCAATGGCAAAGTTCAACTCTGTTAGTTGAGGACACATATCACCAACGAGTTTCTGAGAATGCTTCTGTCTATTTTTTATGGGAAGATATTTCCTTTTTCAGCGTAGGAGTCAAGGCGATCGAAATGTCCACTTCCACAAACTACAAAAAGAGTGTTTCAAACCTGCTCTATGAAAGGCCATGTTCATCTCTATGAGTTGAATGGAAATATCCGAAAGAAATTTCTGGGAATGCTGCTGTCTAGTTTTTATATGAAATCCCGCTTCCAACGAAATGCTCAAAGCAATCCAAATATCCACTTGCAGATTCCACAAAAAGAGTGTTTCAAAACAGCTCTATCAATAGAAAGGTTCAACTCTTTTAGTTGAGTACACACATCACAAACAACTTTCTGAGAATGCTTCTGTCTGGCTTTTATTGGAAGACGTTTCCTTTTCACCAAAGGCATCAAAGCGCTCCAAATGTCCACTTCCAGATTCTTCCAAAAGAGTGTTTCAAACGTGCTCAAAGTAAGGGAATCTTCAACTCTGTGACTTGAATGCAGATATCACCAAGTAGTTTCTAATAGTGCTTCTGTCTAGATTTTAGATGATGATATTCCCGTTTCCAACGAAATCGTTAGAGCTATCCAAATATCCACTTACAGTTTCTACAAAAACAGTGTTTCCAAACTGCTGCATCAAAAGAAAGGTTCAACTCTGTTAGTTGAGGACACACATCACAAAGAAGTTTGTGAGAATGCTTCTGTCTAGATTTTGTATGACCATATTCCCTTTTCCAGCGATATCGTTAAAGCAATCTAAATATCCATTTGCAGAATCCACAAAAATAGAGTTTCAAAGCTGCTCTGTAAAAAGAAAGGTTCCACTCTGTTAGCTGAGTACACACATCACAAACTTGTTTCTCAGAATCCTTCTGTCTCGTTTTTATGGGAAGATACTTACTTTTCCACCGTAGGCATCAAAGCGCTCCAAATGTCCACATCCAGATACTCCAGAACGAGTGTTTCAAACCTGCTCTATGAAAGGGAATCTTCAACTCTATGAGTTGAATGCAGACATCAGAAAGAAATTTCTGAGAATGCTGCTGTCTACCTTTTATTTGAATTCCCGCTTCCAACGAAATCCTCCAAGCTATCCAAATATCAACTTGCATTTTCCACAAAAAGAGTGTTTCAAAACTGCTCTATCAATAGAAATGTTCAACTCCTTTAGCTGGGTACACACATCACAAACAAGTTTCTGAGAATGCTTCTGTCTATTTTTTATGGGAAGACATTCCCTTTTTCACCAAAGGCATCAAAGCGCTCCAAATGTCCACTTCCAGACACTATAAAAAGAGTGTTTCAAACGTGCTCTAAGAAAGCGAATGTTCAACTCTGTGACTTGAATGCAGATATCACAAAGTAGTTTCTGAGAGGGCTCTGTCTAGATTTTAGATGATGATATTCCCGTTTCCAACGAAATCATTAGAGCTATCCAAATATCCACTTACAGTTTCTACAAAAAGAGTGTTTCCAAACTGCTGCATCAAAAGAGAGGTTCCACTCTGTTAGCTGAGTACACACATCACAAACTTGTTTCTCAGAATCCTTTCTGTCTCGTTTTTATGGGAAGATATTTACTTTTTCATCGTAGGCCTCAAAGCGCTCCAAATGTCCACATCCAGATACTACAGAAAGAGTATTTCAAACCTGCCCTATGAAAGGGAATGTTCAACTCTATGAGTTGAATACAGACATCAGAAAGAAATTTCTGAGAATGCTGCTGTCTACCTTTTATTTGAATTCCCGCTTCCAACGAAATCCTCCAAGCTATCCAAATATCCACTTGCAGATTCCACAAAAAGAGTGTTTCAAAACTGCTCTCTATCAATGGCAAAGTTCAACTCTGTTAGTTGAGGACACATATCACTAACAAGTTTCTGAGAATGCTTCTGTCTATTTTTTATGGGAAGGATATTTCCTTTTTCACCGTAGGCGTCAAGGCGATCGAAATGTCCACTTCCACAAACTACAAAAAGAGTGTTTCAAACCTGCTCTATGAAAGGCCATGTTCATCTCTATGAGTCGAATGGAAATATCCGAAAGAAATTTCTGGGAATGCTGCTGTCTAGTTTTTATACGAATTCCCGCTTCCAACGAAATCCTCAAAGCAATCCAAATATCCACTTGCAGAATCCACAAAAAGAGTGTTTCAAAACTGCTCTATCAATAGAAAGGTTCAACTCTTTTAGTTGAGTACACACATCACAAACAAGTTTCTGAGAATGCTTCTGTCTGGCTTTTATTGGAAGATGTTTCCTTTTCACCAAAGGCATCAAAGCGCTCCAAATGTCCACTTCCAGATTCTTCCAAAAGAGTGTTTGAAACGTGCTCAAAGTAAGGGAATGTTCAACTCCGTGACTTGAATGCAGATATCACCAAGTAGTTTCTAATAGTGCTTCTGTCTAGATTTCAGATGATGATATTCCCGTTTCCAACGAAATCGTTAGAGCTAAGCAAATATCCAGTTACAGTTTCTACCAAAAGGGTGTTTCCAAATTGCTGCATCAAAAGAAAGGTTCAACTCTGTTAGTTGAGGACACACATCACAAAGAAGTTTGTGAGAATGCTTCTGTCTAGATTTTGTATGACGATATTCCCTTTTCCAACGATATCGTTAAAGCAATCTAAATATCAATTTGCAGAATCCACGAAAATAGAGTTTCAAAGCTGCTCTGTAAAAATAAAGGTTCCACTCTGTTAGCTGAGTACACACATCACAAACTTGTTTCTGAGAATCCTTCTGTCTCGTTTTTATGGGAAGATATTTACTTTTCCACCGTAGGCATCAAAGCGCTCCAAATGTCCACATCCAGATACTCCAGAACGAGTGTTTCAAACCTGCTCTATGAAAGGGAATCTTCAACTCTATGAGTTGAATGCAGACATCAGAAAGAAATTTCTGAGAATGCTGCTGTCTACCTTTTATTTGAATTCCCGCTTCCAACGAAATCCTCCAAGCTATCCAAATATCCACTTGCATTTTCCACAAAAAGAGTGTTTCAAACCTGCTCTATCAATAGAAATGTTCAACTCCTTTGGCTGGGTACACACATCACAAACAAGTTTCTGAGAATGCTTCTGTCTAGTTTTTATGGGAAGACGTTCCCTTTCTCACCAAAGGCATCAAAGCGCTCCAAATGTCCACTTCCAGACACTACAAAAAGAGTGTTTCCAACGTGCTCTAAGAAAGCGAATGTTCAACTCTGTGACTTGAATGCAGATATCACAAAGTAGTTTCTGAGAGGGCTTCTGTCTAGATTTTAGATGATGATATTCCGGTTTCCAACGAAATCATTAGAGCTATCCAAATATCCACTTACAGTTTCTACAAAAAGAGTGTTTCCAAACTGCTGCATCAAAAGAGAGGTTCCACTCTGTTAGCTGAGTACACACATCACAAACTTGTTTCTCAGAATCCTTCTGTCTAGCTTTTATGGGAAGATATTTACTTTTTCACCGTAGGCATCAAAGCGTTCCAAATGTCCACATCCAGATAGTACAGAAAGAGTGTTTCAAACCTGCTCTATGACAGGGAATGTTCAACTCTATGAGTTGAATGCAAACATCACAAAGAAATTTCTGAGAATGCTGCTGTCTACCTTTTATTTGAATTCCCGCTTCCAACGAAATCCTCCAAGCTATCCAAATATCCACTTGCAGATTCCACAAAAAGAGTGTTTCAAAACTGCTCTCTATCAATGGCAAAGTTCAACTCTGTTAGTTGAGGACACATATCACCAACAAGTTTCTGAGAATGCTTCTGTCTATTTTTTATGGGAAGATATTTCCTTTTTCACCGTAGGCGTCAAGGCGATCGAAATGTCCACTTCCACAAACTACAAAAAGAGTGTTTCAAACCTGCTCTATGAAAGGCCATGTTCATCTCTATGAGTTGAATGGAAATATCCGAAAGAAATTTCTGGCAATGCTGCTGTCTAGTTTTTATACGAATTCCCGATTCCAACGAAATCCTCAAAGCAATCCAAATATCCACTTGCAGAATCCACAAAAAGAGTGTTTCAAAACTGCTCTATCAATAGAAAGGTTCAACTCTTTTAGTTGAGTACACACATCACGAACAAGTTTCTGAGAATGCTTCTGTCTGGCTTTTATTGGAAGACGTTTCCTTTTCACCAAAGGCATCAAAGCGCTCCAAATGTCCACTTCCAGATTCTTCCAAAAGAGTGTTTCAAACGTGCTCAAAGTAAGGGAATGTTCAACTCTGTGACTTGAATGCAGATATCACCAAGTAGTTTCTAATAGTGCTTCTGTCTAGATTTTAGATGATGATATTCCCGTTTCCAACGAAATCGTTAGAGCTATCCAAATATCCACTTACAGTTTCTACCAAAAGGGTGTTTCGAAACTGCTGCATCAAAAGAAAAGTTCAACTCTGTTAGTTGAGGACACACATCTCAAAGCTGTTTGTGAGAATGCTTCTGTCTAGATTTTGTATGACGGTATTCCCTTTTCCAACGATATCGTTAAAGCAATCTAAATATCAATTTGCAGAATCCACAACAATAGAGTTTCAAAGCTGCTCTGTAAAAAGAAAGGTTCCACTCTGTTAGCTGAGTACACACATTACAAACTTGTTTCTGAGAATCCTTTCTGTCTCGTTTTTATGGGAAGATATTTACTTTTCCACCGTAGGCATCAAAGCGCTCCAAATGTCCACATCGAGATACTCCAGAACGAGTGTTTCAAACCTGCTCTATGAAAGGGAATCTTCAACTCTATGAGTTGAATGCAGACATCAGAAAGAAATTTCTGAGAATGCTGCTGTCTACCTTTTATTTGAATTCCCGCTTCCAACGAAATCCTCCAAGCTATCCAAATATCCACCTGCATTTTCCACAACAAGAGTGTTTCAAAACTGCTCTATCAATAGAAATGTTCAACTCCTTTGGCTGGGTACACACATCACAAACAAGTTTCTGAGAATGCTTCTGTCTAGTTTTTATGGGTAGACATTCCCTTTTTCACCAAAGACATCAAAGCGCTCCAAATGTCCACTTCCAGACACTACAAAAAGAGTGTTTCAAACGTGCTCTAAGAAAGCGAATGTTCAACTCTGTGACTTGAATGCAGATATCACAAAGTAGTTTCTGAGAGGGCTTCTGTCTAGATTTTAGATGATGATATTCCCGTTTCCAACGAAATCATTAGAGCTATCCAAATATCCACTTACAGTTTCTACAAAAAGAGTGTTTCCAAACTGCTGCATCAAAAGAGAGGTTCCACTCTGTTAGCTGAGTACACACATCACAAACTTGTTTCTCAGAATCCTTCTCTCTCGTTTTTATTGGAAGATATTTACTTTCTCACCGTAGGCCTCAAAGCGCTCCAAATGTCCACATCCAGATACTCCAGAAAGAGTGTTTCAAACCTGCTCTATGAAAGGGAATCTTCAACTCTATGAGTTGAATGCAGACATCAGAAAGAAATTTCTGAGAATGCTGCTGTCTACCTTTTATTTGAATTCCCGCTTCCAACGAAATCCTCCAAGCTATCCAAATATCCACTTGCAGATTCCACAAAAAGAGTGTTTCAAAACTGCTCTCTATCAATGGCAAAGTTCAACTCTGTTAGTTGAGGACACATATCACAAACAAGTTTCTGAGAATGCTTCTGTCTATTTTTTATGGGAAGATATTTCCTTTTTCACCGTAGGCGTCAAGGCGATCGAAATGTCCACTTCCACAAACTACAAAAAGAGTGTTTCAAACCTGCTCTATGAAAGGCCATGTTCATCTCTATGAGTTGAATGGAAATATCCGAAAGAAATTTCTGGGAATGCTGCTGTCTAGTTTTTATACGAATTCCCGCTTCCAACGAAATCCTCAAAGCAATCCAAATATCCACTTGCAGAATCCACAAAAAGAGTGTTTCAAAACTGCTCTATCAATAGAAAGGTTCAACTCTTTTAGTTGAGTACACACATCAGAAACAAGTTTCTGAGAATGCTTCTGTCTGGCTTTTATTGGAAGACGTTTCCTTTTCACCAAAGGCATCAAAGCGCTCCAAATGTCCACTTCCAGATTCTTCTAAAAGAGTGTTTCAAACGTGGTCGAAGTAAGGGAATGTTCTACTCTGTGACTTGAATGCAGATATCACCAAGTAGTTTCTAATAGTGCTTCTGTCTAGATTTTAGATGATGATATTCCCGTTTCCAACGAAATCGTTAGAGCTATCCAAATATCCAGTTACAGTTTCTACCAAAAGGGTGTTTCCAAATTGCTGCATCAAAAGAAAGGTTCAACTCTGTTAGTTGAGGACACACATCACAAAGAAGTTTGTGAGAATGCTTCTGTCCAGATTTTGTATGACGATATTCCCTTTTCCAACGATATCGTTAAAGCAATCTAAATATCCATTTGCAGAATCCACAAAAATAGAGTTTCAAAGCTGCTCTGTAAAAAGAAAGGTTCCACTCTGTTAGCTGAGTACACACATCACAAACTTGTTTCTCAGAATCCTTCTGTCTCGTTTTTATGGGAAGATATTTACTTTTCCACCGTAGGCATCAAAGCGCTCCAAATGTCCACATCCAGATACTCCAGAACGAGTGTTTCAAACCTGCTCTATGAAAGGGAATCTTCAACTCTATGAGTTGAATGCAGACATCAGAAAGAAATTTCTGAGAATGCTGCTGTCTACCTTTTATTTGAATTCCCGCTTCCAACGAAATCCTCCAAGCTATCCAAATATCCACCTGCATTTTCCACAACAAGAGTGTTTCAAAACTGCTCTATCAATAGAAATGTTCAACTCCTTTGGCTGGGTACACACATCACAAAGAAGTTTCTGAGAATGCTTCTGTCTAGTTTTTATGGGAAGACATTCCCTTTTTCACCAAAGGCATCAAAGCGCTCCAAATGTCCACTTCCAGACACTACAAAAAGAGTGTTTCAAACGTGCTCTAAGAAACCGAATGTTCAACTCTGTGACTTGAATGCAGATATCACAAAGTAGTTTCTGAAAGGGCTTCTGTCTAGATTTTAGATGATGATATTCCCGTTTCCAACGAAATCATTAGAGCTATCCAAATATCCACTTACAGTTTCTACAAAAAGAGTGTTTCCAAACTGCTGCATCAAAAGAGAGGTTCCACTCTGTTAGCTGAGTACACACATCACAAACTTGTTTCTCAGAATCCTTCTGTCTCGGTTTTATGGGAAGATATTTACTTTCTCACCGAAGGTACCAAAGCGCTCCAAATGTCCACATCCAGATACTCGAGAAAGAGTGTTTCAAACCTGCTCTATGAAAGGGAATCTTCAACTCTATGAGTTGAATGCAGACATCAGAAAGAAATTTCTGAGAATGCTGCTGTCTACCTTTTATTTGAATTCCCACTTCCAACGAAATCCTCCAAGCTATCCAAATATCCACTTGCAGATTCCACAGAAAGAGTGTTTCAAAACTGCTCTCTATCAATGGCAAAGTTCAACTCTGTTAGTTGAGGACACATATCACCAACAAGTTTCTGAGAATGCTTCTGTCTATTTTCTTATGGGAAGATATTTCCTTTTTCACCGTAGGCGTCAAGGCGATCGAAATGTCCACTTCCACAAACTACAAAAAGAGTGTTTCAAACCTGCTCTATGAAAGGCGATGTTCATCTCTATGAGTTGAATGGAAATATCCGAAAGAAATTTCTGGGAATGCTGCTGTCTAGTTTTTATATGAATTCCCGCTTCCAACGAAATCCTCAAAGCAATCCAAATATCCACTTGCAGAATCCACAAAAAGAGTGTTTCAAAACTGCTCTATCAATAGAAAGGTTCAACTCTTTTAGTTGAGTACACACATCACCAACAAGTTTCTGAGAATGCTTCTGTCTGGCTTTTATTGGAAGACGTTTCCTTTTCACCAAAGGCATCAAAGCGCTCCAAATGTCCACTTCCAGATTCTTCCAAAAGAGTGTTTGAAACGTGCTCAAAGTAAGGGAATGTTCAACTCTGTGACTTGAATGCAGATATCACCAAGTAGTTTCTAATAGTGCTTCTGTCTAGATTTTAGATGACGATATTCCCGTTTCCAGCGAAATCGTTAGAGCTATCCAAATATCCACTTACAGTTTCTACAAAAAGAGTGTTTCCAAACTGCTGCATCAAAAGAAAGGTTCAACTCTGTTAGTTGAGGACACACATCACAAAGAAGTTTGTGAGAATGCTTCTGTCTAGAATTTGTATGACGATATTCCCTTTTCCAACGATATCGTTAAAGCAATCTAAATATCAATTTGCAGAATCCACAAAAATAGAGTTTCAAAGCTGCTCTGTAAAAAGAAAGGTTCCACTCTTTTAGCTGAGTACACACATCACAAACTTGTTTCTGAGAATCCTTCTGTCTCGTTTTTATGGGAAGATATTTACTTTTTCACCGTAGGCATCAAAGCGCTCCAAATGTCCACATCCAGATACTCCAGAAAGAGTGTTTCAAACCTGCTCTATGAAAGGGAATCTTCAACTCTATGAGTTGAATGCAGACATCAGAAAGAAATTTCTGAGAATGCTGCTGTCTACCTTTTATTTGAATTCCCGCTTCCAACGAAATCCTCCAAGCTATCCAAATATCCACTTGCATTTTCCACAACAAGAGTGTTTCAAAACTGCTCTATCAATAGAAACGTTCAACTCCTTTGGCTGGGTACACACATCACAAACAAGTTTCTGAGAATGCTTCTGTCTAGTTTTTATGGGAAGACGTTCCCTTTTTCACCAAAGCCATCAAAGCGCTCCAAATGTCCACTTCCAGACACTACAAAAAGAGTGTTTCAAACGTGCTCTAAGAAAGCGAATGTTCAACTCTGTGACTTGAATGCAGATATCACAAAGTGGTTTCTGAGAGTGCTTCTGTCTAGATTTTAGATGATGATATTCCCGTTTCCAACGAAATCATTAGAGCTATCCAAATATCCACTTACAGTTTCTACAAAAAGAGTGTTTCCAAACTGCTGCATCAAAAGAGAGGTTCCACTCTGTTAGCCGAGTACAGACATCACAAACTTGTTTCTCAGAATCCTTCTGTCTCGTTTTTATGGGAAGATATTTACTTTTTCACCGTAGGCATCAAAGCGCTCCAAATGTCCACATCCGGATACTCCAGAAAGAGTGTTTCAAACCTGCTCTATGAAAGGGAATCTTCAACTCTATGAGTTGAATGCAGACATCAGAAAGAAATTTCTGAGAATGCTGCTGTCTACCTTTTATTTGAATTCCCGCTTCCAACGAAATCCTCCAAGCTATCCAAATATCCACTTGCAGATTCCACAAAAAGAGTGTTTCAAAACTGCTCTCTATCAATGGCAAAGTTCAACTCTGTTAGTTGAGGACACATATCACCAACAAGTTTCTGAGAATGCTTCTGTCTATTGTTTATGGGAAGATATTTCCTTTTTCACCGTAGGCGTCAACGCGATCGAAATGTCCACTTCCACAAACTACAAAAAGAGTGTTTCAAACCTGCTCTATGAAAGGCCATGTTCATCTCTATGAGTTGAATGGAAATATCCGAAAGAAATTTCTGGGAATGCTGCTGTCTAGTGTTTATACGAATTCACGCTTCCAACGAAATCCTCAAAGCAATCCAAATATCCACTTGCAGAATCCACAAAAAGAGTGTTTCAAAACTGCTCTATCAATAGAAAGGTTCAACTCTTTTAGTTGAGTACACACATCACGAACAAGTTTCTGAGAATGCTTCTGTCTGGCTTTTATTGGAAGACGTTTCCTTTTCACCAAAGGCATCAAAGCGCTCCAAATGTCCACTTCCAGATTCTTCCAAAAGAGTGTTTCAAACGTGCTCAAAGTAAGGGAATGTTCAACTCTGTGACTTGAATGCAGATATCACCAAGTAGTTTCTAATAGTGCTTCTGTCTAGATTTTAGATGATGATATTCCCGTTTCCAACGAAATCGTTAGAGCTATCCAAATATCCACTTACAGTTTCTACAAAAAGAGTGTTTCCAAACTGCTGCATCAAAAGAAAGGTTCAACTCTGTTGGTTGAGGACACACATCAGAAAGAAGTTTGTGAGAATGCTTCTGTCTAGATTTTGTATGACGATATTCCCTTTTCCAACGATATCGTTAAAGCAATCTAAATATCCATTTGCAGAATCCACAAAAATAGAGTTTCAAAGCTGCTCTGTAAAAAGAAAGGTTCCACTCTGTTAGCTGAGTACACACATCACAAACTTGTTTCTCAGAATCCTTCTGTCTCGTTTTTATGGGAAGATATTTACTTTTTCACCGTAGGCATCAAAGCGCTCCAAATGTCCACATCCAGATACTCCACAAAGAGTGTTTCAAACCTGCTCTATGAAAGGGAATCTTCAACTCTATGAGTTGAATGCAGACATCAGAAAGAAATTTCTGAGAATGCTGCTGTCTAAATTTTATTTGAATTCCCGCTTCCAACGAAATCCTCCAAGCTATCCAAATATCCTCCTGCATTTTCCACAAAAAGAGCGTTTCAAAACTGCTCTATCAATAGAAATGTTCAACTCCTTTGGCTGGGTACACACATCACAAACAAGTTTCTGAGAATGCTTCTGTCTAGTTTTTATGGGAAGACATTCCCCTTTTCACCAAAGGCATCAAAGCGCTCCAAATGTCCACTTCCAGACACTACAAAAAGAGTGTTTCAAACGTGCTCTAAGAAAGCGAATGTTCAACTCTGTGACTTGAATGCAGATATCACAAAGCAGTTTCTGAGAGGGCTTCTGTCTAGATTTTAGATGATGATATTCCCGTTTCCAACGAAATCATTAGAGCTATCCAAATATCCACTTACAGTTTCTACAAAAAGAGTGTTTCCAAACTGCTGCATCAAAAGAGAGGTTCCACTCTGTTAGCTGAGTACACACATCACAAACTTGTTTCTCAGAATCCTTCTGTCTCGTTTTTATGGGAAGATATTTACTTTTTCACCGTAGGCATCAAAGCGCTCCAAATGTCCACATCCAGATACTCCAGAAAGAGTGTTTCAAACATGCTCTATGAAAGGGAATCTTCAACTCTATGAGTTGAATGCAGACATCAGAAAGAAATTTCTGAGAATGCTGCTGTCTACCTTTTATTTGAATTCCCGCTTCCAACGAAATCCTCCAAGCTATCCAAATATCCACTTGCAGATTCCACAAAAAGAGTGTTTCAAAACTGCTCTCTATCAATGGCAAAGTTCAACTCTGTTAGTTGAGGACACATATCACCAACAAGTTTCTGAGAATGCTCTGTCTATTTTTTATGGGAAGATATTTCCTTTTTCAGCGTAGGCGTCAAGGCGATCGAAATGTCCACTTCCACAAACTACAAAAAGAGTGTTTCAAACCTGCTCTATGAAAGGCCATGTTCATCCTGCTATGAGTTGAATGGAAATATCCGAAAGAAATTTCCTGGGAATGCTGGCTGTCTACCTTTTATTTGAATTCCCGCTTCCAACGAAATCCTCCAAGGTATCCAAATATCCACCTGCATTTTCCACAAAAAGAGTATTTCAAAACTGTTCTATCAATAGAAATGTTCAACTCCTTTGGCTGGGTACACACATCACAAACAAGTTTCTGAGAATGCTTCTGTCTGGCTTTTATTGGAAGACGTTTCCTTTTCACCAAAGGCATCAAAGCGCTCCAAATGTCCACTTCCAGATTCTTCCAAAAGAGTGTTTCAAACGTGCTCAAAGTAAGGGAATGTTCAACTCTGTGACTTGAATGCAGATATCACCAAGTAGTTTCTAATAGTGCTTCTGTCTAGATTTTAGATGATGATATTCCCGTTTCCAACGAAATCGTTAGAGCTATCCAAATATCCACTTACAGTTTCTACAAAAAGAGTGTTTCCAAACTGCTGCATCAAAAGAAAGGTTCAACTCTGTTAGTTGAGGACACACATCACAAAGAAGTTTGTGAGAATGCTTCTGTCTAGATTTTGTATGACGATATTCCCTTTTCCAACGATATCGTTAAGGCAACCTAAATATCAATTTGCAGAATCCACAAAAATAGAGTTTCAAAGCTGCTCTGTAAAAAGAAAGGTTCCACTCTGTTAGCTGAGTACACACATCACAAACTTGTTTCTGAGAATCCTTCTGTCTCGTTTTTATGGGAAGATATTTACTTTTCCACCGTAGGCATCAAAGCGCTCCAAATGTCCACATCCAGATACTCCAGAACGAGTGTTTCAAACCTGCTCTATGAAAGGGAATCTTCAACTCTATGAGTTGAATGCAGACATCAGAAAGAAATTTCTGAGAATGCTGCTGTCTACCTTTTATTTGAATTCCCGCTTCCAACGAAATCCTCCAAGCTATCCAAATATCCACCTGCATTTTCCACAAAAAGAGTGTTTCAAACCTGCTCTATCAATAGAAATGTTCAACTCCTTTGGCTGGGTACACACATCACAAACAAGTTTCTGAGAATGCTTCTGTCTAGTTTTTATGGGAAGACATTCCCTTTTTCACCAAAGGCATCAAAGCGCTCCAAATGTCCACTTCCAGACACTACAAAAAGAGTGTTTCCAACGTGCTCTAAGAAAGCGAATGTTCAATTCTGTGACTTGAATGCAGATATCACAAAGTAGTTTCTAATAGTGCTTCTGTCTAGATTTTAGATGATGATATTCCCGTTTCCAACGAAATCGTTAGAGCTATCCAAATATCCACTTACAGTTTCTACAAAAAGAGTGTTTCCAAACTGCTGAATCAAAAGAAAGGTTCAACTCTGTTAGTTGAGGACACACATCACAAAGAAGTTTGTGAGAATGCTTCTTTCTCGTTTTTATGGGAAGATATTTACTTTTTCACCGTAGGCATCAAAGCGCTCCAAATGTCCACATCCAGATACTCCAGAAAGAGTGTTTCAAACCTGCTCTATGAAAGGGAATCTTCAACTCTATGAGTTGAATGCAGACATCAGAAAGAAATTTCTGAGAATGCTGCTGTCTACCTTTTATTTGAATTCCCGCTTCCAACGAAATCCTCCAAGCTATCCAAATATCCACTTGCAGATTCCACAAAAAGAGTGTTTCAAAACTGCTCTCTATCAATGGCAAAGTTCAACTCTGTTAGTTGAGGACACATATCACCAACAAGTTTCTGAGAATGCTTCTGTCTATTTTTTATGGGAAGAATTTCCTTTTTCACCGTAGGCGTCAAGGCGATCGAAATGTCCACTTCCACAAACTACAAAAAGAGTGTTTCAAACCTGCTCTATGAAAGGCCATGTTCATCTCTATGAGTCGAATGGAAATATCCGAAAGAAATTTCTGGGAATGCTGCTGTCTAGTTTTTATACGAATTCCCGCTTCCAACGAAATCCTCAAAGCAATCCAAATATCCACTTGCAGAATCCACAAAAAGAGTGTTTCAAAACTGCTCTATCAATAGAAAGGTTCAACTCTTTTAGTTGAGTACACACATCACAAACAAGTTTCTGAGAATGCTTCTGTCTCGTTTTTATGGGAAGATATTTACTTTTCCACCGTAGGCATGAAAGCGCTCCAAATGTCCACTTCCAGATTCTTCCAAAAGAGTGTTTCAAACGTGCTCAAAGTAAGGGAATGTTCAACTCTGTGACTTGAATGCAGATATCACCAAGTAGTTTCTAATAGTGCTTCTGTCTAGATTTTAGATGATGATATTCCCGTTTCCAACGAAATCGTTAGAGCTATCCAAATATCCAGTTACAGTTTCTACCAAAAGGGTGTTTCCAAATTGCTGCATCAAAAGAAAGGTTCAACTCTGTTAGTTGAGGACACACATCACAAAGAAGTTTGTGAGAATGCTTCTGTCTAGATTTTGTATGAGGATATTCCCTTTTCCAACGATATCGTTAAAGCAATCTAAATATCAATTTGCAGAATCCACAAAACTAGAGTTTCAAAGCTGCTCTGTTAAAAGAAAGGTTCCACTCTGTTAGCTGAGTACACACATCACAAACTTGTTTCTGAGAATCCTTCTGTCTCGTTTTTATGGGAAGATATTTACTTTTCCACCGTAGGCATCAAAGCGCTCCAAATGTCCACATCCAGATACTCCAGAACGAGTGTTTCAAACCTGCTCTATGAAAGGGAATCTTCAACTCTATGAGTTGAATGCAGACATCAGAAAGAAATTTCTGAGAATGCTGCTGTCTAGCTTTTATTTGAATTCCCGCTTCCAACGAAATCCTCCAAGCTATCCAAATATCCACCTGCATTTTCCACAACAAGAGTGTTTCAAAACTGCTGTATCAATAGAAATGTTCAACTCCTTTGGCTGGGTACACACATCACAAACAAGTTTCTGAGAATGCTTCTGCCTAGTTTTTATGGGAAGACATTCCCTTTTTCACCAAAGGCATCAAAGCGCTCCAAATGTCCACTTCCAGCCACTACAAAAAGAGTGTTTCAAACGTGCTCTAAGAAAGCGAATGTTCAACTCTGTGACTTGAGTGCAGATATCACAAAGTAGTTTCTGAGAGTGCTTCTGTCTAGATTTTAGATGATGATATTCCCGTTTCCAAAGAAATCATTAGAGCTATCCAAATATCCACTTACAGTTTCTACAAAAAGAGTGTTTCCAAACTGCTGCATCAAAACAGAGGTTCCACTCTGTTAGCTGAGTACACACATCACAAACTTGTTTCTCAGAATCCTTCTGTCTCGTTTTTATGGGAAGATATTTACTTTTTCACCGTAGGCATCAAAGCGCTCCAAATGTCCACATCCAGATACTACAGAAAGAGTATTTCAAACCTGCCCTATGAAAGGGAATGTTCAACTCTATGAGTTGAATGCAGACATCAGAAAGAAATTTCTGAGAATGCTGCTGTCTACCTTTTATTTGAATTCCCGCTTCCAACGAAATCCTCCAAGCTATCCAAATATCCGCTTGCAGATTCCACAAAAAGAGTGTTTCAAAACTGCTCTCTATCAATGGCAAAGTTCAACTCTGTTAGTTGAGGACACATATCACCAACAAGTTTCTGAGAATGCTTCTGTCTATTTTTTATGGGAAGATATTTCCTTTTTCACCGTAGGCGTCAAGGCGATCGAAATGTCCACTTCCACAAACTACAAAAAGAGTGTTTCAAACCTGCTCTATGAAAGGCCATGTTCATCTCTATGAGTTGAATGGAAATATCCGAAAGAAATTTCTGGGAATGCTGCTGTCTAGTGCTTATACGAATTCCCGCTTCCAACGAAATCCTCAAAGCAATCCAAATATCCACTTGCAGAATCCACAAAAAGAGTGTTTCAAAACTGCTCTATCAATAGAAAGGTTCAACTCTTTTAGTTGAGTACACACATCACGAACAAGTTTCTGAGAATGCTTCTTTCTGGCTTTTATTGGAAGACGTTTCCTTTTCACCAAAGGCATCAAAGCGCTCCAAATGTCCACTTCCAGATTCTTCCAAAAGAGTGTTTCAAACGTGCTCGAAGTAAGGGAATGTTCTACTCTGTGACTTGAATGCAGATATCACCAAGTAGTTTCTAATAGTGCTTCTGTCTACATTTTAGATGATGATATTCCCGTTTCCAACGAAATCGTTAGAGCTATCCAAATATCCAGTTACAGTTTCTACCAAAAGGGTGTTTCCAAATTGCTGCATCAAAAGAAAGGTTCAACTCTGTTAGTTGAGGACACACATCACAAAGAAGTTTGTGAGAATGCTTCTGTCTAGATTTTGTATGACCATATTCCCTTTTCCAATGATATCGTTAAAGCAATCTAAATATCAATTTGCAGAATCCACAAAAATAGAGTTTCAAAGCTGCTCTGTAAAAAGAAAGGTTCCACTCTGTTAGCTGAGTACACACATCACAAACTTGTTTCTGAGAATCCTTCTGTCTCGTTTTTATGGGAAGATATTTACTTTTCCACCGTAGGCATCAAAGCGCTCCAAATGTCCACATCCAGATACTCCAGAACGAGTGTTTCAAACCTGCTCTATGAAAGGGAATCTTCAACTCTATGAGTTGAATGCAGACATCAGAAAGAAATTTCTGAGAATGCTGCTGTCTACCTTTTATTTGAATTCCCGCTTCCAACGAAATCCCCCAAGCTATCCAAATATCCACCTGCATTTTCCACAACAAGAGTGTTTCAAAACTGCTCTATCAATAGAAATGTTCAACTCCTTTGGCTGGGTACACACATCACAAACAAGTTTCTGAGAATGCTTCTGTCTAGTTTTTATGGGAAGACATTCCCTTTTTCACCAAAGGCATCAAAGCGCTCCAAATGTCCACTTCCAGACACTGCAAAAAGAGTGTTTCAAACGTGCTCTAAGAAAGCGAATGTTCAACTCTGTGACTTGAATGCAGATATCACAAAGTAGTTTCTGAGAGGGCTTCTGTCTAGATTTTAGATGATGATATTCCCGTTTCCAACGAAATCATTAGAGCTATCCAAATATCCACTTACAGTTTCTACAAAAAGAGTGTTTCCAAACTGTTGCATCAGAAGAGAGGTTCCACTCTGTTAGCTGAGTACACACATCACAAACTTGTTTCTGAGAATCCTTCTGTCTCGTTTTTCTGGGAAGATATTTACTTTTTCACCGTAGGCATCAAAGCGCTCCAAATGTCCACATCCAGATACTCCAGAAAGAGTGTTTCAAACCTGCTCTATGAAAGGGAATCTTCAACTCTATGAGTTGAATGCAGACATCAGAAAGAAATTTCTGAGAATGCTGCTGTCTACCTTTTATTTGAATTCCCGCTTCCAACGAAATCCTCCAAGCTATCCAAATATCCACTTGCAGATTCAGGAAAAAGAGTGTTTCAAAACTGCTCTCTATCAATGGCAAAGTTCAACTCTGTTAGTTGAGGACACATATCGCCAACAAGTTTCTGAGAATGCTTCTGTCTATTTTTTATGGGTAGATATTTCCTTTTTCACCGTAGGCGTCAAGGCGATCGAAATGTCCACTTCCACAAACTACAAAAAAGAGTGTTTCAAACCTGCTCTATGAAAGGCCATGTTCATCTCTATGAGTTGAATGGAAATATCCGAAAGAAATTTCTGGGAATGCTGCTGTCTAGTTGTTATACGAATTCCCGCTTCCAACGAAATCCTCAAAGCAATCCAAATATCCACTTGCAGAATCCACAAAAAGAGTGTTTCAAAACTGCTCTATCAATAGAAAGGTTCAACTCTTTTAGTTGAGTACACACATCACAAACAAGTTTCTGAGAATGCTTCTGTCTGGCTTTTATTGGAAGACGTTTCCTTTTCACCAAAGGCATCAAAGCGCTCCAAATGTCCACTTCCAGATTCTTCCAAAAGAGTGTTTGAAACGTGCTCAAAGTAAGGGAATGTTCAACTCTGTGACTTGAATGCAGATATCACCAAGTAGTTTCTAATAGTGCTTCTGTCTAGATTTTAGATGATGATATTCCCGTTTCCAACAAAATCGTTAGAGCTATCCAAATATCCAGTTACAGTTTCTACCAAAAGGGTGTTTCCAAATTGCTGCATCAAAAGAAAGGTTCAACTCTGTTAGTTGAGGAAACACATCACAAAGAAGTTTGTGAGAATGCTTCTGTCTAGATTTTGTATGACGATATTCCCTTTTCCAACGATATCGTTAAAGCAATCTAAATATCAATTTGCAGAATCCACAAAAATAGAGTTTCAAAGCTGCTCTGTAAAAAGAAAGGTTCCACTCTGTTAGCTGAGTACACACATCACAAACTTGTTTCTGAGAATCCTGCTGTCTACCTTTTATTTGAATTCCCGCTTCCAACGAAATCCTCCAAGCTATCCAAATATCCACCTGCATTTTCCACAAAAAGAGTGTTTCAAAACTGCTCTATCAATAGAAATGTTCAACTCCTTTGGCTGGGTACACACATCACAAACAAGTTTCTGAGAATGCTTCTGTCTAGTTTTTATGGGAAGACATTCCCTTTTTCCCCAAAGACATCAAAGCGCTCCAAATGTCCACTTCCAGACACTACAAAAAGAGTGTTTCAAACGTGCTCTAAGAAAGCGAATGTTCAACTCTGTGACTTGAATGCAGATATCACAAAGTAGTTTCTGAGAGGGCTTCTGTCTAGATTTTAGATGATGATATTCCGGTTTCCAACGAAATCATTAGAGCTATCCAAATATCCACTTACAGTTTCTACAAAAAGAGTGTTTCCAAACTGCTGCATCAAAAGAGAGGTTCCACTCTGTTAGCTGAGTACACACATCACAAACTTGTTTCTGAGAATCCTGCTGTCTACCTTTTATTTGAATTCCCGCTTCCAACGAAATCCTCCAAGCTATCCAAATATCCACTTGCAGATTCCACAAAAAGAGTGTTTCAAAACTGCTCTCTATCAATGGCAAAGTTCAACTCTGTTAGTTGAGGACACATATCACCAACAAGTTTCTGAGAATGCTTCTGTCTATTTTTTATGGGAAGATATTTCCTTTTTCACCGTAGGCGTCAAGGCGATCGAAATGTCCACTTCCACAAACTACAAAAAGAGTGTTTCAAACCTGCTCTATGAAAGGCCATGTTCATCTCTATGAG
The DNA here is from genome assembly GCF_000001405.40 of Homo sapiens. Taxonomy (NCBI): domain Eukaryota; kingdom Metazoa; phylum Chordata; class Mammalia; order Primates; family Hominidae; genus Homo; species Homo sapiens. Next base: position 12,755,060 of record NC_000021.9, on the reverse strand, counting down.
TCGAATGGAAATATCCGAAAGAAATTTCTGGGAATGCTGCTGTCTAGTTTTTATACGAATTCCCGCTTACAACGAAATCCTCAAAGCAATCCAAATATCCACTTGCAGAATCCACAAAAAGAGTGTTTCAAAACTGCTCTATCAATAGAAAGGTTCAACTCTTTTAGTTGAGTACACACATCACAAACAAGTTTCTGAGAATGCTTCTGTCTGGCTTTTATTGGAAGACGTTTCCTTTTCACCAAAGGCATCATCAAAGCGCTCCAAATGTCCACTTCCAGATTCTTCCAAAAGAGTGTTTCAAACGTGCTCAAAGTAAGGGAATGTTCAACTCTGTGACTTGAATGCAGATATCACCAAGTAGTTTCTAATAGTGCTTCTGTCTAGATTTTAGATGATGATATTCCCGTTTCCAACGAAATCGTTAGAGCTATCCAAATATCCAGTTACAGTTTCTACCAAAAGGGTGTTTCCAAATTGCTGCATCAAAAGAAAGGTTCAACTCTGTTAGTTGAGGACACACATCACAAAGAAGTTTGTGAGAATGCTTCTGTCTAGATTTTGTATGACGATATTCCCTTTTCCAGCGATATCGTTAAAGCAATCTAAATATCCATTTGCAGAATCCACAAAAATAGAGTTTCAAAGCTGCTCTGTAAAAAGAAAGGTTCCACTCTGTTAGCTGAGTACACACATCACAAACTTGTTTCTCAGAATCCTTCTGTCTCGTTTTTATGGGAAGATATTTACATTTTCACCGTAGGCATCAAAGCACTCCAAATGTCCACATCCAGATACTCCAGAAAGACTGTTTCAAACCTGCTCTATGAAAGGGAATCTTCAACTCTATGAGTTGAATGCAGACATCAGAAAGAAATTTCTGAGAATGCTGCTGTCTACCTTTTATTTGAATTCCCGCTTCCAACGAAATCCTCCAAGCTATCCAAATATCCACCTGCATTTTCCACAAAAAGAGCGTTTCAAAACTGCTCTATCAATAGAAATGTTCAACTCCTTTGGCTGGGTACACACATCACAAACAAGTTTCTGAGAATGCTTCTGTCTAGTTTTTATGGGAAGACATTCTCTTTTTCACCAAAGGCATCAAAGCGCTCCAAATGTCCACTTCCAGACACTACAAAAAGAGTGTTTCCAACGTGCTCTAAGAAAGCGAATGTTCAACTCTGTGACTTGAATGCAGATATCACAAAGTAGTTTCTGAGAGGGCTTCTGTCTAGATTTTAGATGATGATATTCCCTTTTCCAACGAAATCATTAGAGCTATCCAAATATCCACTTACAGTTTCTACAAAAAGAGTGTTTCCAAACTGCTGTATCAAAACAGAGGTTCCACTCTGTTAGCTGAGTACACACATCACAAACTTGTTTCTCAGAATCCTGCTGTCTACCTTTTATTTGAATTCCCGCTTCCAACGAAATCCTCCAAACTATCCAAATATCCACTTGCAGATTCAGGAAAAAGAGTGTTTCAAAACTGCTCTCTATCAATGGCAAAGTTCAACTCTGTTAGTTGAGGACACATATCACCAACAAGTTTCTGAGAATGCTTCTGTCTATTTTTTATGGGAAGATATTTCCTTTTTCACCGTAGGCGTCAAGGCGATCGAAATGTCCACTTCCACAAACTACAAAAAGAGTGTTTCAAACCTGCTCTATGAAAGGCCATGTTCATCTCTATGAGTCGAATGGAAATATCTGAAAGAAATTTCTGGGAATGCTGCTGTCTAGTTTTTATACGAATTCCCGCTTCCAACGAAATCCTCAAAGCAATCCAAATATCCACTTGCAGAATCCACAAAAAGAGTGTTTCAAAACTGCTCTATCAATAGAAAGGTTCAACTCTTTTAGTTGAGTACACACATCACAAACAAGTTTCTGAGAATGCTTCTGTCTGGCTTTTATTGGAAGACGTTTCCTTTTCACCAAAGGCATCAAAGCGCTCCAAATGTCCACTTCCAGATTCTTCCAAAAGAGTGTTTCAAACGTGCTCGAAGTAAGGGAATGTTCTACTCTGTGACTTGAATGCAGATATCACCAAGTAGTTTCTAATAGTGCTTCTGTCTACATTTTAGATGATGATATTCCCGTTTCCAACGAAATCGTTAGAGCTATCCAAATATCCAGTTACAGTTTCTACCAAAAGGGTGTTTCCAAATTGCTGCATCAAAAGAAAGGTTCAACTCTGTTAGTTGAGGACACACATCACAAAGAAGTTTGTGAGAATGCTTCTGTCTAGATTTTGTATGACGATATTCCCTTTTCCAACGATATCGTTAAAGCAATCTAAATATCAATTTGCAGAATCCACAAAACTAGAGTTTCAAAGCTGCTCTGTAAAAAGAAAGGTTCCACTCTGTTAGCTGAGTACACACATCACAAACTTGTTTCTGAGAATCCTTCTGTCTCGTTTTTATGGGAAGATATTTACTTTTTCACCGTAGGCATCAAAGCGCTCCAAATGTCCACATCCAGATACTCCAGAAAGAGTGTTTCAAACCTGCTCTATGAAAGGGAATCTTCAACTCTATGAGTTGAATGCAGACATCAGAAAGAAATTTCTGAGAATGCTGCTGTCTACCTTTTATTTGAATTCCCTCTTCCAACGAAATCCTCCAAGCTATCCAAATATCCACCTGCATTTTCCACAAAAAGAGTGTTTCAAAACTGCTCTATCAATAGAAATGTTCAACTCCTTTGGCTGGGTACACACATCACAAACAAGTTTCTGAGAATGCTTCTGTCTAGTTTTTATGGGAAGACATTCCCTTTTTCACCAAAGGCATCAAAGCGCTCCAAATGTCCACTTCCAGACACTACAAAAAGAGTGTTTCAAACGTGGTCGAAGTAAGGGAATGTTCAACTCTGTGACTTGAATGCAGATATCACCAAGTAGTTTCTAATAGTGCTTCTGTCTAGATTTTAGATGATGATATTCCCGTTTCCAACGAAATCATTAGAGCTATCCAAATATCCACTTACAGTTTCTACAAAAAGAGTGTTTCCAAACTGCTGCATCAAAAGAGGGGTTCCACCTCTGTTAGCTGAGTACACACATCACAAACTTGTTTCTCAGAATCCTTCTGTCTAGTTTTTATGGGAAGATATTTACTTTTTCACCGTAGGCATCAAAGAGTTCCAAATGTCCACATGCAGATAGTACAGAAAGAGTGTTTCAAACCTGCTGTATGAAAGGGAATGTTCAACTCTATGAGTTGAATGCAAGCATCACAAAGAAATTTCTGAGAATGCTTGCTGTCTACCTTTTATTTGAATTCCCGCTTCCAACGAAATCCTCCAAGCTATCCAAATATCCACTTGCATATTCCACAAAAAGAGTGTTTCAAAACTGCTCTCTATCAATGGCAAAGTTCAACTCTGTTAGTTGAGGACACATATCACCAACAAGTTTCTGAGAATGCTTCTGTCTATTTTTTATGGGAAGATATTTCCTTTTTCACCGTAGGCGTCAAGGTGATCGAAATGTCCACTTCCACAAACTACAAAAAGAGTGTTTCAAACCTGCTCTATGAAAGGCCATGTTCTTCTCTATGAGTTGAATGGAAATATCCGAAAGAAATTTCTGGTAATGCTGCTGTCTAGTTATTATATGAATTCCCGCTTCCAACGAAATCCTCAAAGCAATCCAAATATCCACTTGCAGAATCCACAAAAAGAGTGTTTCAAAACTGCTCTATCAATAGAAAGGTTCAACTCTTTTAGTTGAGTACACACATCACAAACAAGTTTCTGAGAATGCTTCTGTCTGGCTTTTATTGGAAGACGTTTCCTTTTCACCAAAGGCATCAAAGCGCTCCAAATGTCCACTTCCAGATTCTTCCAAAAGAGTGTTTCAAACGTGCTCGAAAGTAAGGGAATGTTCAACTCTGTGACTTGAATGCAGATATCACCAAGTAGTTTCTAATAGTGCTTCTGTCTACATTTTAGATGATGATATTCCCGTTTCCAACGAAATCGTTAGAGCTATCCAAATATCCAGTTACAGTTTCTACCAAAAGGGTGTTTCCAAATTGCTGCATCAAAAGAAAGGTTCAACTCTGTTAGTTGAGGACACACATCACAAAGAAGTTTGTGAGAATGCTTCTGTCCAGATTTTGTATGACGATATTCCCTTTTCCAACGATATCATTAAAGCAATCTAAATATCCATTTGCAGAATCCACAAAAATAGAGTTTCAAAGCTGCTCTGTAAAAAGAAAGGTTCCACTCTGTTAGCTGAGTACACACATCACAAACTTGTCTCTCAGAATCCTTCTGTCTCGTTTTTATGGGAAGATATTTACTTTTTCACCGTAGGCATCAAAGGGCTCCAAATGTCCACATCCAGATACTCCAGAAAGAGTGTTTCAAACCTGCTCTATGAAAGGGGAATGTTCAACTCTATGAGTTGAATGCAGACATCAGAAAGAAATTTCTGAGAATGCTGCTGTCTACCTTTTATTTGAATTCCCGCTTCCAACGAAATCCTCCAAGCTATCCAAATATCCACCTGCATTTTCCACAAAAAGAGTGTTTCAAAACTGCTCTATCAATAGAAATGTTCAACTCCTTTGGCTGGGTACACACATCACAAACAAGTTTCTGAGAATGCTTCTGTCTAGTTTTTATGGGAAGACGTTCCCTTTTTCACCAAAGGCATCAAAGCGCTCCAAATGTCCACTTCCAGACACTACAAAAAGAGTGTTTCAAACGTGCTCTAAGAAAGTGAATGTTCAACTCTGTGACTTGAATGCAGATATCACAAAGTAGTTTCTGAGAGGGCTTCTGTCTAGATTTTAGATGATGATATTCCCGTTTCCAACGAAATCATTAGAGCTATCCAAATATCCACTTACAGTTTCTACAAAAAGAGTGTTTCCAAACTGCTGCATCAAAAGAGAGGTTCCACTCTGTTAGCTGAGTACACACATCACAAACTTGTTTCTCAGAATCCTTCTGTCTCGTTTTTATGGGAAGATATTTACTTTTTCACCGTAGGCATCAAAGCGCTCCAAATGTCCACATCCAGATACTCCAGAAAGAGTGTTTCAAACCTGCTCTATGAAAGGGAATCTTCAACTCTATGAGTTGAATGCAGACATCAGAAAGAAATTTCTGAGAATGCTGCTGTCTACCTTTTATTTGAATTCCCGCTTCCAACAAAATCCTCCAAGCTATCCAAATATCCACTTGCAGATTCCACAAAAAGAGTGTTTCAAAACTGCTCTCTATCAATGGCAAAGTTCAACTCTGTTAGTTGAGGACACATATCACCAACAAGTTTCTGAGAATGCTTCTGTCTATTTTTTATGGGAAGATATTTCCTTTTTCACCGTAGGCGTCAAGGCGATCCAAATGTCCACTTCCACAAACTACAAAAAGAGTGTTTCAAACGTGCTCTATGAAAGGCGATGTTCATCTCTATGAGTTGAATGGAAATATCCGAAAGAAATTTCTGGGAATGCTGCTGTCTAGTTTTTATACGAATTCCCGCTTCCAACGAAATCCTCAAAGCAATCCAAATATCCACTTGCAGAATCCACAAAAAGAGTGTTTCAAAACTGCTCTATCAATAGAAAGGTTCAACTCTTTTAGTTGAGTACACACATCACAAACAAGTTTCTGAGAATGCTTCTGTCTGGCTTTTATTGGAAGACGTTTCCTTTTCACCAAAGGCATCAAAGCGCTCCAAATGTCCACTTCCAGATTCTTCCAAAAGAGTGTTTGAAACGTGCTCAAAGTAAGGGAATGTTCCACTCTGTGACTTGAATGCAGATATCACCAAGTAGTTTCTAATAGTGCTTCTGTCTAGATTTTAGATGATGATATTCCCGTTTCCAACGAAATCGTTAGAGCTATCCAAATATCCACTTACAGTTGCTACAAAAACAGTGTTTCCAAACTGCTGCATCAAAAGAAAGGTTCAACTCTGTTAGTTGAGGACACACGTCACAAAGAAGTTTGTGAGAATGCTTCTGTCCAGATTTTGTATGACGATATTCTCTTTTCCAACGATATCGTTAAAGCAATCTAAATATCCATTTGCAGAATCCACAAAAATAGAGTTTCAAAGCTGCTCTGTAAAAAGAAAGGTTCCACTCTGTTAGCTGAGTACACACATCACAAACTTGTTTCTGAGAATCCTTCTGTCTCGTTTTTATGGGAAGATATTTACTTTTCCACCGTAGGCATCAAAGCGCTCCAAATGTCCACATCCAGATACTCCAGAACGAGTGTTTCAAACCTGCTCTATGAAAGGGAATCTTCAACTCTATGAGTTGAATGCAGACATCAGAAAGAAATTTCTGAGAATGCTGCTGTCTACCTTTTATTTGAATTCCCGCTTCCAAGGAAATCCTCCAAGCTATCGAAATATCCACTAGCATTTTCCACAAAAAGAGTGTTTCAAAACTGCTCTATCAATAGAAACGTTCAACTCCTTTAGCTGGGTACACACATCACAAACAAGTTTCTGAGAATGCTTCTGTCTAGTTTTTATGGGTAGACATTCCCTTTTTCACCAAAGGAATCAAAGCACTCCAAATGTCCACTTCCAGACACTACAAAAAGAGTGTTTCAAACGTGCTCTAAGAAAGCGAATGTTCAACTCTGTGACTTGAATGCAGATATCACAAAGTAGTTTCTGAGAGTGCTTCTGTCTAGATTTTAGATGATGATATTCCCGTTTCCAACGAAATCATTAGAGCTATCCAAATATCCACTTACAGTTTCTACAAAAAGAGTGTTTCCAAACTACTGCATCAAAAGAGAGGTTCCACTCTGTTAGCTGAGTACACACATCACAAACTTGTTTCTCAGAATCCTTCTGTCTCGTTTTTATGGGAAGATATTTACTTTTTCACCGTAGGCATCAAAGCGCTCCAAATGTCCACAACCAGATACTACAGAAAGAGTATTTCAAACCTGCCCTATGAAAGGGAATGCTCAACTCTATGAGTTGAATGCAGACATCAGAAAGAAATTTCTGAGAATGCTGCTGTCTACCTTTTATTTGAATTCCCGCTTCCAACGAAATCCTCCAAGCTATCCAAATATCCACTTGCAGATTCCACAAAAAGAGTGTTTCAAAACTGCTCTCTATCAATGGCAAAGTTCAACTCTGTTAGTTGAGGACACATATCACCAACAAGTTTCTGAGAATGCTTCTGTCTATTTTTTATGGGAAGATATTTCCTTTTTCACCGTAGGCGTCAAGGCGATCGAAATGTCCACTTCCACAAACTACAAAAAGAGTGTTTCAAACCTGCTCTATGAAAGGCCATGTTCATCTCTATGAGTTGAATGGAAATATCCGAAAGAAATTTCTGGGAATGCTGCTGTCTAGTGTTTATACGAATTCCCGCTTCCAACGAAATCCTCAAAGCAATCCAAATATCCACTTGCAGAATCCACAAAAAGAGTGTTTCAAAACTGCTCTATCAATAGAAAGGTTCAACTCTTTTAGTTGAGTACACACATCACCAACAAGTTTACTGAGAATGCTTCTGTCTGGCTTTTATTGGAAGACGTTTCCTTTTCACCAAAGACATCAAAGCGCTCCAAATGTCCACTTCCAGATTCTTCCAAAAGAGTGTTTCAAACGTGCTCGAAGTAAGGGAATGTTCTACTCTGTGACTTGAATGCAGATATCACCAAGTAGTTTCTAATAGTGCTTCTGTCTAGATTTTAGATGATGATATTCCCGTTTCCAACGAAATCGTTAGAGCTATCCAAATATCCACTTACAGTTTCTACAAAAACAGTGTTTCCAAACTGCTGCATCAAAAGAAAAGTTCAACTCTGTTAGTTGAGGACACACATCACAAAGAAGTTTGTGAGAATGCTTTCTGTCTGGATTTTGTATGAAGATATTCCCTTTTCCAACGATGTCGCTAAATCAACCCAAATATCAATTTGCAGAATCCACAGAAATAGAGTTTCAAAGCTGCTCTGTAAGAAGAAAGTATCCACTCTGTTAGCTGAGTACACACATCACAAACTTGTTTCTGAGAATCCTTCTGTCTAGTTTTTATGGGAAGATATTTACTTTTTCACAGTAGGTATCAAAGCGCAACAAATGTCCACATCCAGATACTACAGAAAGAGTGTTTCACACCTGCTCTATGAAAGGGAATCTTCAACTCTATGAGTTGAATGCAGACATCAGAAAGTAATTTCTGAGAATGCTCCTGTCTACCTTTTATTTGAATTCCCGCTTCCAACGAAATCCTCCAAGCTATCCAAATATCCACCTGCATTTTCCACAAAAAGAGCGTTTCAAAACTGCTCTATCAATAGAAATGTTCAACTCCTTTGGCTGGGTACACACATCACAAACAAGTTTCTGAGAATGCTTCTGTCTAGTTTTTATGGGTAGACATTCCCTTTTTCACCAAAGGAATCAAAGCGCTCCAAATGTCCACTTCCAGACACTACAAAAAGAGTGTTTCAAACGTGCTCTAAGAAAGCGAATGTTCAACTCTGTGACTTGAATGCAGATATCACAAAGTAGTTTCTGAGAGTGCTTCTGTCTAGATTTTGTATGACGATATTCCCTTTTCCAACGATATCGTTAAAGCAATCTAAATATCAATTTGCAGAATCCAGAAAAATAGAGTTTCAAAGCTGCTCTGTAAAAAGAAAGGTTCCACTCCGTTAGCTGAGTACACACATCACAAACTTGTTTCTGAGAATCCTTCTGTCTCGTTTTTATGGGAAGATATTTACTTTTCCACCGTAGGCATCAAAGCGCTCCAAATGTCCACATCCAGATACTCCAGAACGAGTGTTTCAAACCTGCTCTATGAAAGGGAATCTTCAACTCTATGAGTTGAATGCAGACATCAGAAAGAAATTTACTGAGAATGCTGCTGTCTACCTTTAATTTGAATTCCCGCTTCCAACGAAATCCTCCAAGCTATCCAAATATCCACTTGCAGATTCCACAAAAAGAGTGTTTCAAAACTGCTCTCTATCAATGGCAAAGTTCAACTCTGTTAGTTGAGGACACATATCACCAAGAAGTTTCTGAGAATGCTTCTGTCTATTTTTTATGGGAAGATATTTCCTTTTTCACCGTAGGCGTCAAGGCGATCGAAATGTCCACTTCCACAAACTACAAAAAGAGTGTTTCAAACCTGCTCTATGAAAGGCCATGTTCATCTCTATGAGTCGAATGGAAATATCCGAAAGAAATTTCCTGGGAATGCTGCTGTCTAGTTTTTATACGAATTCCCGCTTCCAACGAAATCCTCAAAGCAATCCAAATATCCACTTGCAGAATCCACAAAAAGAGTGTTTCAAAACTGCTCTTTCAATAGAAAGGTTCAACTCTTTTAGTTGAGTACACACATCACAAACAAGTTTCTGAGAATGCTTCTGTCTAGTTTTTATGGGAAGACGTTCCCTTTTTCACCAAAGGCATCAAAGCGCTCCAAATGTCCACTTCCAGACACTACAAAAAGAGTGTTTCAAACGTGCTCTAAGAAAGCGAATGTTCAACTCTGTGACTTGAATGCAGATATCACCAAGTAGTTTCTAATAGTGCTTCTGTCTACATTTTAGATGATGATATTCCCGTTTCCAACGAAATCGTTAGAGCTATCCAAATATCCAGTTACAGTTTCTACCAAAAGGGTGTTTCCAAATTGCTGCATCAAAAGAAAGGTTCAACTCTGTTAGTTGAGGACACACATCACAAAGAAGTTTGTGAGAATGCTTCTGTCCAGATTTTGTATGACGATATTCCCTTTTCCAACGATATCGTTAAAGCAATCTAAATATCCATTTGCAGAATCCACAAAAATAGAGTTTCAAAGCTGCTCTGTAAAAAGAAAGGTTCCACTCTGTTAGCTGAGTACACACATTACAAACTTGTTTCTGAGAATCCTTCTGTCTCGTTTTTATGGGAAGATATTTACTTTTTCACCGTAGGCATCAAAGCGCTCCAAATGTCCACATCCAGATACTCCAGAAACAGTGTTTCAAACCTGCTCTATGAAAGGGAATCTTCAACTCTATGAGTTGAATGCAGACATCAGAAAGAAATTTCTGAGAATGCTGCTGTCTACCTTTTATTTGAATTCCCGCTTCCAACGAAATCCTCCAAGCTATCCAAATATCCACTTGCATTTTCCACAAAAAGAGTGTTTCAAAACTGCTCTATCAATAGAAATGTTCATCTCCTTTAGCTGGGTACACACATCACAAACAAGTTTCTGAGAATGCTTTCTGTCTAGTTTTTATGGGAAGACGTTCCCTTTTTCACCAAAGGCATCAAAGCGCTCCAAATGTCCACTTCCAGACACTACAAAAAGAGTGTTTCCAACGTGCTCTAAGAAAGCGAATGTTCAACTCTGTGACTTGAATGCAGATATCACAAAGTAGTTTCTGAGAGGGCTTCTGTCTAGATTTTAGATGATGATATTCCCGTTTCCAACGAAATCATTAGAGCTATCCAAATATCCACTTACAGTTTCTACAAAAAGAGTGTTTCCTAACTGCTGCATCAAAAGAGAGGTTCCACTCTGTTAGCTGAGTACACACATCACAAACTTGTTTCTCAGAATCCTTCTGTCTAGCTTTTATGGGAAGATATTTACTTTTTCACCGTAGGCATCAAAGCGTTCCAAATGTCCACATCCAGATAGTACAGAAAGAGTGTTTCAAACCTGCTCTATGAAAGGGAATGTTCAACTCTATGAGTTGAATGCAAACATCACAAAGAAATTTCTGAGAATGCTGCTGTCTACCTTTTATTTGAATTCCCGCTTCCAACGAAATCCTCCAAGCTATCCAAATATCCACTTGCAGATTCCACAAAAAGAGTGTTTCAAAACTGCTATCAATGGCAAAGTTCAACTCTGTTAGTTGAGGACACATATCACCAACAAGTTTCTGAGAATGCTTCTGTCTATTTTTTATGGGAAGATATTTCCTTTTTCACCGTAGGCGTCAAGGCGATCGAAATGTCCACTTCCACAAACTACAAAAAGAGTGTTTCAAACCTGCTCTATGAAAGGCCATGTTCATCTCTATGAGTTGAATGGAAATATCCGAAAGAAATTTCTGGGAATGCTGCTGTCTAGTTGTTATACGAATTCCCGCTTCCAACGAAATCCTCAAAGCAATCCAAATATCCACTTGCAGAATCCACAAAAAGAGTGTTTCAAAACTGCTCTATCAATAGAAAGGTTCAACTCTTTTAGTTGAGTACACACATCAAGAACAAGTTTCTGAGAATGCTTCTGTCTGGCTTTTATTGGAAGACGTTTCCTTTTCACCAAAGGCATCAAAGCGCACCAAATGTCCACTTCCAGATTCTTCCAAAAGAGTGTTTCAAACGTGCTCAAAGTAAGGGAATGTTCAACTCTTTGACTTGAATGCAGATATCACCAAGTAGTTTCTAATAGTGCTTCTGTCTAGATTTTAGATGATGATATTCCCGTTTCCAACGAAATCGTTAGAGCTATCCAAATATCCAGTTACAGTTTCTACCAAAAGGGTGTTTCCAAACTGCTGCATCAAAAGAAAGGTTCAACTCTGTTAGTTGAGGACACACATCACAAAGAAGTTTGTGAGAATGCTTCTGTCTAGATTTTGTATGACGATATTCCCTTTTCCAACGATATCGTTAAAGCAAACTAAATATCAATTTGCAGAATCCACAAAAATAGAGTTTCAAAGCTGCTCTGTAAAAAGAAAGGTTCCACTCTGTTAGCTGAGTACACACATCACAAACTTGTTTCTGAGAATCCTTCTGTCTCGTTTTTATGGGAAGATAGTTACTTTTTCACCGTAGGCATCAAAGCGCTCCAAATGTCCACATCCAGATACTCCAGAAAGACTGTTTCAAACCTGCTCTATGAAAGGGAATCTTCAACTCTATGAGTTGAATGCAGACATCAGAAAGAAATTTCTGAGAATGCTGCTGTGTACCTTTTATTTGAATTCCCGCTTCCAAAGAAATCCTCCAAGCTATCCAAATATCCACCTGCATTTTCCACAACAAGAGTGTTTCAAAACTGCTCTATCAATAGAAATGGTCAACTCCTTTGGCTGGGTACACACATCACAAACAAGTTTCTGAGAATGCTTCTGTCTAGTTTTTATGGGAAGACATTCCCTTTTTCACCAAAGGCATCAAAGCGCTCCAAATGTCCACTTCCAGACACTACAAAAAGAGTGTTTCCAACGTGCTCTAAGAAAGCGAATGTTCAACTCTGTGACTTGCATGCAGATATCACAAAGTAGTTTCTGAGAGGGCTTCTGTCTAGATTTTAGATGATGATATTCCCGTTTCCAACGAAATCATTAGAGCTATCCAAATATCCACTTACAGTTTCTACAAAAAGAGTGTTTCCAAACTGCTGCATCAAAAGAGAGGTTCCACTCTGTTAGCTGAGTATACACATCACAAACTTGTTTCTCAGAATCCTTCTGTCTCGTTTTTATGGGAAGATATTTACTTTCTCACCGTAGGCATCAAAGCGCTCCAAATGTCCACATCCAGATACTCCAGAAAGAGTGTTTCAAACGTGCTCTATGAAAGGGAATCTTCAACTCTATGAGTTGAATGCAGACATCAGAAAGAAATTTCTGAGAATGCTCTGCTGTCTACCTTTTATTTGAATTCCCGCTTCCAACGAAATCCTCCAAGCTATCCAAATATCCACTTGCAGATTCCACAAAAAGAGTGTTTCAAAACTGCTCTCTATCAATGGCAAAGTTCAACTCTGTTAGTTGAGGACACATATCACCAACAAGTTTCTGAGAATGCTGCTGTCTACCTTTTATTTGAATTCCCGCTTCCAACGAAATCCTCCAGGCTATCCAAATATCCCCTTGCAGATTCCACAAAAAGAGTGTTTCAAAACTGCTCTATCAATGGCAAGGTTCAACTCTGTCAGTTGAGGATACACATCACAAACAAGTTTCTGAGATTTCTGCTGTCTAGTTTTTATATGAATTCCCGCTTCCAACGAAATCCTCAAAGCAATCCAAATATCCACTTGCAGAATCCACAAAAAGAGTGTTTCAAAACTGCTCTATCAATAGAAAGGTTCAACTCTTTTAGTTGAGGTACACACATCACAAACAAGTTTCTGAGAATGCTTCTGTCTAGTTTTTATGGGATGACATTTCCTTTTTCACCAAAGGCATCAAAGAGCTCCAAATGTCCAATTCCAGATACTACAAAAAGAGTGTTTCAAAAGTGCTCTAAGAAAGCGAATGTTCAACTCTATGACTTGAATGCAGATATCAAAAAGTAGTTTCTGAGAGTGCTTCTGTCTAGATTTTAGATAATGATATTCCCGTTTCCAACAAAATCGTTAGAGCTATCCAAATATCCACTTACAGTTTCTACAAAAAGAGCGTTTCCAAACTGCTGCATCAAAAGAAAGGTTCAACTCTGTTAGTTGAGGACACACATCACAAAGAAGTTTGTGAGAATGCTTCTGTCTAGATTTTGTATGACCATATTCCCTTTTCCAACGATATCATTAAAGCAATCTAAATATCAATTTGCAGAATCCACAAAAATAGAGTTTCAAAGCTGCTCTGTAAAAAGAAAGGTTCCACTCTGTTAGCTGAGTACACACATCACAAACTTGTTTCTGAGAATCCTGCTGTCTACCTTTTATTTGAATTCCCGCTTCCAACGAAATCCTCCAAGCTATCCAAATATCCACCTGCATTTTCCACAAAAAGAGCGTTTCAAAACTGCTCTATCAATAGAAATGTTCAACTCCTTTGGCTGGGTACACACATCACAAACAAGTTTCTGAGAATGCTTCTGTCTAGTTTTTATGGGAAGACATTCCCTTTTTCACCAAAGGCATCAAAGCGCTCCAAATGTCCACTTCCAGACACTACAAAAAGAGTGTTTCAAACGTGCTCTAAGAAACCGAATGTTCAACTCTGTGAGTTGAATGCAGATATCACAAAGTAGTTTCTGAGAGGGCTTCTGTCTAGATTTTAGATGATGATATTCCCTTTTCCAACGAAATCATTAGAGCTATCCAAATATCCACTTACAGTTTCTACAAAAAGAGTGTTTCCAAACTGCTGAATCAAAACAGAGGTTCCACTCTGTTAGCTGAGTACACACATCACAAACTTGTTTCTCAGAATCCTTCTGTCTCGTTTTTATGGGAAGATATTTACTTTTTCACCGTAGGCATCAAAGCGCTCCAAATGTCCACATCCAGATACTCCACAAAGAGTGTTTCAAACCTGCTCTATGAAAGGGAATCTTCAACTCTATGAGTTGAATGCAGACATCAGAAAGAAATTTCCTGAGAATGCTGCTGTCTACCTTTTATTTGAATTCCCGCTTCCAACGAAATCCTCCAAGCTATCCAAATATCCACTTGCAGATTCCACAAAAAGAGTGTTTCAAAACTGCTCTCTATCAATGGCAAAGTTCAACTCTGTTAGTTGAGGACACATATCACCAACAAGTTTCTGAGAATGCTTCTGTCTATTTTTTATGGGAAGATATTTCCTTTTTCACCGTAGGCGTCAAGGCGATCGAAATGTCCACTTCCACAAACTACAAAAAGAGTGTTTCAAACCTGCTCTATGAAAGGCCATGTTCATCTCTATGAGTCGAATGGAAATATCCGAAAGAAATTTCTGGGAATGCTGCTGTCTAGTTTTTATACGAATTCCCGCTTCCAACGAAATCCTCAAAGCAATCCAAATATCCACTTGCAGAATCCACAAAAAGAGTGTTTCAAAACTGCTCTATCAATAGAAAGGTTCAACTCTTTTAGTTGAGTACACACATCACAAACAAGTTTCTGAGAATGCTTCTGTCTGGCTTTTATTGGAAGACGTTTCCTTTTCACCAAAGGCATCAAAGCGCTCCAAATGTCCACTTCCAGATTCTTCCAAAAGAGTGTTTCAAACGTGGTCGAAGTAAGGGAATGTTCTACTCTGTGACTTGAATGCAGATATCACCAAGTAGTTTCTAATAGTGCTTCTGTCTAGATTTTAGATGATGATATTCCCGTTTCCAACGAAATCGTTAGAGCTATCCAAATATCCACTTACAGTTTCTACAAAAAGAGTGTTTCCAAACTGCTGCATCAAAAGAAAGGTTCAACTCTGTAAGTTGAGGACACACATCACAAAGAAGTTTGTGAGAATGCTTCTGTCTAGATTTTGTATGACGATATTCCCTTTTCCAACAATATCGTTAAAGCAATCTAAATATCAATTTGCAGAATCCACAAAAATAGAGTTTCAAAGCTGCTCTGTAAAAAGAAAGGTTCCACTCTGTTAGCTGAGTACACACATCACAAACTTGTTTCTGAGAATCCTTCTGTCTCGTTTTTATGGGAAGATATTTACTTTTTCACCGTAGGCATCAAAGCGCTCCAAATGTCCACATCCAGATACTCCAGAAAGAGTGTTTCAAACCTGCTCTATGAAAGGGAATCTTCAACTCTATGAGTTGAATGCAGACATCAGAAAGAAATTTTCTGAGAATGCTGCTGTCTAGTGTTTATACGAATTCCCGCTTCCAACGAAATCTTCAAAGCAATCCAAATATCCACTTGCAGAATCCACAAAAAGAGTGTTTCAAAACTGCGCTATCAAAAGAAATGTTCAACTCCTTTGGCTGGGTACACACATCACAAACAAGTTTCTGAGAATGCTTCTGTCTAGTTTTTATGGGAAGACGTTCCCTTTTTCACCAAAGCCATCAAAGCGCTCCAAATGTCCACTTCCAGACACTACAAAAAGAGTGTTTCAAACGTGCTCTAAGAAAGCGAATGTTCAACTCTGTGACTTGAATGCAGATATCACAAAGTAGTTTCTGAGAGGGCTTCTGTCTAGATTTTAGATGATGATATTCCCGTTTCCAAGGAAATCATTAGAGCTATCCAAATATCCACTTACAGTTTCTACAAAAAGAGTGTTTCCAAACTGCTGCATCAAAAGAGAGGTTCCACTCTGTTAGCTGAGTACACACATCACAAACTTGTTTCTCAGAATCCTTCTGTCTCGTTTTTATGGGAAGATATTTACTTTTTCACCGTAGGCATCAAAGCGCTCCAAATGTCCACATCCAGATACTCCAGAAAGAGTGTTTCAAACCTGCTCTATGAAAGGGAATGTTCAACTCTATGAGTTGAATGCAGACATCAGAAAGAAATTTCTGAGAATGCTGCTGTCTACCTTTTATTTGAATTCCCGCTTCCAACGAAATCCTCCAAGCTATCCAAATATCCACTTGCAGATTCCACAAAAAGAGTGTTTCAAAACTGCTCTCTCAATGGCAAAGTTCAACTCTGTTAGTTGAGGACACATATCACCAACAAGTTTCTGAGAATGCTTCTGTCTATTTTTTATGGGAAGATATTTCCTTTTTCACCGTAGGCGTCAAGGCGATCGAAATGTCCACTTCCACAAACTACAAAAAGAGTGTTTCAAACCTGCTCTATGAAAGGCCATGTTAATCTCTATGAGTTGAATGGAAATATCCGAAAGAAATTTCTGGGAATGCTGCTGTCTAGTTTTTATATGAATTCCCGCTTCCAACGAAATCCTCAAAGCAATCCAAATATCCACTTGCAGAATCCACAAAAAGAGTGTTTCAAAACTGCTCTATCAATAGAAAGGTTCAACTCTTTTAGTTGAGTACACACATCACAAACAAGTTTCTGAGAATGCTTCTGTCTGGCTTTTATTGGAAGACGTTTCCTTTTCACCAAAGGCATCAAAGCGCTCCAAATGTCCACTTCCAGATTCTTCCAAAAGAGTGTTTGAAACGTGCTCAAAGTAAGGGAATGTTCAACTCTGTGACTTGAATGCAGATATCACCAAGTAGTTTCTAATAGTGCTTCTGTCTACATTTTAGATGATGATATTCCCGTTTCCAACGAAATCGTTAGTAGCTATCCAAATATCCAGTTACAGTTTCTACCAAAAGGGTGCTTCCAAATTGCTGCATCAAAAGAAAGGTTCAACTCTGTTAGTTGAGGACACACATCACAAAGAAGTTTGTGAGAATGCTTCTGTCTAGATTTTGTATGACGATATTCCCTTTTCCAACGATATCGTTAAAGCAATCTAAATACCAATTTGCAGAATCCACAAAAATAGAGTTTCAAAGCTGCTCTGTAAAAAGAAAGGTTCCACTCTGTTAGCTGAGTACACACATCACAAACTTGTTTCTCAGAATCCTTCTGTCTCGTTTTTATGGGAAGAGATTTACTTTTCCACCGTAGGCATCAAAGCGCTCCAAATGTCCACATCCAGATACTCCAGAACGAGTGTTTCAAACCTGCTCTATGAAAGGGAATCTTCAACTCTATGAGTTGAATGCAGACATCAGAAAGAAATTTCTGAGAATGCTGCTGTCTACCTTTTATTTGAATTCCCGCTTCCAACGAAATCCTCCAAGCTATCCAAATATCCACTTGCATTTTCCACAACAAGAGTGTTTCAAAACTGCTCTATCAATAGAAATGTTCAACTCCTTTGGCTGGGTACACACATCACAAACAAGTTTCTGAGAATGCTTCTGTCTAGTTTTTATGGGAAGACATTCCCTTTTTCACCAAAGTTATCAAAGCGCTCCAAATGTCCACTTCCAGACACTACAAAAAGAGTGTTTCAAACGTGCTCTAAGAAAGCGAATGTTCAACTCTGTGACTTGAATGCAGATATCACAAAGTAGTTTCTGAGAGTGCTTCTGTCTAGATTTTAGATGATGATATTCCCGTTTCCAACGAAATCATTAGAGCTATCCAAATATCCACTTACAGTTTCTACAAAAAGAGTGTTTCCAAACTGCTGCATCAAAAGAGAGGTTCCACTCTGTTAGCTGAGTACACACATCACAAACTTGTTTCTCAGAATCCTCTGTCTCGTTTTTATGGGAAGATATTTACTTTTTCACCGTAGGCATCAAAGCGCTCCAAATGTCCACATCCAGATACTCCAGAAAGAGTGTTTCAAACCTGCTCTATGAAAGGGAATCTTCAACTCTATGAGTTGAATGCAGACATCAGAAAGAAATTTCTGAGAATGCTGGCTGTCTACCTTTTATTTGAATTCCCGCTTCCAACGAAATCCTCCAAGCTATCCAAATATCCACTTGCAGATTCCACAAAAAGAGTGTTTCAAAACTGCTCTCTATCAATGGCAAAGTTCAACTCTGTTAGTTGAGGACACATATCACCAACAAGTTTCTGAGAATGCTTCTGTCTATTTTTTATGGGAAGATATTTCCTTTTTCACCGTAGGCGTCAAGGCGATCGAAATGTCCACTTCCACAAACTACAAAAAGTGTGTTTCAAACCTGCTCTATGAAAGGCCATGTTCATCTCTATGAGTTGAATGGAAATATCCGAAAGAAATTTCTGGGAATGCTGCTGTCTAGTTTTTATACGAATTCCCGCTTCCAACGAAATCCTCAAAGCAATCCAAATATCCACTTGCAGAATCCACAAAAAGAGTGTTTCAAAACTGCTCTATCAATAGAAAGGTTCAACTCTTTTAGTTGAGTACACACATCACAAAGAAGTTTCTGAGAATGCTTCTGTCTGGCTTTTACTGGAAGACGTTTCCTTTTCACCAAAGGCATCAAAGCGCTCCAAATGTCCACTTCCAGATTCTTCCAAAAGAGTGTTTCAAACGTGCTCAAAGTAAGGGAATGTTCAAATCTGTGACTTGAATGCAGATATCACCAAGTAGTTTCTAATAGTGCTTCTGTCTAGATTTTAGATGATGATATTCCCGTTTCCAATGAAATCGTTAGAGCTATCCAAATATCCACTTACAGTTTCTACAAAAAGAGTGTTTCCAAACTGCTGCATCAAAAGAAAGGTTCAACTCTGTTAGTTGAGGACACACATCACAAAGAAGTTTGTGAGAATGCTTCTGTCCAGATTTTGTATGACGATATTCCCTTTTCCAACGATATCGTTAAAGCAATCTAAATATCCATTTGCAGAATCCACAAAAATAGAGTTTCAAAGCTGCTCTGTAAAAAGAAAAGTTCCACTCTGTTAGCTGAGTACACACATCACAAACTTGTCTCTCAGAATCCTTCTGTCTCGTTTTTATGGGAAGATATTTACTTTTTCACCGTAGGCATCAAAGCGCTCCAAATGTCCACATCCAGATACTCCAGAAAGAGTGTTTCAAACCTGCTCTATGAAAGGGAATCTTCAACTCTATGAGTTGAATGCAGACATCAGAAAGAAATTTCTGAGAATGCTGCTGTCTACCTTTTATTTGAATTGCCGCTTCCAACGAAATCCTCCAAGCTATCCAAATATCCACTTGCATTTTCCACAAAAAGAGTGTTTCAAAACTGCTCTATCAATAGAAATGTTCAACTCCTTTAGCTGGGTACACACATCACAAACAAGTTTCTGAGAATGCTTCTGTCTAGTTTTTATGGGAAGACGTTCCCTTTTTCACCAAAGGCATCAAAGCGCTCCAAATGTCCACTTCCAGACACTACAAAAAGAGTGTTTCAAACGTGCTCTAAGAAAGCGAATGTTCAACTCTGTGACTTGAATGCAGATATCAAAAAGTAGTTTCTGAGAGGGCTTCTGTCTAGATTTTAGATGATGATATTCCCGTTTCCAACGAAATCATTAGAGCTATCCAAATATCCACTTACAGTTTCTACAAAAAGAGTGTTTCCAAACTGCTGCATCAAAAGAGAGGTTCCACTCTGTTAGCTGAGTACACACATCACAAACTTGTTTCTCAGAATCCTTCTGTCTCGTTTTTATGGGAAGATATTTACTTTTACACCGTAGGTATCAAAGCGCTCCAAATGTCCACATCCAGATACTCCAGAAAGAGTGTTTCAAACCTGCTCTATGAAAGGGAATCTTCAACTCTATGAGTTGAATGCAGACATCAGAAAGAAATTTTCTGAGAATGCTGCTGTCTACCTTTTATTTGAATTCCCGCTTCCAACGAAATCCTCCAAGCTATCCAAATATCCACTTGCAGATTCCACAAAAAGAGTGTTTCAAAACTGCTCTCTATCAATGGCAAAGTTCAACTCTGTTAGTTGAGGACACATATCACCAACAAGTTTCTGAGAATGCTTCTGTCTATTTTTTATGGGAAGATATTTCCTTTTTCACCGTAGGCGTCAAGGCGATCGAAATGTCCACTTCCACAAACTACAAAAAGAGTGTTTCAAACCTGCTCTATGAAAGGCCATGTTCATCTCTATGAGTTGAATGGAAATATCCGAAAGAAATTTCTGGGAATGCTGCTGTCTAGTGTTTATACGAATTCCCGCTTTCAACGAAATCCTCAAAGCAATCCAAATATCCACTTGCAGAATCCACAAAAAGAGTGTTTCAAAACTGCTCTATCAATAGAAAGGTTCAACTCTTTTAGTTGAGTACACACATCACGAACAAGTTTCTGAGAATGCTTCTGTCTGGCTTTTATTGGAAGACGTTTCCTTTTCACCAAAGGCATCAAAGCGCTCCAAATGTCCACTTCCAGATTCTTCCAAAAGAGTGTTTGAAACGTGCTCAAAGTAAGGGAATGTTCAACTCTGTGACTTGAATGCAGATATCACCAAGTAGTTTCTAATAGTGCTTCTGTCTAGATTTTAGATGATGATATTCCCGTTTCCAACGAAATCGTTAGAGCTATCCAAATATCCACTTACAGTTTCTACAAAAAGAGTGTTTCCAAACTGCTGCATCCAAAGAAAGGTTCAACTCTGTTAGTTGAGGACACACATCACAAAGAAGTTTGTGAGAATGCTTCTGTCTAGATTTTGTATGACCATATTCCCTTTTCCAGCGATATCATTAAAGCAATCTAAATATCCATTTGCAGAATCCACAAAAATAGAGTTTCAAAGCTGCTCTGTAAAAAGAAAGGTTCCACTCTGTTAGCTGAGTACACACATCACAAACTTGTTTCTCAGAATCCTTCTGTCTCGTTTTTATGGGAAGATATTTACTTTTTCACCGTAGGCATCAAAGCGCTCCAAATGTCCACATCCAGATACTCCAGAAAGAGTGTTTCAAACCTGCTCTATGAAAGGGAATCTTCAACTCTATGAGTTGAATGCAGACATTAGAAAGAAATTTCTGAGAATGCTGCTGTCTACCTTTTATTTGAATTCCCGCTTCCAACGAAATCCTCCAAGCTATCCAAATATCCACCTGCATTTTCCACAACAAGAGTGTTTCAAAACTGCTCTATCAATAGAAATGTTCAACTCCTTTGGCTGGGTACACACATCACAAACAAGTTTCTGAGAATGCTTCTGTCTAGTTTTTATGGGAAGACGTTCCCTTTTTCACCAAAGGCATCAAAGCGCTCCAAATGTCCACTTCCAGACACTACAAAAAGAGTGTTTCCAACGTGCCCTAAGAAAGCGAATGTTCAACTACTGTGACTTGAATGCAGATATCACAAAGTAGTTTCTGAGAGGGCTTCTGTCTAGATTTTAGATGATGATATTCCCGTTTCCAACGGAATCATTAGAGCTATCCAAATATCCACTTACAGTTTCTACAAAAAGAGTGTTTCCAAACTGCTGCATCAAAAGAGAGGTTCCACTCTGTTAGCTGAGTACACACATCACAAACTTGTTTCTGAGAATCCTTCTGTCTCGCTTTTTATGGGAAGATATTTACTTTTTCACCGTAGGCATCAAAGCGCTCCAAATGTCCACATCCAGATACTCCAGAAAGAGTGTTTCAAACCTGCTCTATGAAAGGGAATGTTCAACTCTATGAGTTGAATGCAGACATCAGAAAGAAATTTCTGAGAATGCTGCTGTCTACCTTTTATTTGAATTCCCGCTTCCAACGAAATCCTCCAAGCTATCCAAATATCCACTTGCAGATTCCACAAAAAGAGTGTTTCAAAACTGCTCTCTATCAATGGCAAAGTTCAACTCTGTTAGTTGAGGACACATATCACCAACAAGTTTCTGAGAATGCTTCTGTCTATTTTTTATGGGAAGATATTTCCTTTTTCACCGTAGGCGTCAAGGCGATCGAAACGTCCACTTCCACAAACTACAAAAAGAGTGTTTCAAACCTGCTCTATGAAAGGCCATGTTCATCTCTATGAGTTGAATGGAAATATCCGAAAGAAATTTCTGGGAATGCTGCTGTCTAGTTTTTATATGAATTCCCGCTTCCAACGAAATCCTCAAAGCAATCCAAATATCCACTTGCAGAATCCACAAAAAGAGTGTTTCAAAACTGCGCTATCAATAGAAAGGTTCAACTCTTTTAGTTGAGTACACATATCACGAACAAGTTTCTGAGAATGCTTCTGTCTGGCTTTTATTGGAAGACGTTTCCTTTTCACCAAAGGCATCAAAGCGCTCCAAATGTCCACTTCCAGATTCTTCCAAAAGAGTGTTTCAAACGTGCTCGAAGTAAGGGAATGTTCTACTCTGTGACTTGAATGCAGATATCACCAAGTAGTTTCTAATAGTGCTTCTGTCTACCTTTTGATGATGATATTCCCGTTTCCAACGAAATCGTTAGAGCTATCCAAATATCCAGTTACAGTTTCTACCAAAAGGGTGTTTCCAAATTGCTGCATCAAAAGAAAGGTTCAACTCTGTTAGTTGAGGACACACATCACAAAGAAGTTTGTGAGAATGCTTCTGTCTAGATTTTGTATGACGATATTCCCTTTTCCAACGATATCGTTAAAGCAATCTAAATATCAATTTGCAGAATCCACAAAAATAGAGTTTCAAAGCTGCTCTGTAAAAAGAAAGGTTCCACTCTGTTAGCTGAGTACACACATCACAAACTTGTTTCTGAGAATCTTTCTGTCTCGTTTTTATGGGAAGATATTTACTTTTCCACCGTAGGCATCAAAGCGCTCCAAATGTCCACATCCAGATACTCCAGAACGAGTGTTTCAAACCTGCTCTATGAAAGGGAATCTTCAACTCTATGAGTTGAATGCAGACATCAGAAAGAAATTTCTCAGAATGCTGCTGTCTACCTTTTATTTGAATTAACGCTTCCAACGAAATCCTCCAAGCTATCCAAATATCCACCTGCATTTTCCACAACAAGTGTTTCAAAACTGCTCTATCAATAGAAATGTTCAACTCCTTTGGCTGGGTACACACATCACAAACAAGTTTCTGAGAATGCTTCTGTCTAGTTTTTATGGGAAGACGTTCCCTTTTTCACCAAAGGCATCAAAGCGCTCCAAATGTCCACTTCCATACACTACAAAAAGAGTGTTTCAAACGTGCTCTAAGAAAGCGAATGTTCAACCCTGTGACTTGAATGCAGATATCACAAAGTAGTTTCTGAGAGGGCTTCTGTCTAGATTTTAGATGATGATATTCCCGTTTCCAACGAAATCATTAGAGCTATCCAAATATCCACTTACAGTTTCTACAAAAAGAGTGTTTCCAAACTGCTGCATCAAAAGAGAGGTTCCACTCTGTTAGCTGAGTACACACATCACAAACTTGTTTCTCAGAATCCTTCTGTCTCGTTTTTATGGGAAGATTATACTTTTTCACCGTAGGCATCAAAGCGCTCCAAATGTCCACATCCAGATACTCCAGAAAGAGTGTTTCAAACCTGCTCTATGAAAGGGAATCTTCAACTCTATGAGTTGAATGCAGACATCAGAAAGAAATTTGCTGAGAATGCTGCTGTCTACCTTTTATGTGAATTCCCGCTTCCAACGAAATCCTCCAAGCTATCCAAATATCCACTTGCAGATTCCACAAAAAGAGTGTTTCAAAACTGCTCTCTATCAATGGCAAAGTTCAACTCTGTTAGTTGAGGACACATATCACCAACAAGTTTCTGAGAATGCTTCTGTCTATTTTTTATGGGAAGATATTTCCTTTTTCACCGTAGGCGTCAAGGCGATCGAAATGTCCACTTCCACAAACTACAAAAAGAGTGTTTCAAACCTGCTCTATGAAAGGCCATGTTCATCTCTATGAGTTGAATGGAAATATCAGAAAGAAATTTCTGGGAATGCTGCTGTCTAGTTTTTATACGAATTCCCGCTTCCAACGAAATCCTCAAAGCAATCCAAATATCCACTTGCAGAATCCACAAAAAGAGTGTTTCAAAACTGCTCTATCAATAGAAAGGTTCAACTCTTTTAGTTGAGTACACACATCACAAACAAGTTTCTGAGAATGCTTCGGTCTGGCTTTTATTGGAAGACGTTTCCTTTTCACCAAAGGCATCAAAGCGCTCCAAATGTCCACTTCCAGATTCTTCCAAAAGAGTGTTTGAAACGTGCTCAAAGTAAGGGAATGTTCAACTCTGTGACTTGAATGCAGATATCACCAAGTAGTTTCTAATAGTGCTTCTGTCTAGATTTTAGATGATGATATTCCCGTTTCCAACGAAATCGTTAGAGCTATCCAAATATCCACTTACAGTTGCTACAAAAACAGTGTTTCCAAACTGCTGCATCAAAAGAAAGGTTCAACTCTGTTAGTTGAGGTCACACGTCACAAAGAAGTTTGTGAGAATGCTTCTGTCTAGATTTTGTATGACCATATTCCCTTTTCCAGCGATATCATTAAAGCAATCTAAATATCCATTTGCAGAATCCACAAAAATAGAGTTTCAAAGCTGCTCTGTAAAAAGAAAGGTTCCACTCTGTTAGCTGAGTACACACATCACAAACTTGTTTCTCAGAATCCTTCTGTGTCGTTTTTATGGGAAGATATTTACTTTTCCACCGTAGGCATCAAAGCGCTCCAAATGTCCACATCCAGATACTCCAGAACGAGTGTTTCAAACCTGCTCTATGAAAGGGAATCTTCAACTCTATGAGTTGAATGCAGACATCAGAAAGAAATTTCTGAGAATGCTGCTGTCTACCTTTTATTTGAATTCCCGCTTCCAACGAAATCCTCCAAGCTATCCAAATATCCACCTGCATTTTCCACAACAAGAGTGTTTCAAAACTGCTCTATCAATAGAAATGTTCAACTCCTTTGGCTGGGTACACACATCACAAACAAGTTTCTGAGAATGCTTCTGTCTAGTTTTTATGGGAAGACATTCCCTTTTTCACCAAAGGCATCAAAGCGCTCCAAATGTCCACTTCCAGACACTACAAAAAGTGTGTTTCCAACGTGCTCTAAGAAAGCGAATGTTCAACTCTGTGACTTGAATGCAGATATCACAAAGTAGTTTCTGAGAGGGCTTCTGTCTAGATTTTAGATGATGATATTCCCGTTTCCAACGAAATCATTAGAGCTATCCAAATATCCACTTACAGTTTCCACAAAAAGAGTGTTTCCAAACTGCTGCTTCAAAAGAGAGGTTCCACTCTGTTAGCTGAGTACACACATCACAAACTTGTTTCTCAGAATCCTTCAGTCTCGTTTTTATGGGAAGATATTTACTTTTTCACCGTAGGCATCAAAGCGCTCCAAATGTCCACATCCAGATACTCCAGAAAGAGTGTTTCAAACCTGCTCTATGAAAGGGAATCTTCAACTCTATGAGTTGAATGCAGACATCAGAAAGAAATTTCTGAGAATGCTGCTGTCTACCTTTTATTTGAATTCCCGCTTCCAACGAAATCCTCCAAGCTATCCAAATATCCACTTGCAGATTCCACAAAAAGAGTGTTTCAAAACTGCTCTCTATCAATGGCAAAGTTCAACTCTGTTAGTTGAGGACACATATCACCAACAAGTTTCTGAGAATGCTTCTGTCTATTTTTTATGGGAAGATATTTCCTTTTTCACCGTAGGCGTCAAGGCGATCGAAATGTCCACTTCCACAAACTACAAAAAGAGTGTTTCAAACCTGCTCTATGAAAGGCGATGTTCATCTCTATGAGTTGAATGGAAATATCCGAAAGAAATTTCTGGGAATGCTGCTGTCTAGTGTTTATACGAATTCCCGCTTCCAACGAAATCCTCAAAGCAATCCAAATATCCACTTGCAGAATCCACAAAAAGAGTGTTTCAAAACTGCTCTATCAATAGAAAGGTTCAACTCTTTTAGTTGAGTACACACATCACAAACAAGTTTCTGAGAATGCTTCTGTCTGGCTTTTATTGGAAGACGTTTCCTTTTCACCAAAGGCATCAAAGCGCTCCAAATGTCCACTTCCAGACACTACAAAAAGAGTGTTTCAAACGTGCTCTAAGAAAGCAAATGTTGAACTCTGTGACTTGAATGCAGATATCACAAAGTAGTTTCTGAGAGTGCTTCTGTCTAGATTTTAGATGATGATATTCCCGTTTCCAACGAAATCGTTAGAGCTATCCAAATATCCACTTACAGTTGCTACAAAAACAGTGTTTCCAAACTGCTGCATCAAAAGAAAGGTTCAACTCTGTTAGTTGAGGACACACGTCACAAAGAAGTTTGTGAGAATGCTTCTGTCTAGATTTTGTATGACGATATTCCCTTTTCCAACGATATCGTTAAAGCAATCTAAATATCAATTTGCAGAATCCACAAAAATAGAGTTTCAAAGCTGCTCTGTAAAAAGAAAGGTTCCACTCTGTTAGCTGAGTACACACATCACAAACTTGTTTCTGAGAATCCTTCTGTCTCGTTTTTATGGGAAGATATTTACTTTTCCACCATAGGCATCAAAGCGCTCCAAATGTCCACATCCAGATACTCCAGAACGAGTGTTTCAAACCTGCTCTATGAAAGGGAATCTTCAACTCTATGAGTTGAATGCAGACATCAGAAAGAAATTTCTGAGAATGCTGCTGTCTACCTTTTATTTGAATTCCCCCTTCCAACGAAATCCTCCAAGCTATCCAAATATCCACCTGCATTTTCCACAACAAGAGTGTTTCAAAACTGCTCTATCAATAGAAATGTTCAACTCCTTTGGCTGGGTACACACATCACAAACAAGTTTCTGAGAATGCTTCTGTCTAGTTTTTATGGGAAGACGTTCCCTTTTTCACCAAAGGCATCAAAGCGCTCCAAATGTCCACTTCCAGACACTACAAAAAGAGTGTTTCCAACGTGCTCTAAGAAAGCGAATGTTCAACTCTGTGACTTGAATGCACATATCACAAAGTAGTTTCTGAGAGGGCTTCTGTCTAGATTTTAGATGATGATAATCCCGTTTCCAACAAAATCATTAGAGCTTCCAAATATCCACTTACAGTTTCTACAAAAAGAGTGTTTCCAAACTGCTGCATCAAAAGAGAGGTTCCACTCTGTTAGCTGAGTACACACATCACAAATTTGTTTCTCAGAATCCTTCTGTCTCGTTTTTATGGGAAGATATTTACTTTTTCACCGTAGGCATCAAAGCTCTCCAAATGTCCACATCCAGATACTCCAGAAAGAGTGTTTCAAACCTGCTCTATGAAAGGGAATCTTCAACTCTATGAGTTGAATGCAGACATCAGAAAGAAATTTCTGAGAATGCTGTTGTCTACCTTTTATTTGAATTCCCGCTTCCAACGAAATCCTCCAAGCTATCCAAATATCCACTTGCAGATTCCACAAAAAGAGTGTTTCAAAACTGCTCTCTATCAATGGCAAAGTTCAACTCTGTTAGTTGAGGACACATATCACCAACAAGTTTCTGAGAATGCTTCTGTCTATTTTTTATGGGAAGATATTTCCTTTTTCACCGTAGGCGTCAAGGCGATCGAAATGTCCACTTCCACAAACTACAAAAAGAGTGTTTCAAACCTGCTCTATGAAAGGCCATGTTCATCTCTATGAGTCGAATGGAAATATCCGAAAGAAATTTCTGGGAATGCTGCTGTCTAGTGTTTATACGAATTCCCGCTTCCAATGAAATCCTCAAAGCAATCCAAATATCCACTTGCAGAATCCACAAAAAGAGTGTTTCAAAACTGCTCTATCAATAGAAAGGTTCAACTCTTTTAGTTGAGTACACACATCACGAACAAGTTTCTGAGAATGCTTCTCTCTGGCTTTTATTGGAAGACGTTTCCTTTTCACCAAAGGCATCAAAGCGCTCCAAATGTCCACTTCCAGATTCTTCCAAAAGAGCGTTTCAAACGTGGTCGAAGTAAGGGAATGTTCAACTCTGTGACTTGAATGCAGATATCACCAAGTAGTTTCTAATAGTGCTTCTGTTTAGATTTTAGATGATGATATTCCCGTTTCCAACGAAATCGTTAGAGCTATCCAAATATCCACTTACAGTTTCTACAAAAAGAGTGTTTCCAAACTGCTGCATCAAAAGAAAGGTTCAACTCTGTTAGTTGAGGACACACATCACAAAGAAGTTTGTGAGAATGCTTCTGTCTAGATTTTGTATGACGATATTCCCTTTTCCAACGATATCGTTAAAGCAATCTAAATATCAATTTGCAGAATCCACAAAAATAGAGTTTCAAAGCTGCTCTGTAAAAAGAAAGGTTCCACTCTGTTAGCTGAGTACACACATCACAAACTTGTTTCTGAGAATCCTTCTGTCTCGTTTTTATGGGAAGATATTTACTTTTCCACCGTAGGCATCAAAGCGCTCCAAATGTCCACATCCAGATACTCCAGAACGAGTGTTTCAAACCTGCTCTATGGAAGGGAATCTTCAACTCTATGAGTTGAATGCAGACATCAGAAAGAAATTTCTGAGAATGCTGCTGTCTACCTTTTATTTGAATTCCCGCTTCCAACGAAATCCTCCAAGCTATCCAAATATCCACCTGCATTTTCCACAAAAAGAGTGTTTCAAAACTGCTCTATCAATAGAAATGTTCAACTCCTTTGGCTGGGTACACACATCACAAACAAGTTTCTGAGAATGCTTCTGTCTAGTTTTTATGGGAAGACATTCCCTTTTTCACCAAAGGCATCAAAGCGCTCCAAATGTCCACTTCCAGACACTACAAAAAGAGTGTTTCAAACGTGCTCTAAGAAAACGAATGTTCAACTCTGTGACTTGAATGCAGATATCACAGAGTAGTTTCTGAGAGGGCTTCTCTCTAGATTTTAGATGATGATATTCCCGTTTCCAACGAAATCATTAGAGCTATCCAAATATCCCCTTACAGTTTCTACAAAAAGAGTGTTTCCAAACTACTGCATCAAAAGAGAGGTTCCACTCTGTTAGCTGAGTACACACATCACAAACTTGTTTCTCAGAATCCTTCTGTCTCGTTTTTATGGGAAGATATTTACTTTTTCACCGTAGGCATCAAAGCGCTCCAAATGTCCACATCCAGATACTACAGAAAGAGTATTTCAAACCTGCCCTATGAAAGGGAATGTTCAACTCTATGAGTTGAATGCAGAGATCAGAAAGAAATTTCTGAGAATGCTGCTGTCTACCTTTTATTTGAATTCCCGCTTCCAACGAAATCCTCCAAACTATCCAAATATCCACTTGCAGATTCAGGAAAAAGAGTGTTTCAAAACTGCTCTCTATCAATGGCAAAGTTCAACTCTGTTAGTTGAGGACACATATCACCAACAAGTTTCTGAGAATGTTTCTATTTTTTATGGGAAGATATTTACTTTTTCACCGTAGGCGTCAAGGCGATCGAAATGTCCACTTCCACAAACTACAAAAAGAGTGTTTCAAACCTGCTCTATGAAAGGCCATGTTCATCTCTATGAGTTGAATGGAAATATCCGAAAGAAATTTCTGGGAATGCTGCTGTCTAGTTGTTATACGAATTCCCGCTTCCAACGAAATCCTCAAAGCAATCCAAATATCCACTTGCAGAATCCACAAAAAGAGTGTTTCAAAACTGCTCTATCAATAGAAAGGTTCAACTCTTTTAGTTGAGTACACACATCACAAACAAGTTTCTGAGAATGCTTCTGTCTGGCTTTTATTGGAAGACGTTTCCTTTTCACCAAAGGCATCAAAGCGCTCCAAATGTCCACTTCCAGATTCTTCCAAAAGAGTGTTTCAAACGTGCTCGAAGTAAGGGAATGTTCTACTCTGTGACTTGAATGCAGATATCACCAAGTAGTTTCTAATAGTGCTTCTGTCTAGATTTTAGATGATGATATTCCCGTTTCCAACGAAATCGTTAGAGCTATCCAAATATCCAGTTACAGTTTCTACCAAAAGGGTGTTTCCAAATTGCTGCATCAAAAGAAAGGTTCAACTCTGTTAGTTGAGGAAACACATCACAAAGAAGTTTGTGAGAATGCTTCTGTCCAGTATTTTGTATGACGATATTCCCTTTTCCAACGATATCGTTAAAGCAATCTAAATATCCATTTGCAGAATCCACAAAAATAGAGTTTCAAAGCTGCTCTGTAAAAAGAAAGGTTCCACTCTGTTAGCTGAGTACACACATCACAAACTTGTTTCTGAGAATCCTTCTGTCTCGTTTTTATGGGAAGATATTTACTTTTTCACCGTAGGCATCAAAGCGCTCCAAATGTCCACATCCAGAAACTCCAGAAAGACTGTTTCAAACCTGCTCTATGAAAGGGAATCTTCAACTCTATGAGTTGAATGCAGACATCAGAAAGAAATTTCTGAGAATGCTGCTGTCTACCTTTTATTTGAATTCCCGCTTCCAACGAAATCCTCCAAGCTATCCAAATATCCACTTGCATTTTCCACAACAAGAGTGTTTCAAAACTGCTCTATCAATAGAAATGTTCAACTCCTTTGGCTGGGTACACACATCACAAACAAGTTTCTGAGAATGCTTCTGCCTAGTTTTTATGGGAAGACATTCCCTTTTTCACCAAAGGCATCAAAGCGCTCCAAATGTCCACTTCCAGCCACTACAAAAAGAGTGTTTCAAACGTGCTCTAAGAAAGCGAATGTTCAACTCTGTGACTTGAATGCAGATATCACAAAGTAGTTTCTGAGAGTGCTTCTGTCTAGATTTTAGATGATGATATTCCCGTTTCCAACGAAATCATTAGAGCTATCCAAATATCCACTTACAGTTTCTACAAAAAGAGTGTTTCCAAACTGCTGCATCAAAAGAGAGGTTCCACTCTTTTAGCTGAGTACACACATCACAAACTTGTTTCTGAGAATCCTTCTGTCTCGTTTTTATGGGAAGATATTTACTTTTTCACCGTAGGCATCAAAGCGCTCCAAATGTCCACATCCAGATACTCCAGAAAGAGTGTTTCAAACCTGCTCTATGAAAGGGAATGTTCAACTCTATGAGTTGAATGCAGACATCAGAAAGAAATTTCTGAGAATGCGGCTGTCTACCTTTTATTTGAATTCCCGCTTCCAACGAAATCCTCCAAGCTATCCAAATATCCACTTGCAGATTCCACAAAAAGAGTGTTTCAAAACTGCTCTCTATCAATGGCAAAGTTCAACTCTGTTAGTTGAGGACACATATCACCAACAAGTTTCTGAGAATGCTTCTGTCTATTTTTTATGGGAAGATATTTCCTTTTTCACTGTAGGCGTCAAGGCGATCGAAATGTCCACTTCCACAAACTACAAAAAGAGTGTTTCAAACCTGCTCTATGAAAGGCCATGTTCATCTCTATGAGTTGAATGGAAATATCCGAAAGAAATTTCTGGGAATGCTGCTGTCTAGTTGTTATACGAATTACCGCTTCCAACGAAATCCTCAAAGCAATCCAAATATCCACTTGCAGAATCCACAGAAAGAGTGTTTCAAAACTGCTCTATCAATAGAAAGGTTCAACTCTTTTAGTTGAGTACACACGTCAAGAACAAGTTTCTGAGAATGCTTCTGTCTGGCTTTTATTGGAAGACGTTTCCTTTTCACCAAAGGCATCAAAGCGCTCCAAATGTCCACTTCCAGATTCTTCCAAAAGAGTGTTTGAAACGTGCTCAAAGTAAGGGAATGTTCAACTCTGTGACTTGAATGCAGATATCACCAAGTAGTTTCTAATAGTGCTTCTGTCTAGATTTTAGATGATGATATTCCCGTTTCCAACGAAATCGTTAGAGTTATCCAAATATCCACTTACAGTTTCTACAAAAAGAGTGTTTCCAAACTGCTGCATCAAAAGAAAGGTTCAACTCTGTTAGTTGAGGACACACATCACAAAGAAGTTTGTGAGAATGCTTCTGTCTAGATTTTGTATGACGATATTCCCTTTTCCAACGATATCGTTAAAGCAATCTAAATATCAATTTGCAGAATCCACAAAAATAGAGTTTCAAAGCTGCTCTGTAAAAAGAAAGGTTCCACTCTGTTAGCTGAGTACACACATCACAAACTT
This sequence comes from Homo sapiens, assembly GCF_000001405.40. Taxonomy (NCBI): domain Eukaryota; kingdom Metazoa; phylum Chordata; class Mammalia; order Primates; family Hominidae; genus Homo; species Homo sapiens. The sequence continues at coordinate 12,722,904 of NC_000021.9, read as the reverse complement.
GTTTCTCAGAATCCTTCTGTCTCGTTTTTATGGGAAGATATTTACTTTTTCACCGTAGGCATCAAAGCCCTCCAAATGTCCACATCCAGATACTCCAGAAAGAGTGTTTCAAACCTGCTCTATGAAAGGGAATCTTCAACTCTATGAGTTGAATGCAGACATCAGAAAGAAATTTCTGAGAATGCTGCTGTCTACCTTTTATTTGAATTCCCGCTTCCAACGAAATCCTCCAAGCTATCCAAATATCCACTTGCATTTTCCACAAAAAGAGTGTTTCAAAACTGCTCTATCAATAGAAATGTTCAACTCCTTTAGCTGGGTACACACATCACAAACAAGTTTCTGAGAATGCTTCTGTCTAGTTTTTATGGGAAGACGTTCCCTTTTTCACCAAAGGCATCAAAGCGCTCCAAGTGTCCACTTCCAGACACTACAAAAAGAGTGTTTCCAACGTGCTCTAAGAAAGCGAATGTTCAACTCTGTGACTTGAATGCAGATATCACAAAGTAGTTTCTGAGAGTGCTTCTGTCTAGATTTTAGATGATGATATTCCCGTTTCCAACGAAATCATTAGAGCTATCCAAATATCCACTTACAATTTCTACAAAAAGAGTGTTTCCAAACTGCTGCATCAAAAGAGAGGTTCCACTCTGTTAGCTGAGTACACACATCACAAACTTGTTTCTCAGAATCCTTCTGTCTCGTTTTTATGGGAAGATATTTACTTTTTCACCGTAGGCATCAAAGCGCTCCAAATGTCCACATCCAGATACTACAGAAAGAGTATTTCAAACCTGCCCTATGAAAGGGAATGTTCAACTCTATGAGTTGAATGCAGAGATCAGAAAGAAATTTCTGAGAATGCTGCTGTCTACCTTTTATTTGAATTCCCGCTTCCAACGAAATCCTCCAAGCTATCCAAATATCCACTTGCAGATTCCACAAAAAGAGTGTTTCAAAACTGCTCTCTATCAATAGCAAAGTTCAACTCTGTTAGTTGAGGACACATATCGCCAACAAGTTTCTGAGAATGCTTCTGTCTATTTTTTATGGGTAGATATTCCCTTTTTCACCGTAGGCGTCAAGGCGATCGAAATGTCCACTTCCACAAACTACAAAAAGAGTGTTTCAAACCTGTTCTATGAAAGGCCATGTTCATCTCTATGAGTTGAATGGAAATATCCGAAAGAAATTTCTGGGAATGCTGCTGTCTAGTGTTTATACGAATTCCCGCTTCCAACAAAATCCTCAAAGCAATCCAAATATCCACTTGCAGAATCCACAAAAAGAGTGTTTCAAAACTGCTCTATCAATAGAAAGGTTCAACTCTTTTAGTTGAGTACACACATCACGAACAAGTTTCTGAGAATGCTTCTGTCTGGCTTTTATTGGAAGACGTTTCCTTTTCACCAAAGGCATCAAAGCGCTCCAAATGTCCACTTCCAGATTCTTCCAAAAGAGTGTTTCAAACGTGCTCAAAGTAAGGGAATGTTCAACTCTGTCACTTGAATGCAGATATCACCAAGTAGTTTCTAATAGTGCTTCTGTCTAGATTTTAGATGATGATATTCCCGTTTCCAACGAAATCGTTAGAGCTATCCAAATATCCACTTACAGTTTCTACCAAAAGGGTGTTTCCAAATTGCTGCATCAAAAGAAAGGTTCAACTCTGTTAGTTGAGGACACACATCACAAAGAAGTTTGTGAGAATGCTTCTGTCTAGATTTTGTATGACGGTATTCCCTTTTCCAACGATATCGTTAAAGCAATCTAAATATCAATTTGCAGAATCCACAACAATAGAGTTTCAAAGCTGCTCTGTAAAAAGAAAGGTTCCACTCTGTTAGCTGAGTACACACATCACAAACTTGTTTCTGAGAATCCTTCTGTCTCGTTTTTATGGGAAGATATTTACTTTTTCACCGTAGGCATCAAAGCGCTCCAAATGTCCACATCCAGATACTCCAGAAAGAGTGTTTCAAACCTGCTCTATGAAAGGGAATCTTCAACTCTATGAGTTGAATGCAGACATCAGAAAGTAATTTCTGAGAATGCTGCTGTCTACCTTTTATTTGAATTCCCGCTTCCAACGAAATCCTCCAAGCTATCCAAATATCCACCTGCATTTTCCACAAAAAGAGTGTTTCAAACCTGCTCTATCAATAGAAATGTTCAACTCCTTTGGCTGGGTACACACATCACAAACAAGTTTCTGAGAATGCTTCTGTCTAGTTTTTATGGGTAGACGTTCCCTTTTTCACCAAAGGAATCAAAGCGCTCCAAATGTCCACTTCCAGACACTACAAAAAGAGTGTTTCCAACGTGCTCTAAGAAAGCGAATGTTCAACTCTGTGACTTGAATGCAGATATCACAAAGTAGTTTCTGAGAGGGCTTCTGTCTAGATTTTAGATGATGATATTCCCGTTTCCAACGAAATCATTAGAGCTATCCAAATATCCACTTACAGTTTCTACAAAAAGAGTGTTTCCAAACTGCTGCATCAAAAGAGAGGTTCCACTCTGTTAGCTGAGTACACACATCACAAACTTGTTTCTCAGAATCCTTCTGTCTCGTTTTTATGGGAAGATATTTACTTTTTCACCGTAGGCATCAAAGCGCTCCAAATGTCCACATCCAGATACTCCACAAAGAGTGTTTCAAACCTGCTCTATGAAAGGGAATCTTCAACTCTATGAGTTGATTGCAGACATCAGAAAGAAATTTCTGAGAATGCTGCTGTCTACCTTTTATTTGAATTCCCGCTTCCAACGAAATCCTCCAAGCTATCCAAATATCCACTTGCAGATTCCACAAAAAGAGTGTTTCAAAACTGCTCTCTATCAATGGCAAAGTTCAACTCTGTTAGTTGAGGACACATATCACCAACAAGTTTCTGAGAATGCTCTGTCTATTTTTTATGGGAAGATATTTCCTTTTTCACCGTAGGCGTCAAGGCGATCGAAATGTCCACTTCCACAAACTACAAAAAGAGTGTTTCAAACCTGCTCTATGAAAGGCCATGTTCATCTCTATGAGTCGAATGGAAATATCCGAAAGAAATTTCTGGGAATGCTGGCTGTCTAGTGTTTATACGAATTCCCGCTTCCGATGAAATCCTCAAAGCAATCCAAATATCCACTTGCAGAATCCACAAAAAGAGTGTTTCAAAACTGCTCTATCAATAGAAAGGTTCAACTCTTTTAGTTGAGTACACACATCACGAACAAGTTTCTGAGAATGCTTCTGTCTGGCTTTTATTGGAAGACGTTTCCTTTTCACCAAAGGCATCAAAGCGCTCCAAATGTCCACTTCCAGATTCTTCCAAAAGAGTGTTTGAAACGTGCCCAAAGTAAGGGAATGTTCAACTCTGTGACTTGAATGCAGATATCACCAAGTAGTTTCTAATAGTGCTTCTGTCTAGATTTTAGATGATGATATTCCCGTTTCCAACGAAATCGTTAGAGCTATCCAAATATCCACTTACAGTTTCTACAAAAAGAGTGTCTCCAAACTGCTGCATCAAAAGAAAGGTTCAACTCTGTTAGTTGAGGACACACATCACAAAGAAGTTTGTGAGAATGCTTCTGTCTAGATTTTGTATGACGGTATTCCCTTTTCCAACGATATCGTTAAAGCAATCTAAATATCAATTTGCAGAATTCACAAAAATAGAGTTTCAAAGCTGCTCTGTAAAAAGAAAGGTTCCACTCTGTTAGCTGAGTACACACATCACAAACTTGTTTCTGAGAATCCTTCTGTCTCGTTTTTATGGGAAGATATTTACTTTTCCACCGTAGGCATCAAAGCGCTCCAAATGTCCACATCCAGATACTCCAGAACGAGTGTTTCAAACCTGCTCTATGAAAGGGAATCTTCAACTCTATGAGTTGAATGCAGACATCAGAAAGAAATTTCTGAGAATGCTGCTGTCTACCTTTTATTTGAATTCCCGCTTCCAACGAAATCCTCCCAGCTATCCAAATATCCACCTGCATTTTCCACAACAAGAGTGTTTCAAAACTGCTCTATCAATAGAAATTTTCAACTCCTTTGGCTGGGTACACACATCACAAACAAGTTTCTGAGAATGCTTCTGTCTAGTTTTTATGGGAAGACATTCCCTTTTTCACCAAAGGCATCAAAGCGCTCCAAATGTCCACTTCCAGACACTACAAAAAGAGTGTTTCCAACGTGCTCTAAGAAAGCGAATGTTCAACTCCTGTGACTTGAATGCAGATATCACAAAGTAGTTTCTAATAGTGCTTCTGTCTAGATTTTAGATGATGATATTCCCGTTTCCAACGAAATCATTAGAGCTATCCAAATATCCACTTACAGTTTCTACAAAAAGAGTGTTTCCAAACTGCTGCATCAAAAGAGAGGTTCCACTCTGTTAGCTGAGTACACACATCACAAACTTGTTTCTCAGAATCCTTCTGTCTCGTTTTTATGGGAAGATATTTACTTTTCCACCGTAGGCATCAAAGCGCTCCAAATGTCCACATCCAGATACTCCAGAACGAGTGTTTCAAACCTGCTCTATGAAAGGGAATCTACAACTCTATGAGTTGAATGCAGACATCAGAAAGAAATTTCTGAGAATGCTGCTGTCTACCTTTTATTTGAATTCCCGCTTCCAACGAAATCCTCCAAGCTATCCAAATATCCACTTGCAGATTCCACAAAAAGAGTGTTTCAAAACTGCTCTCTATCAATGGCAAAGTTCAACCCTGTTAGTTGAGGACACATATCACCAACAAGTTTCTGAGAATGCTTCTGTCTATTTTTTATGGGAAGATATTTCCTTTTTCACCGTAGGCGTCAAGGCGATCGAAATGTCCACTTCCACAAACTACAAAAAGAGTGTTTCAAACCTGCTCTATGAAAGGCCATGTTCATCTCTATGAGTCGAATGGAAATATCCGAAAGAAATTTCTGGGAATGCTGCTGTCTAGTTTTTATATGAATTCCCGCTTCCAACGAAATCCTCAAAGCAATCCAAATATCCACTTGCAGAATCCACAAAAAGAGTGTTTCAAAACTGCGCTATGAATAGAAAGGTTCAACTCTTTTAGTTGAGTACACATATCACGAACAAGTTTCTGAGAATGCTTCCTGTCTGGCTTTTATTGGAAGACGTTTCCCTTTTCACCAAAGGCATCAAAGCGCTCCAAATGTCCACTTCCAGATTCTTCCAAAAGAGTGTTTCAAACGTGCTCAAAGTAAGGGAATGTTCAACTCTGTGACTTGAATGCAGATATCACCAAGTAGTTTCTAATAGTGCTTCTGTCTACATTTTAGATGATGATATTCCCGTTTCCAACGAAATCGTTAGAGCTATCCAAATATCCAGTTACAGTTTCTACCAAAAGGGTGTTTCCAAATTGCTGCATCAAAAGAAAGGTTCAACTCTGTTAGTTGAGGACACACATCACAAAGAAGTTTGTGAGAATGCTTCTGTCTAGATTTTGTATGATGATATTCCCTTTTCCAACGATATCGTTAAAGCAATCTAAATATCAATTTGCAGAATCCACAAAAATAGAGTTTCAAAGCTGCTCTGTAAAAAGAAAGGTTCCACTCTGTTAGCTGAGTACACACATCACAAACTTGTTTCTGAGAATCCTTCTGTCTCGTTTTTATGGGAAGATATTTACTTTTCCACCGTAGGCATCAAAGCGCTCCAAATGTCCACATCCAGATACTCCAGAACGAGTGTTTCAAACCTGCTCTATGAAAGGGAATCTTCAACTCTATGAGTTGAATGCAGACATCAGAAAGAAATTTCTGAGAATGCTGCTGTCTACCTTTTATTTGAATTCCCGCTTCCAACGAAATCCTCCAAGCTATCCAAATATCCACCTGCATTTTCCACAACAAGAGTGTTTCAAAACTGCTCTATCAATAGAAATGTTCAACTCCTTTGGCTGGGTACACACATCACAAACAAGTCTCTGAGAATGCTTCTGTCTAGTTTTTATGGGAAGACATTCCCTTTTTCACCAAAGGCATCAAAGCGCTCCAAATGTCCACTTCCAGACACTACAAAAAGAGTGTTTCCAACGTTCTCTAAGAAAGCGAATGTTCAACTCTGTGACTTGAATGCAGATGTCACAAAGTAGTTTCTGAGAGGGCTTCTGTCTAGATTTTAGATGATGATATTCCCGTTTCCAACGAAATCATTAGAGCTATCCAAATATCCACTTACAGTTTCTACAAAAAGAGTGTTTCCAAACTGCTGCATCAAAAGAGAGGTTCCACTCTGTTAGCTGAGTACACACATCACAAACTTGTTTCTCAGAATCCTTCTGTCTCGTTTTTCTGGGAAGATATTTACTTTTTCACCGTAGGCATCAAAGCGCTCCAAATGTCCACATCCAGATACTCCAGAAAGAGTGTTTCAAACCTGCTCTATGAAAGGGAATCTTCAACTCTATGAGTTGAATGCAGACATCAGAAAGAAATTTACTGAGAATGCTGCTGTCTACCTTTTATTTGAATTCCCGCTTCCAACGAAATCCTCCAAGCTATCCAAATATCCACTTGCAGATTCCACAAAAAGAGTGTTTCAAAACTGCTCTCTATCAATGGCAAAGTTCAACTCTGTTAGTTGAGGACACATATCACCAACAAGTTTCTGAGAATGCTTCTGTCTATTTTTTATGGGAAGATATTTCCTTTTTCACTGTAGGCGTCAAGGCGATCGAAATGTCCACTTCCACAAACTACAAAAAGAGTGTTTCAAACCAGCTCTATGAAAGGCGATGTTCATCTCTATGAGTTGAATGGAAATATCCGAAAGAAATTTCTGGGAATGCTGCTGTCTAGTGTTTATACGAATTCCCGCTTCCAACGAAATCCTCAAAGCAATCCAAATATCCACTTGCAGAATCCACAAAAAGAGTGTTTCAAAACTGCTCTATCAATAGAAAGGTTCAACTCTTTTAGTTGAGTACACACATCACGAACAAGTTTCTCAGAATGCTTCTGTCTGGCTTTTATTGGAAGACGTTTCCTTTTCACCAAAGGCATCAAAGCGCTCCAAATGTCCACTTACAGATTCTTCCAAAAGAGTGTTTCAAACGTGCTCAAAGTAAGGGAATGTTCAACTCTGTGACTTGAATGCAGATATCACCAAGTAGTTTCTAATAGTGCTTCTGTCTAGATTTTAGATGATGATATTCCCGTTTCCAACGAAATCGTTAGAGCTATCCAAATATCCACTTACAGTTTCTACAAAAAGAGTGTTTCCAAACTGCTGCATCAAAAGAAAGGTTCAACTCTGTTAGTTGAGGACACACGTCACAAAGAAGTTTGTGAGCATGCTTCTGTCTAGATTTTGTATGACGATATTCCCTTTTCCAGCGATATCATTAAAGCAATCTAAATATCCATTTGCAGAATCCACAAAAATAGAGTTTCAAAGCTGCTCTGTAAAAAGAAAGGTTCCACTCTGTTAGCTGAGTACACACATCACAAACTTGTTTCTCAGAATCCTTCTGTCTCGTTTTTATGGGAAGATATTTACTTTTTCACCGTAGGCATCAAAGCGCTCCAAATGTCCACATACAGATACTCCAGAAAGAGTGTTTCAAACCTGCTCTATGAAAGGGAATCTTCAACTCTATGAGTTGAATGCAGACATCAGAAAGAAATTTCTGAGAATGCTGCTGTCTACCTTTTATTTGAATTCCCGCTTCCAACGAAAACCTCCAAGCTATCCAAATATCCACTTGCAGATTCTACAAAAAGAGTGTTTCAAAACTGCTCTATCAATAGAAATGTTCAACTCCTTTCGCTGGGTACACACATCACAAACAAGTTTCTGAGAAAGCTTCTGTCTAGTTTTTATGGGAAGACATTTCCTTTTTCACCAAAGGCATCAAAGAGCTCCAAATGTCCACTTCCAGATACTACAAAAAGAGTGTTTCAAAAGTGCTCTAAGAAAGCGAATGTTCAACTCTGTGACTTGAATGCAGATATTAAAAAGTAGTTTCTGAGAGTGCTTCTGTCCAGATTTTGTATGACGATATTCCCTTTTCCAACGGATATCGTTAAAGCAATCTAAATATCCATTTGCAGAATCCACAAAAATAGAGTTTCAAAGCTGCTCTGTAAAAAGAAAGGTTCCACTCTGTTAGCTGAGTACACACATCACAAACTTGTCTCTCAGAATCCTTCTGTCTCGTTTTTATGGGAAGATATTTACTTTTCCACCGTAGGCATCAAAGCGCTCCAAATGTCCACATCCAGATACTCCAGAAAGAGTGTTTCAAACCTGCTCTATGAAAGGGAATCTTCAACTCTATGAGTTGAATGCAGACATCAGAAAGAAATTTCTGAGAATGCTGCTGTCTACCCTTTATTTGAATTCCCGCTTCCAACGAAATCCTCCAAGCTATCCAAATATCCACTTGCAGATTCCACAAAAAGAGTGTTTCAAAACTGCTCTCTATCAATGGCAAAGTTCAACTCTGTTAGTTGAGGACACATATCACCAACAAGTTTCTGAGAATGCTTCTGTCTATTTTTTATGGGAAGATATTTCCTTTTTCACTGTAGGCGTCAAGGCGATCGAAATGTCCACTTCCACAAACTACAAAAAGAGTGTTTCAAACCTGCTCTATGAAAGGCGATGTTCATCTCTATGAGTTGAATGGAAATATCCGAAAGAAATTTACTGGGAATGCTGCTGTCTAGTTTTTATACGAATTCCCGCTTCCAACGAAATCCTCAAATCAATCCAAATATCCACTTGCAGAATCCACAAAAAGAGTGTTTCAAAACTGCTCTATGAATAGAAAGGTTCAACTCTTTTAGTTGAGTACACACATCACAAACAAGTTTCTGAGAATGCTGCTGTTGGGCTTTTATTGGAAGACGTTTCCTTTTCACCAAAGGCATCAAAGCGCTCCAAATGTCCACTTCCAGATTCTTCCAAAAGAGTGTTTCAAACGTGCTCAAAGTAAGGGAATGTTCAACTCTGTGACTTGAATGCAGATATCAAAAAGTAGTTTACTGAGAGTGCTTCTGTCTAGATTTTAGATGATGATATTCCCGTTTCCAACGAAATCGTTAGAGCTATCCAAATATCCAGTTACAGTTTCTACCAAAAGGGTGTTTCCAAATTGCTGCATCAAAAGAAAGGTTCAACTCTGTTAGTTGAGGACACACATCACAAAGAAGTTTGTGAGAATGCTTCTGTCTAGATTTTGTATGACGATATTCCCTTTTCCAACGATATCGTTAAAGCAATCTAAATATCAATTTGCAGAATCCACAAAAATAGAGTTTCAAAGCTGCTCTGTAAAAAGAAAGGTTCCACTGTGTTAGCTGAGTACACACATCACAAACTTGTTTCTCAGAATCCTTTCTGTCTCGTTTTTATGGGAAGATATTTACTTTTCCACCGTAGGCATCAAAGCGCTCCAAATGTCCACATCCAGATACTCCAGAACGAGTGTTTCAAACCTGCTCTATGAAAGGGAATCTTCAACTCTATGAGTTGAATGCAGACATCAGAAAGAAATTTCTGAGAATGCTGCTGTCTACCTTTTATTTGAATTCCCGCTTCCAACGAAATCCTCCAAACTATCCAAATATCCACCTGCATTTTCCACAACAAGAGTGTTTCAAAACTGCTCTATCAATAGAAATGTTCAACTCCTTTGGCTGGGTACACACATCACAAACAAGTCTCTGAGAATGCTTCTGTCTAGTTTTTATGGGAAGACATTCCCTTTTTCACCAAAGGCATCAAAGCGCTCCAAATGTCCACTTCCAGACACTACAAAAAGAGTGTTTCAAACGTGCTCTAAGAAACCGAATGTTCAACTCTGTGACTTGAATGCAGATATCACAAAGTAGTTTCTGAGAGGGCTTCTGTCTAGATTTTAGATGATGATATTCCCGTTTCCAACGAAATCATTAGAGCTATCCAAATATCCACTTACAGTTTCTACAAAAAGAGTGTTTCCAAACTGCTGCATCAAAACAGAGGTTCCACTCTGTTAGCTGAGTACACACATCACAAACTTGTTTCTCAGAATCCTCTGTCTCGTTTTTATGGGAAGATATTTACTTTTTCACCGTAGGCATCAAAGCGCTCCAAATGTCCACATCCAGATACTACAGAAAGAGTATTTCAAACCTGCCCTATGAAAGGGAATGTTCAACTCTATGAGTTGAATGCAGACATCAGAAAGCAATTTCTGAGAATGCTGGCTGTCTACCTTTTATTTGAATTCCCGCTTCCAACGAAATCCTCCAAGCTATCCAAATATCCACTTGCAGATTCCACAAAAAGAGTGTTTCAAAACTGCTCTCTATCAATGGCAAAGTTCAACTCTGTTAGTTGAGGACACATATCACCAACAAGTTTCTGAGAATGCTTCTGTCTATTTTTTATGGGAAGATATTTCCTTTTTCACCGTAGGCGTCAAGGCGATCGAAATGTCCACTTCCACAAACTACAAAAAGAGTGTTTCAAACCTGCTCTATGAAAGGCGATGTTCATCTCTATGAGTTGAATGGAAATATCCGAAAGAAATTTCTGGGAATGCTGCTGTCTAGTTGTTATACGAATTCCCGCTTCCAACGAAATCCTCAAAGCAATCCAAATATCCACTTGCAGAATCCACAAAAAGAGTGTTTCAAAACTGCTCTATCAATAGAAAGGTTCAACTCTTTTAGTTGAGTACACACATCTCAAACAAGTTTCTGAGAATGCTTCTGTCTGGCTTTTATTGGAAGACGTTTCCTTTTCACCAAAGGCATCAAAGCGCTCCAAATGTCCACTTCCAGATTCTTCCAAAAGAGTGTTTGAAACGTGCTCAAAGTAAGGGAATGTTCAACTCTGTGACTTGAATGCAGATATCACCAAGTAGTTTCTAATAGTGCTTCTGTCTAGATTTTAGATGATGATATTCCCGTTTCCAACGAAATCGTTAGAGCTATCCAAATATCCACTTACAGTTTCTACAAAAACAGTGTTTCCAAACTGCTGCATCAGAAGAAAAGTTCAACTCTGTTAGTTGAGGACACACATCACAAAGAAGTTTGTGAGAATGCTTCTGTCTAGATTTTGTATGACCATATTCCCTTTTCCAGCGATATCATTAAAGCAATCTAAATATCCATTTGCAGAATCCACAAAAATAGAGTTTCAAAGCTGCTCTGTAAAAAGAAAGGTTCCACTCTGTTAGCTGAGTACACACATCACAAACTTGTCTCTCAGAATCCTTCTGTCTCGTTTTTATGGGAAGATATTTACTTTTCCACCGTAGGCATCAAAGCGCTCCAAATGTCCACATCCAGATACTCCAGAACGAGTGTTTCAAACCTGCTCTATGAAAGGGAATCTTCAACTCTATGAGTTGAATGCAGACATCAGAAAGAAATTTCTGAGAATGCTGCTGTCTACCTTTTATTTGAATTCCCGCTTCCAACGAAATCCTCCAAGCTATCCAAATATCCACCTGCATTTTCCACAACAAGAGTGTTTCAAAACTGCTCTATCAATAGAAACGTTCAACTCCTTTGGCTGGGTACACACATCACAAACAAGTTTCTGAGAATGCTTCTGTCTAGTTTTTATGGGAAGACGTTCCCTTTTTCACCAAAGCCATCAAAGCGCTCCAAATGTCCACTTCCAGAGACTACAAAAAGAGTGTTTCAAACGTGCTCTAAGAAAGCGAATGTTCAACTCTGTGACTTGAATGCAGATATCACAAAGTAGTTTCTGAGAGTGCTTCTGTCTAGATTTTACATGATGATATTCCCGTTTTCAACGAAATCATTAGAGCTATCCAAATATCCACTTACAGTTTCTACAAAAAGAGTGTTTCCAAACTGCTGCATCAAAAGAGAGGTTCCACTCTGTTAGCTGAGTACACACATCACAAACTTGTTTCTCAGAATCCTTCTGTCTAGTTTTTATGGGAAGATATTTACTTTTTCACCGTAGGTATCAAAGCGCTCCAAATGTCCACATCCAGATACTACAGAAAGAGTGTTTCAAACCTGCGCTATGAAAGGGAGTTTTCAACTCTATGAGTTGAATGCAGACATCAGAAAGTAATTTCTGAGAATGCTTCTTCAATTTTTTATGGGAAGACATTTCCTTTTTCACCGTAGGCGTCAAAGCGCTCCAAATGTCCACATCCAGATAGTACAGAAAGAGTGTTTCAAACCTGCTCTATTAAAGGGAATGTTCAACTCTATGAGTTGAATGCAAACATCAGAAAGATATTTCTGAGAATGCTTCTGTCTATTTTTTATGGGAAGATATTTCCTTTTTCACCGTAGGCGTCAAGGCGATCGAAATGTCCACTTCCACAAACTACAAAAAGAGTGTTTCAAACCTGCTCTATGAAAGGCCATGTTCATCTCTATGAGTTGAATGGAAATATCCGAAAGAAATTTCTGGGAATGCTGCTGTCTAGTTGTTATACGAATTCCCGCTTCCAACGAAATCCTCAAAGCAATCCAAATATCCACTTGCAGAATCCAAAAAAAGAGTGTTTCAAAACTGCTCTATCAATAGAAAGGTTCAACTCTTTTAGTTGAGTACACACATCACAAACAAGTTTCTGAGAATGCTTCTCTCTGGCTTTTATTGGAAGACGTTTCCTTTTCACCAAAGGCATCAAAGCGCTCCAAATGTCCACTTCCAGATTCTTCCAAAAGAGTGTTTCAAACGTGCTCAAAGTAAGGGAATGTTCAACTCTGTGACTTGAATGCAGATATCACCAAGTAGTTTCTAATAGTGCTTCTGTCTACATTTTAGATGATGATATTCCCGTTTCCAACGAAATCGTTAGAGCTATCCAAATATCCAGTTACAGTTTCTACCAAAAGGGTGTTTCCAAATTGCTGCATCAAAAGAAAGGTTCAACTCTGTTAGTTGAGGACACACATCACAAAGAAGTTTGTGAGAATGCTTCTGTCTAGATTTTGTATGACGATATTCCCTTTTCCAACGATATCATTAAAGCAATCTAAATATCCATTTGCAGAATCCACAAAAATAGAGTTTCAAAGCTGCTCTGTAAAAAGAAAGGTTCCACTCTGTTAGCTGAGTACACACATCACAAACTTGTTCCTCAGAATCCTTCTGTCTCGTTTTTATGGGAAGATATTTACTTTTCCACCGTAGGCATCAAAGCGCTCCAAATGTCCACATCCAGATACTGCAGAACGAGTGTTTCAAACCTGCTCCATGAAAGGGAATCTTCAACTCTATGAGTTGAATGCAGACATCAGAAAGAAATTTCTGAGAATGCTGCTGTCTACCTTTTATTTGAATTCCCGCTTCCAACGAAATCCTCCAAGCTATCCAAATATCCACTTGCATTTTCCACAAAAAGAGTGTTTCATAACTGCTCTGTCAATAGAAATGTTCAACTCCTTTAGCTGGGTACACACATCACAAACAAGTTTCTGAGAATGCTTCTGCCTAGTTTTTATGGGAAGACATTCCCTTTTTCACCAAAGGAATCAAAGCGCTCCAAATGTCCACTTCCAGACACTACAAAAAGAGTGTTTCAAACGTGCTCTAAGAAAGCGAATGTTCAACTCTGTGACTTGAATGCAGATATCACACAGTAGTTTCTGAGAGTGCTTCTGTCTAGATTTTAGATGATGATATTCCCGTTTCCAACGAAATCATTAGAGCTATCCAAATATCCACTTACAGTTTCTACAAAAAGAGTGTTTCCAAACTGCTGCATCAAAAGAGAGGTTCCACTCTGTTAGCCGAGTACACACATCACAAACTTGTTTCTCAGAATCCTTCTGTCTCGTTTTTATGGGAAGATATTTACTTTTTCACCGTAGGCATCAAAGCGCTCCAAATGTCCACATCCAGATACTCCAGAAAGAGTGTTTCAAACCTGCTCTATGAAAGGGAATGTTCAACTCTACGAGTTGAATGCAGACATCAGAAAGAAATTTCTGAGAATGCTGCTGTCTACCTTTTATTTGAATTCCCGCTTCCAACGAAATCCTCCAAGCTATCCAAATATCCACTTGCAGATTCCACAAAAAGAGTGTTTCAAAACTGCTCTCTATCAATGGCAAAGTTCAACTCTGTTAGTTGAGGACACATATCACCAACAAGTTTCTGAGAATGCTTCTGTCTATTTTTTATGGGAAGATATTTCCTTTTTCACCATAGGCGTCAAGGCGATCGAAATGTCCACTTCCACAAACTACAAAAAGAGTGTTTCAAACCTGCTCTATGAAAGGCCATGTTCATCTCTATGAGTCGAATGGAAATATCCGAAAGAAATTTCTGGGAATGCTGCTGTCTAGTTTTTATACGAATTCCCGCTTCCAACGAAATCCTCAAAGCAATCCAAATATCCACTTGCAGAATCCACAAAAAGAGTGTTTCAAAACTGCTCTATCAATAGAAAGGTTCAACTCTTTTAGTTGAGTACACACATCACAAACAAGTTTCTGAGAATGCTTCTGTCTGGCTTTTATTGGAAGACGTTTCCTTTTCACCAAAGGCATCAAAGCGCTCCAAATGTCCACTTCCAGATTCTTCCAAAAGAGTGTTTCAAACGTGCTCGAAGTAAGGGAATATTCTACTCTGTGACTTGAATGCAGATATCACCAAGTAGTTTCTAATAGTGCTTCTGTCTAGATTTTAGATGATGATATTCCCGTTTCCAACGAAATCGTTAGAGCTATCCAAATATCCAGTTACAGTTTCTACCAAAAGGGTGTTTCCAAATTGCTGCATCAAAAGAAAGGTTCAACTCTGTTAGTTGAGGACACACATCACAAAGAAGTTTGTGAGAATGCTTCTGTCTAGATTTTGTATGACGATATTCCCTTTTCCAACGATATCGTTAAAGCAATCTAAATATCAATTTGCAGAATCCACAAAAATAGAGTTTCAAAGCTGCTCTTTAAAAAGAAAGGTTCCACTCTGTTAGCTGAGTACACACATCACAAACTTGTTTCTGAGAATCCTTCTGTCTCGTTTTTATGGGAAGATATTTACTTTTCCACCGTAGGCATCAAAGCGCTCCAAATGTCCACATCCAGATACTCCAGAACGAGTGTTTCAAACCTGCTCTATGAAAGGGAATCTTTAACTCTATGAGTTGAATGCAGACATCAGAAAGAAATTTCTGAGAATGCTGCTGTCTACCATTTATTTGAATTCCCGCTTCCAACGAAATCCTCCATGCTATCCAAATATCCACTTGCATTTTCCACAAAAAGAGTGTTTCAAAACTGCTCTATCAATAGAAATGTTCAACTCCTTTAGCTGGGTACACACATCACAAACAAGTTTCTGAGAATGCTTCTGTCTAGTTTTTATGGGAAGACATTCCCTTTTTCACCAAAGGCATCAAAGCACTCCAAATGTCCACTTCCAGACACTACAAAAAGAGTGTTTCAAACGTGCTCTAAGAAAGCGAATGTTCAACTCTGTGACTTGAATGCAGATATCACAAAGTAGTTTCTGAGAGGGCTTCTGTCTAGATTTTAGATGATGATATTCCCATTTCCAACGAAATCATTAGAGCTAACCAAATATCCACTTACAGTTTCTACAAAAAGAGTGTTTCCAAACTGCTGCATCAGAAGAGAGGTTCCACTCTGTTAGCTGAGTACACACATCACAAACTTGTTTCTCAGAATCCTTCTGTCTCGTTTTTATGGGAAGATATTTACTTTTTCATCGTAGGCCTCAAAGCGCTCCAAATGTCCACATCCAGATACTACAGAAAGAGTATTTCAAACCTGCTCTATGAAAGGGAATCTTCAACTCTATGAGTTGAATGCAGACATCAGAAAGAAATTTCTGAGAATGCTGCTGTCTACCTTTTATTTGAATTCCCGCTTCCAACGAAATCCTTCAAGCTATCCAAATATCCACTTGCTGATTCCACAAAAAGAGTGTTTCAAAACTGCTCTCTATCAATGGCAAAGTTCAACTCTGTTAGTTGAGGACACATATCACCAACAACTTTCTGAGAATGCTTCTGTCTATTTTTTATGGGAAGATATTTCCTTTTTCACCGTAGGCGTCAAGGCGATCGAAATGTCCACTTCCACAAACTACAAAAAGAGTGTTTCAAACCTGCTCTATGAAAGGCCATGTTCATCTCTATGAGTCGAATGGAAATATCCGAAAGAAATTTCTGGGAATGCTGCTGTCTAGTGTTTATACGAATTCCCGCTTCCAACGAAATCCTCAAAGCAATCCAAATATCCACTTGCAGAATCCACAAAAAGAGTGTTTCAAAACTGCTCTATCAATAGAAAGGTTCAACTCTTTTAGTTGAGTACACACATCACCAACAAGTTTCTGAGAATGCTTCTGTCTGGCTTTTATTGGAAGACGTTTCCTTTTCACCAAAGGCATCAAAGCGCTCCAAATGTCCACTTCCAGATTCTTCCAAAAGAGTGTTTCAAACGTGCTCGAAGTAAGGGAATGTTCAACTCTGTGACTTGAATGCTGATATCACCAAGTAGTTTCTAATAGTGCTTCTGTCTAGATTTTAGATGATGATATTCCCGTTTCCAATGAAATCGTTAGAGCTATCCAAATATCCACTTACAGTTTCTACAAAAAGAGTGTTTCCAAACTGCTGCATCAAAATAAAGGTTCAACTCTGTTAGTTGAGGACACACATCACAAAGAAGTTTGTGAGAATGCTTCTGTCCAGATTTTGTATGACGATATTCCCTTTTCCAATGATATCGTTAAAGCAATCTAAATATCCATTTGCAGAATCCACAAAAATAGAGTTTCAAAGCTGCTCTGTAAAAAGAAAGGTTCCACTCTGTTAGCTGAGTACACACATCACAAACTTGTCTCTCAGAATCCTTCTGTCTCGTTTTTATGGGAAGATATTTACTTTTTCACCGTAGGCATCAAAGCGCTCCAAATGTCCACATCCAGATACTCCAGAAAGAGTGTTTCAAACCTGCTCTAGGAAAGGGAATCTTCAACTCTATGAGTTGAATGCAGACATCAGAAAGAAATTTCTGAGAATGCTGCTGTCTACCTTTTATTTGAATTCCCGCTTCCAACGAAATCCTCCAAGCTATCCAAATATCCACCTGCATTTTCCACAAAAAGAGCGTTTCAAAACTGCTCTATCAATAGAAATGTTCAACTCCTTTGGCTGGGTACACACATCACAAACAAGTTTCTGAGAATGCTTCTGTCTAGTTTTTATGGGAAGACATTCCCTTTTTCACCAAAGGCATCAAAGCGCTCCAAATGTCCACTTCCAGACACTACAAAAAGAGTGTTTCCAACGTGCTCTAAGAAAGCGAATGTTCAACTCTGTGACTTGAATGCAGATATCACAAAGTAGTTTCTGAGAAGGCTTCTGTCTAGATTTTAGATGATGATATTCCCGTTTCCAACGAAATCATTAGAGCTATCCAAATAACCACTTACAGTTTCTACAAAAAGAGTGTTTCCAAACTGCTGCATCAAAAGAGAGGTTCCACTCTGTTAGCTGAGTACACACATCACAAACTTGTTTCTCAGAATCCTTTCTGTCTAGTTTTTATGGGAAGATATTTACTTTTTCACCGTAGGCATCAAAGAGTTCCAAATGTCCACATCCAGATAGTACAGAAAGAGTGTTTCAAACCTGCTCTATGAAAGGGAATGTTCAACTCTATGAGTTGAATGCAAGCATCACAAAGAAATTTCTGAGAATGCTGCTGTCTACCTTTTATTTGAATTCCCGCTTCCAACGAATTCCTCCAGGCTATCCAAATATCCACTTGCAGATTCCACAAACAGAGTGTTTCAAAACTGCTCTATCAATGGCAAGGTTCAACTCTGTCAGTTGAGGATACACATCACAAACAAGTTTCTGAGAATTCTTCTGTCTATTTTTTATGGGAAGATATTTCCTTTTTCACCGTAGGCGTCAAGGCGATCGAAATGTCCACTTCCACAAACTACAAAAAGAGTGTTTCAAACCTGCTCTATGAAAGGCCATGTTCATCTCTATGAGTCGAATGGAAATATCCGAAAGAAATTTCTGGGAATGCTGCTGTCTAGTGTTTATACGAATTCCCGCTTTCAACGAAATCCTCAAAGCAATCCAAATATCCACTTGCAGAATCCGCAAAAAGAGTGTTTCAAAACTGCTCTATCAATAGAAAGGTTCAACTCTTTTAGTTGAGTACACACATCACGAACAAGTTTCTGAGAATGCTTCTGTCTGGCTTTTATTGGAAGACGTTTCCTTTTCACCAAAGGCATCAAAGCGCTCCAAATGTCCACTTCCAGATTCTTCCAAAAGAGTGTTTCAAACGTGCTCAAAGTAAGGGAATGTTCAACTCTGTGACTTGAATGCAGATATCACCAAGTAGTTTCTAATAGTGCTTCTGTCTAGATTTTAGATGATGATATTCCCGTTTCCAACGAAATCGTTAGAGCTATCCAAATATCCAGTTACAGTTTCTACCAAAAGGGTGTTTCCAAATTGCTGCATCAAAAGAAAGGTTCAACTCTGTTAGTTGAGGACACACATCACAAAGCAAGTTTGTGAGAATGCTTCTGTCTAGATTTTGTATGACGATATTCCCTTTTCCAACGATATCGTTAAAGCAATCTAAATATCAATTTGCAGAATCCACAAAAATAGAGTTTCAAAGCTGCTCTGTAAAAAGAAAGGTTCCACTCTGTTAGGTGAGTACACACATCACAAACTTGTTTCTCAGAATCCTTCTGTCTCGTTTTTATGGGAAGATATTTACTTTTTCACCGTAGGCATCAAAGCGCTCCAAATGTCCACATCCAGATACTCCAGAAAGAGTGTTTCAAACCTGCTCTATGAAAGGGAATCTTCAACTCTATGAGTTGAATGCAGACATCAGAAAGAAATTTCTGAGAATGCTGCTGTCAACCTTTTATTTGAATTCCCGCTTCCAACGAAATCCTCCAAGCTATCCAAATATCCACCTGCATTTTCCACAAAAAGAGTGTTTCAAAACTGCTCTATCAATAGAAATGTTCAACCCCTTTGGCTGGGTACACACATCACAAACAAGTTTCTGAGAATGCTTCTGTCTACTTTTTAAGGGAAGACATTTCCTTTTTCACCAAAGGCATCAAAGCGCTCCAAATGTCCACTTCCAGATTCTACAAAAAGAGTGTTTCAAACCTGCTCTAAGTAAGGGAGTTTTCAACTCTGTGACTGGAATGCAGATATCACAAAGTAGTTTCTGAGACTGCTTCTGTCTAGATTTTAGATGATGATATTCCCGTTTCCAACGAAATCATTAGAGCTATCCAAATATCCACTTACATTTTCTACAAAAAGAGTGTTTCCAAACTGCTGCATCAAAAGAGAGGTTCCACTCTGTTAGCTGAGTACACACATCACAAACTTGTTTCTGAGAATCCTTCTGTCTCGTTTTTATGGGAAGATATTTACTTTTTCACCGTAGGCATCAAAGCGCTCCAAATGTCCACATCCAGATACTCCAGAAAGAGTGTTTCAAACCTGCTCTATGAAAAGGGAATCTTCAACTCTATGAGTTGAATGCAGACATCAGAAAGAAATTTCTGAGAATGCTGCTGTCTACCTTTTATTTGAATTCCCGCTTCCAACGAAATCCTCCAAGCTATCCAAATATCCACTTGCAGATTCCACAAAAAGAGTGTTTCAAAACTGCTCTCTATCAATGGCAAAGTTCAACTCTGTTAGTTGAGGACACATATCACCAACAAGTTTCTGAGAATGCTTCTGTCTATTTTTTATGGGAAGATATTTCCTTTTTCACCGTAGGCGTCAAGGCAATCGAAATGTCCACTTCCACAAACTACAAAAAGAGTGTTTCAAACCTGCTCTATGAAAGGCGATGTTCATCTCTATGAGTTGAATGGAAATATCCGAAAGAAATTTCTGGGAATGCTGCTGTCTAGGGTTTATACGAATTCCCGCTTCCAACGAAATCCTCAAAGCAATCCAAATATCCACTTGCAGAATCCACAAAAAGAGTGTTTCAAAACTGCGCTATCAATAGAAAGGTTCAACTCTTTTAGTTGAGTACACACATCACGAACAAGTTTCTGAGAATGCTTCTGTCTGGCTTTTATTGGAAGACGTTTCCTTTTCACCAAAGGCATCAAAGCGCTCCAAATGTCCACTTCCAGATTCTTCCAAAAGAGTGTTTGAAACGTGCTCAAAGTAAGGGAATGTTCAACTCTGTGACTTGAATGCAGATATCACCAAGTAGTTTCTAATAGTGCTCTGTCTAGATTTTAGATGATGATATTCCCGTTTCCAACGAAATCGTTAGAGCTATCCAAATATCCAGTTACAGTTTCTACCAAAAGGGTGTTTCCAAATTGCTGCATCAAAAGAAAGGTTCAACTCTGTTAGTTGAGGACACACATCACAAAGAAGTTTGTGAGAATGCTTTCTGTCTAGATTTTGAATGAAGATATTCCCTTTTCCATCGATATCGTTAAATCAACCCAAATATCAATTTGCAGAATCCACAGAAATAGAGTTTCAAAGCTGCTCTGTAAAAAGAAAGGATCCACTCTGTTAGCTGAGTACACACATCACAAACTTGTTTCTGAGCCTCCTGCTACCTTTTATTTGAATTCCCGCTTCCAACGAAATCCTCCAAGCTATCCAAATATCCACTTGCATTTTCCACAAAAAGAGTGTTTCAAAACTGCTCTATCAATAGAAATGTTCAACTCCTTTAGCTGGGTACACACATCACAAACAAGTTTCTGAGAATGCTTCTGTCTAGTTTTTATGGGAAGACGTTCCCTTTTTCACCAAAGGCATCAAAGTGCTCCAAATGTCCACTTCCAGACACTACAAAAAGAGTGTTTCCAACGTGCTCTAAGAAAGCGAATGTTCAACTCTGTTACTTGAATGCAGATATCACAAAGTAGTTTCTGAGAGGGCTTCTGTCTAGATTTTAGATGATGATATTCCCGTTTCCAACGAAATCATTAGAGCTATCCAAATATCCACATACAGTTTCTACAAAAAGAGTGTTTCCAAACTGCTGCATCAAAAGAGAGGTTCCACTCTGTTAGCTGAGTACACACATCACAAACTTGTTTCTCAGAATCCTGCTGTCTACCTTTTATTTGAATTCCCGCTTCCAACGAAATCCTCCAAGCTATCCAAATATCCACTTGCAGATTCCACAAAAAGAGTGTTTCAAAACTGCTCTCTATCAATGGCAAAGTTCAACTCTGTTAGTTGAGGACACATATCACCAACAAGTTTCTGAGAATGCTTCTGTCTATTTTTTATGGGAAGATATTTCCTTTTTCACCGTAGGCATCAAGGCGATCGAAATGTCCACTTCCACAAACTACAAAAAGAGTGTTTCAAACCTGCTCTATGAAAGGCGATGTTCATCTCTATGAGTTGAATGGAAATATCCGAAAGAAATTTCTGGGAATGCTGCTGTCTAGTTTTTATACGAATTCCCGCTTCCAACGAAATCCTCAAAGCAATCCAAATATCCACTTGCAGAATCCACAAAAAGAGTGTTTCAAAACTGCTCTATCAATAGAAAGGTTCAACTCTTTTAGTTGAGTACACACATCACAAACAAGTTTCTGAGAATGCTTCTCTCTGGCTTTTATTGGAAGACGTTTCCTTTTCACCAAAGGCATCAAAGCGCTCCAAATGTCCACTTCCAGATTCTTCCAAAAGAGTGTTTCAAACGTGGTCGAAGTAAGGGAATGTTCAACTGTGTGACTTGAATGCAGATATCACCAAGTAGTTTCTAATAGTGCTTCTGTCTAGATTTTAGATGATGATATTCCCGTTTCCAACGAAATCGTTAGAGCTATCCAAATATCCACTTACAGTTTCTACAAAAAGAGTGTTTCCAAACTGATGCATCAAAAGAAAGGTTCAACTCTGTTAGTTGAGGACACACATCACAAAGCAAGTTTGTGAGAATGCTTCTGTCTAGATTTTGTATGACGATATTCCCTTTTCCAACGATATCGTTAAAGCAATCTAAATATCCATTTGCAGAATCCACAAAAATAGAGTTTCAAAGCTGCTCTGTAAAAAGAAAGGTTCCACTCTGTTAGCTGAGTACACACATCACAAACTTGTTTCTCAGAATCCTTCTGTCTCGTTTTTATGGGAACATATTTACTTTTCCACCGTAGGCATCAAAGCGCTCCAAATGTCCACATCCGGATACTCCAGAACGAGTGTTTCAAACCTGCTCTATGAAAGGGAATCTTCAACTCTATGAGTTGAATGCAGACATCAGAAAGAAATTTCTGAGAATGCTGCTGTCTACCTTTTATTTGAATTCCCGCTTCCAACGAAATCCTCCAAGCTATCCAAATATCCACTTGCATTTTCCACAAAAAGAGTGTATCAAAACTGCTCTATCAACAGAAATGTTCAACTCCTTTAGCTGGGTACACACATCACAAACAAGTTTCTGAGAATGCTTCTGTCTAGTTTTTATGGGTAAACATTCCCTTTTTCACCAAAGGCATCAAAGCGCTCCAAATGTCCACTTCCAGACACTACAAAAAGAGTGTTTCAAACGTGCTCTAAGAAAGCGAATGTTCAACTCTGTGACTTGAATGCAGATATCACAAAGTAGTTTCTGAGAGTGCTTCTGTCTAGATTTTAGATGATGATACTCCCGTTTCCAACGAAATCATTAGAGCTATCCAAATATCCACTTACAGTTTCTACAAAAAGAGTGTTTCCAAACTGCTGCATCAAAAGAGAGGTTCCACTCTGTTAGCTGAGTACACACATCACAAACTTGTTTCTGAGAATCCTTCTGTCTCGTTTTTATGGGAAGATATTTACTTTCTCACCGTAGGCATCAAAGCGCTCCAAATGTCCACATCCAGATACTCCAGAAAGAGTGTTTCAAACCTGCTCTATGAAAGGGAATCTTCAACTCTATGAGTTGAATGCAGACATCAGAAAGAAATTTCTGAGAATGCTGCTGTCTACCTTTTATTTGAATTCCCGCTTCCAACGAAATCCTCTAAGCTATGCAAATATCCACTTGCAGATTCCACAAAAAGAGTGTTTCAAAACTGCTCTCTATCAATGGCAAAGTTCAACTCTGTTAGTTGAGGACACATATCACCAACAAGTTTCTGAGAATGCTTCTGTCTATTTTTTATGGGAAGATATTTCCTTTTTCACCGTAGGCGTCAAGGCGATCGAAATGTCCACTTCCACAAACTACAAAAAGAGTGTTTCAAACCTGCTCTATGAAAGGCCATGTTCATCTCTATGAGTCGAATGGAAATATCCGAAAGAAATTTCTGGGAATGCTGCTGTCTAGTTTTTATACGAATTCCCGCTTCCAACGAAATCCTCAAAGCAATCCAAATATCCACTTGCAGAATCCACAAAAAGAGTGTTTCAAAACTGCTCTATCAATAGAAAGGTTCAACTCTTTTAGTTGAGTGCACACATCACAAACAAGTTTCTGAGAATGCTTCTGTCTGGCTTTTATTGGAAGACGTTTCCTTTTCACCAAAGGCATCAAAGCGCTCCAAATGTCCACTTCCAGATTCTTCCAAAAGAGTGTTTGAAACGTGCTCAAAGTAAGGGAATGTTCAACTCTGTGACTTGAATGCAGATATCACCAAGTAGTTTCTAATAGTGCTCTGTCTAGATTTTAGATGATGATATTCCCGTTTCCAACGAAATCGTTAGAGCTATCCAAATATCCACTTACAGTTGCTACAAAAACAGTGTTTCCAAACTGCTGCATCAAAAGAAAGGTTCAACTCTGTTAGTTGAGGACACACGTCACAAAGAAGTTTGTGAGAATGCTTTCTGTCTAGTATTTTGTATGACCATATTCCCTTTTCCAACGATATCGTTAAAGCAATCTAAATATCAATTTGCAGAATCCACAAAAATAGAGTTTCAAAGCTGCTCTGTAAAAAGAAAGGTTCCACTCTGTTAGCTGAGTACACACATCACAAACTTGTTTCTGAGAATCCTTCTGTCTCGTTTTTATGGGAAGATATTTACTTTTTCACCGTAGGCATCAAAGCGCTCCAAATGTCCACATCCAGATACTCCAGAAAGAGTGTTTCAAACCTGCTCTATGAAAGGGAATCTTCAACTCTATGAGTTGAATGCAGACATCAGAAAGAAATTTCTGAGAATGCTGCTGTCTACCTTTTATTTGAACTCCCGCTTCCAACGAAATCCTCCAAGCTATGCAAATATCCACTTGCATTTTCCACAAAAAGAGTGTTTCAAAACTGCTCTATCAATAGAAATGTTCAACTCCTTTAGCTGGGTACACACATCACAAACAAGTTTCTGAGAATGCTTCTGTCTAGTTTTTATGGGTAGACGTTCCCCTTTTTCACCAAAGGCATCAAAGCGCTCCAAATGTCCACTTCCAGACACTACAAAAAGAGTGTTTCAAACGTGCTCTAAGAAAGCGAATGTTCAACTCTGTGACTTGAATGCACATATCACAAAGTAGTTTCTGAGAGGGCTTCTGTCTAGATTTTAGATGATTATATTCCCGTTTCCAACGAAATCATTAGAGCTATCCAAATATCCACTTACAGTTTCTACAAAAAGAGTGTTTCCAAACTGCTGCATCAAAAGAGAGGTTCCACTCTGTTAGCTGAGTACACACATCACAAACTTGTTTCTGAGAATCCTTCTTCAATTTTTTATGGGAAGACATTTCCTTTTTCACCGTAGGCATCAAAGCGCTCCAAATGTCCACATCCAGATAGTACAGAAAGAGTGTTTCAAACCTGCTCTATGAAAGGGAATGTTCAACTCTATGAGTTGAATGCAAACATCAGAAAGAAATTTCTGAGAATGCTGCTGTCTACCTTTTATTTGAATTCCCGCTTCCAACGAAATCCTCCAAGCTATCCAAATATCCACTTGCAGATTCCACAAAAAGAGTGTTTCAAAACTGCTCTCTATCAATGGCAAAGTTCAACTGCTGTTAGTTGAGGACACATATCACCAACAAGTTTCTGAGAATGCTTCTGTCTATTTTTTATGGGAAGATATTTCCTTTTTCACCGTAGGCGTCAAGGCGATCGAAATGTCCACTTCCACAAACTACAAAAAGAGTGTTTCAAACCTGCTCTATGAAAGGCCATGTTCATCTCTTTGAGTTGAATGGAAATATCCGAAAGAAATTTCTGGGAATGCTGCTGTCTAGTGTTTATACGAATTCCCGCTTCCAACGAAATCCTCAAAGCAATCCAAATATCCACTTGCAGAATCCACAAAAAGAGTGTTTCAAAACTGCTCTATCAATAGAAAGGTTCAACTCTTTTAGTTGAGTACACACATCATGAACAAGTTTCTGAGAATGCTTCTGTCTGGCTTTTATTGGAAGACGTTTCCTTTTCACCAAAGGCATCAAAGCGCTCCAAATGTCCACTTCCAGATTCTTCCAAAAGAGTGTTTCAAACGTGCTCGAAGTAAGGGAATGTTCTACTCTGTGACTTGAATGCAGATATCACCAAGTAGTTTCTAATAGTGCTTCTGTCTAGATTTTAGATGATGATATTCCCGTTTCCAACGAAATCGTTAGAGCTATCCAAATATCCAGTTACAGTTTCTACCAAAAGGGTGTTTCCAAATTGCTGCATCAAAAGAAAGGTTCAACTCTGTTAGTTGAGGACACACATCACAAAGAAGTTTGTGAGAATGCTTCTGTCTAGATTTTGTATGACGATATTCCCTTTTCCAACGATATCATTAAAGCAATCTAAATATCCATTTGCAGAATCCACAAAAATAGAGTTTCAAAGCTGCTCTGTAAAAAGAAAGGTTCCACTCTGTTAGCTGAGTACACACATCACAAACTTGTTTCTCAGAATCCTTCTGTCTCGTTTTTATGGGAAGATATTTACTTTTTCACCGTAGGCATCAAAGCCCTCCAAATGTCCACATCCAGATACTCCAGAAAGAGTGTTTCAAACCTGCTCTATGAAAGGGAATCTTCAACTCTTATGAGTTGAATGCAGACATCAGAAAGAAATTTCTGAGAATGCTGCTGTCTACCTTTTATTTGAATTCCCGCTTCCAACGAAATCCTCCAAGCTATCCAAATATCCACCTGCATTTTCCACAACAAGAGTGTTTCAAAACTGCTCTATCAATAGAAATGTTCAACTCCTTTAGCTGGGTACACACATCACAAACAAGTTTCTGAGAATGCTTCTGTCTATTTTTTATGGGAAGACATTCCCTTTTTCACCAAAGGCATCAAAGCGCTCCAAATGTCCACTTCCAGACACTACAAAAAGAGTGTTTCAAACGTGCTCTAAGAAAGCGAATGTTCAACTCTGTGACTTGAATGCAGATATCACAAAGTAGTTTCTGAGAGGGCTTCTGTCTAGATTTTAGATGATGATATTCCCGTTTCCAACGAAATCATTAGAGCTATCCAAATATCCACTTACGGTTTCTACAAAAAGAGTGTTTCCAAACTGCTGCATCAAAAGAGAGGTTCCACTCTGTTAGCTGAGTACACACATCACAAACTTGTTTCTGAGAATCCTTCTGTCTCGTTTTTATGGGAAGATATTTACTTTTTCACCGTAGGCATCAAAGCGCTCCAAATGTCCACATCCAGATACTACAGAAAGAGTATTTCAAACCTGCCCTATGAAAGGGAATGTTCAACTCTATGAGTTGAATGCAGAGATCAGAAAGAAATTTGTGAGAATGCTGCTGTCTACCTTTTATTTGAATTCCCGCTTCCAACGAAATCCTCCAAGCTATCCAAATATCCACTTGCAGATTCCACAAAAAGAGTGTTTCAAAACTGCTCTTTATCAATGGCAAAGTTCAACTCTGTTAGTTGAGGACACATATCACCAACAAGTTTCTGAGAATGCTTCTGTCTATTTTTTATGGGAAGATATTTCCTTTTTCACCGTAGGCGTCAAGGCGATCGAAATGTCCACTTCCACAAACTACAAAAAGAGTGTTTCAAACCTGCTCTATGAAAGGCCATGTTCATCTCTATGAGTTGAATGGAAATATCCGAAAGAAATTTCTGGGAATGCTGCTGTCTAGTTGTTATACGAATTCCCGCTTCCAACGAAATCCTCAAAGCAATCCA
This sequence comes from Homo sapiens, assembly GCF_000001405.40. NCBI lineage: Eukaryota > Metazoa > Chordata > Mammalia > Primates > Hominidae > Homo > Homo sapiens. The sequence continues at coordinate 12,695,795 of NC_000021.9, read as the reverse complement.
CATATCCACTTGCAGAATCCACAAAAAGAGTGTTTCAAAACTGCTCCATCAATAGAAAGGGTCAACTCTTTTAGTTGAGTACACACATCACGAACAAGTTTCTGAGAATGCTTCTGTCTGGCTTTTATTGGAAGACGTTTCCTTTTCACCAAAGGCATCAAAGCGCTCCAAATGTCCACTTCCAGATTCTTCCAAAAGAGTGTTTGAAACGTGCTCAAAGTAAGGGAATGTTCAACTCTGTGACTTGAATGCAGATATCACCAAGTAGTTTCTAATAGTGCTTCTGTCTAGATTTTAGATGATGATATTCCCGTTTCCAACGAAATCGTTAGAGCTATCCAAATATCCACTTACAGTTGCTACAAAAACAGTGTTTCCAAACTGCTGCATCAAAAGAAAGGTTCAACTCTGTTAGTTGAGGACACACGTCACAAAGAAGTTTGTGAGAATGCTTCTGTCTAGATTTTGTATGACCATATTCCCTTTTCCAGCGATATCATTAAAGCAATCTAAATATCCATTTGCAGAATCCACAAAAATAGAGTTTCAAAGCTGCTCTGTAAAAAGAAAGGTTCCACTCTGTTAGCTGAGTACACACATCACAAACTTGTTTCTGAGAATCCTTTCTGTCTCGTTTTTATGGGAAGATATTTACTTTTTCACCGTAGGCATCAAAGCGCTCCAAATGTCCACATCCAGATACTCCAGAAAGAGTGTTTCAAACCTGCTCTATGAAAGGGAATCTTCAACTCTATGAGTTGAATGCAGACATCAGAAAGAAATTTCTGAGAATGCTGCTGTCTACCTTTTATTTGAATTCCCGCTTCCAACGAAATCCTCCAAGCTATCCAAATATCCACTTGCATTTTCCACAAAAAGAGTGTTTCAAAACTGCTCTATCAATAGAAATGTTCAACTCCTTTAGCTGGGTACACACATCACAAATAAGTTTCTGAGAATGCTTCTGTCTAGTTTTTATGGGAAGACATTCCCTTTTTCACCAAAGACATCAAAGCGCTCCAAATGTCCACTTCCAGACACTACAAAAAGAGTGTTTCAAACGTGCTCTAAGAAAGCGAATGTTCAACTGCTGTGACTTGAATGCAGATATCACACAGTAGTTTCTGAGAGTGCTTCTGTCTAGCATTTTAGATGATGATATTCCCGTTTCCAACGAAATCATTAGAGCTATCCAAATATCCACTTACAGTTTCTACAAAAAGAGTGTTTCCAAACTACTGCATCAAAAGAGAGGTTCCACTCTGTTAGCTGAGTACACACATCACAAACTTGTTTCTCAGAATCCTTCTGTCTCGTTTTTATGGGAAGATATTTACTTTTTCACCGTAGGCATCAAAGCGCTCCAAATGTCCACATCCAGATACTACAGAAAGAGTATTTCAAACCTGCCCTATGAAAGGGAATGTTCAACTCTATGAGTTGAATGCAGAGATCAGAAAGAAATTTCTGAGAATGCTGCTGTCTACTTTTATTTGAATTCCCGCTTCCAACGAAATCCTCCAAGCTATCCAAATATCCACTTGCAGATTCAGGAAAAAGAGTGTTTCAAAACTGCTCTCTATCAATGGCAAAGTTCAACTCTGTTAGTTGAGGACACATATCACCAACAAGTTTCTGAGAATGCTTCTGTCTATTATTTATGGGAAGATATTTCCTTTTTCACCGTAGGCGTCAAGGCGATCGAAATGTCCACTTCCACAAACTACAAAAAGAGTGTTTCAAACCTGCTCTATGAAAGGCCATGTTCATCTCTATGAGTCGAATGGAAATATCCGAAAGAAATTTCTGGGAATGCTGCTGTCTAGTTTTTATACGAATTCCCGCTTCCAACGAAATCCTCAAAGCAATCCAAATATCCACTTGCAGAATCCACAAAAAGAGTGTTTCAAAACTGCTCTATCAATAGAAAGGTTCAACTCTTTTAGTTGAGTACACACATCACAAACAAGTTTCTGAGAATGCTTCTGTCTGGCTTTTATTGGAAGACGTTTCCTTTTCACCAAAGGCATCAAAGCGCTCCAAATGTCCACTTCCAGATTCTTCCAAAAGAGTGTTTGAAACGTGCTCAAAGTAAGGGAATGTTCAACTCTGTGACTTGAATGCAGATATCACCAAGTAGTTTCTAATAGTGCTTCTGTCTAGATTTTAGATGATGATATTCCCGTTTCCAATGAAATCGTTAGAGCTATCCAAATATCCAGTTACAGTTTCTACCAAAAGGGTGTTTCCAAATTGCTGCATCAAAAGAAAGGTTCAACTCTGTTAGTTGAGGACACACATCACAAAGAAGTTTGTGAGAATGCTTCTGTCTAGATTTTGTATGACGATATTCCCTTTTCCAACGATATCGTTAAAGCAATCTAAATATCAATTTGCAGAATCCACAAAAATAGAGTTTCAAAGCTGCTCTGTAAAAGGAAAGGTTCCACTCTGTTAGCTGAGTACACACATCACAAACTTCTTTCTGAGAATCCTTCTGTCTCGTTTTTATGGGAAGATATTTACTTTTTCACCGTAGGCATCAAAGCGCTCCAAATGTCCACATCCAGATACTCCAGAAAGAGTGTTTCAAACCTGCTCTATGAAAGGGAATCTTCAACTCTATGAGTTAAATGCAGACATCAGAAAGAAATTTCTGAGAATGCTGCTGTCTACCTTTTATTTGAATTCCCGCTTCCAACGAAATCCTCCAAGCTATCCAAATATCCACTTGCATTTTCCACAAAAAGAGTGTTTCAAAACTGCTCTATCAATGGAAATGTTCAACTCCTTTAGCTGGGTACACACATCACAAACAAGTTTCTGAGAATGCTTCTGTCCAGTTTTTATGGGAAGACGTTCCCTTTTTCACCAAAGGCATCAAAGCGCTCCAAATGTCCACTTCCAGACACTACAAAAAGAGTGTTTCCAACGTGCTCTAAGAAAGCGAATGTTCAACTCTGTGACTTGAATGCAGATATCACAAAGTAGTTTCTGAGAGGGCTTCTGTCTAGATTTTAGATGATGATATTCCCGTTTCCAACGAAATCATTAGAGCTATCCAAATATCCACTTACAGTTTCTACAAAAAGAGTGTTTCCAAACTGCTGCATCAAAAGAGAGGTTCCACTCTGTTAGCTGAGTACACACATCACAAACTTGTTTCTCAGAATCCTTCTGTCTCGTTTTTATGGGAAGATATTTACTTTTTCACCGTAGGCATCAAAGCGCTCCAAATGTCCACATCCAGATACTACAGAAAGAGTATTTCAAACCTGCCCTATGAAACGGAATGTTCAACTCTATGAGTTGAATGCAGAGATCAGAAAGAAATTTCTGAGAATGCTGCTGTCTACCTTTTATTTGAATTCCCGCTTCCAACGAAATCCTCCAAACTATCCAAATATCCACTTGCAGATTCAGGAAAAAGAGTGTTTCAAAACTGCTCTCTATCAATGGCAAAGTTCAACTCTGTTAGTTGAGGACACATATCACCAACAAGTTTCTGAGAATGCTTCTGTCTATTTTTTATGGGAAGATATTTCCTTTTTCACCGTAGGCGTCAAGGCGATCGAAATGTCCACTTCCACAAACTACAAAAAGAGTGTTTCAAACCTGCTCTATGAAAGGCCATGTTCATCTCTATGAGTCGAATGGAAATATCCGAAAGAAATTTCTGGGAATGCTGCTGTCTAGTGTTTATACGAATTCCCGCTTCCAACGAAATCTTCAAAGAAATCCAAATATCCACTTGCAGAATCCACAAAAAGAGTGTTTCAAAACTGCTCTATCAATAGAAAGGTTCAACTCTTTTAGTTGAGTACACACATCACGAACAAGTTTCTGAGAATGCTTCTGTCTGGCTTTTATTGGAAGACGTTTCCTTTTCACCAAAGGCATCAAAGCGCTCCAAATGTCCACTTCCAGATTCTTCCAAAAGAGTGTTTGAAACGTGCTCAAAGTAAGGGAATGTTCAACTCTGTGACTTGAATGCAGATATCACCAAGTAGTTTCTAATAGTGCTTCTGTCTAGATTTTAGATGATGATATTCCCGTTTCCAACGAAATCGTTAGAGCTATCCAAATATCCAGTTACAGTTTCTACCAAAAGGGTGTTTCCAAACTGCTGCATCAAAAGAAAGGTTCAACTCTGTTAGTTGAGGACACACATCACAAAGATGTTTGTGAGAATGCTTCTGTCTAGATTTTGTATGACGATATTCCCTTTTCCAACGATATTGTTAAAGCAATCTAAATATCAATTTGCAGAATCCACAAAAATAGAGTTTCCAAGCTGCTCTGTAAAAAGAAAGGTTCCACTCTGTTAGCTGAGTACACACATCACAAACTTGTTTCTGAGAATCCTTCTGTGTCGTTTTTATGGGAACATATTTACTTTTTCACCGTAAGCATCAAAGCGCTCCAAATGTCCACATCCAGATACTCCAGAAAGAGTGTTTCAAACCTGCTCTATGAAAGGGAATCTTCAACTCTATGAGTTGAATGCAGACATCAGAAAGAAATTTCTGAGAATGCTGCTGTCTACCTTTTATTTGAATTCCCGCTTCCAACGAAATCCTCCAAGCTATCCATATATCCACTTGCATTTTCCACAAAAAGAGTGCTTCAAAACTGCTCTATCAATAAATGTTCAACTCCTTTAGCTGGGTGCACACATCACAAACAAGTTTCTGAGAATGCTTCTGTCTAGTTTTTATGGGAAGACATTTCCTTTTTCACCAAAGGCATCAAAGAGCTCCAAATGTCCACTTCCAGATACTACAAAAAGAGTGTTTCAAAAGTGCTCTAAGAAAGCGAATGTTCAACTCTGTGACTTCAATGCAGATATCACAAAGTAGTTTCTGAGAGTGCTTCTGTCTAGATTTTAGATGATGATATTCCCGTTTCCAACGAAATCATTAGAGCTATCAAAATATCCACTTACAGTTTCTACAAAAAGAGTGTTTCCAAACTGCTGCATCAAAAGAGAGGTTCCACTCTGTTAGCTGAGTACACACATCACAAACTTGTTTCTCAGAATCCTTCTCTCTCGTTTTTATTGGAAGATATTTACTTTTTCACCGTAGGCCTCAAAGCGCTCCAAATGTCCACATCCAGATACTCCAGAAAGAGTGTTTCAAACCTGCTCTATGAAAGGGAATCTTCAACTCTATGAGTTGAATGCAGACATCAGAAAGAAATTTCTGAGAATGCTGCTGTCTACCTTTTATTTGAATTCCCGCTTCCAACGAAATCCTCCAAGCTATCCAAATATCCACTTGCAGATTCCACAAAAAGAGTGTTTCAAAACTGCTCTCTATCAATGGCAAAGTTCAACTCTGTTAGTTGAGGACACATATCACCAACAAGTTTCTGAGAATGCTTCTGTCTATTTTTTATGGGAAGATATTTCCTTTTTCACCGTAGGCGTCAAGGCGATCGAAATGTCCACTTCCACAAACTACAAAAAGAGTGTTTCAAACCTGCTCTATGAAAGGCCATGTTCTTCTCTATGAGTTGAATGGAAATATCCGAAAGAAATTTCTGGGAATGCTGCTGTCTAGTTTTTATACGAATTCCCGCTTCCAACGAAATCCTCAAAGCAATCCAAATATCCACTTGCAGAATCCACAAAAAGAGTGTTTCAAAACTGCTCTATCAATAGAAAGGTTCAACTCTTTTAGTTGAGTACACACATCACAAACAAGTTTCTGAGAATGCTCTGTCTGGCTTTTATTGGAAGACGTTTCCTTTTCACCAAAGGCATCAAAGCGCTCCAAATGTCCACTTCCAGATTCTTCCAAAAGAGTGTTTCAAACGTGCTCAAAGTAAGGGAATGTTCAACTCTGTGACTTGAATGCAGATATCACCAAGTAGTTTCTAATAGTGCTTCTGTCTACATTTTAGATGATGATATTCCCGTTTCCAACGAAATCGTTAGAGCTATCCAAATATCTAGTTACAGTTTCTACCAAAAGGGTGCTTCCAAATTGCTGCATCAAAAGAAAGGTTCAACTCTGTTAGTTGAGGACACACATCACAAAGAAGTTTGTGAGAATGCTTCTGTCTAGATTTTGTATGACGGTATTCCCTTTTCCAACGATATCGTTAAAGCAATCTAAATATCAATTTGCAGAATCCACAAAAATAGAGTTTCAAAGCTGCTCTGTAAAAAGAAAGGTTCCACTCTGTTAGCTGAGTACACACATCACAAACTTGTTTCTGAGAATCCTTCTGTCTCGTTTTTATGGGAAGATATTTACTTTTCCACCGTAGGCATCAAAGCGCTCCAAATGTCCACATCCAGATACTCCAGAACGAGTGTTTCAAACCTGCTCTATGAAAGGGAATCTTCAACTCTATGAGTTGAATGCAGACATCAGAAAGAAATTTCTGAGAATGCTGCTGTCTACCTTTTATTTGAATTCCCGCTTCCAACGAAATCCTCCAAGCTATCCAAATATCCACCTGCATTATCCACAACAAGAGTGTTTCAAAACTGCTCTATCAATAGAAATGTTCAACTCCTTTGGCTGGGTACACACATCACAAACAAGTTTCTGAGAATGCTCTGTCTAGTTTTTATGGGAAGACATTCCCTTTTTCACCAAAGGCATCAAAGCGCTCCAAATGTCCACTTCCAGACACTACAAAAAGAGTGTTTCCAACGTGCTCTAAGAAAGCGAATGTTCAACTCTGTGACTTGAATGCAGATATCACAAAGTAGTTTCTGAGAGGGCTTTCTGTCTAGATTTTACATGATGATATTCCCGTTTCCAATGAAATCATTAGAGCTTTCCAAATATCCACTTACAGTTTCTACAAAAAGAGTGTTTCCAAACTGCTGCATTCAAAAGAGAGGTTCCACTCTGTTAGCTGAGTACACACATCACAAACTTGTTTCTGAGAATCCTGCTGTCTACCTTTTTATTTGAATTCCCGCTTCCAACGAAATCCTCCAAGCTATCCAAATATCCACTTGCAGATTCCACAAAAAGAGTGTTTCAAAACTGCTCTCTATCAATGGCAAAGTTCAACTCTGTTAGTTGAGGACACATATCACCAACAAGTTTCTGAGAATGCTGCTGTCTAGTTTTTATATGAAATCCCGCTTCCAACGAAATGCTCAAAGCAATCCAAATATCCACTTGCAGATTCCACAAAAAGAGTGTTTCAAAACTGCTCTATCATAGAAAGGTTCAACTCTTTTAGTTGAGTACACACATCACAAACAAGTTTCTGAGAATGCTGCTGTCTAGTTTTTATACGAATTCCCGCTTCCAACGAAATCCTCAAAGCAATCCAAATATCCACTTGCAGAATCCACAAAAAGAGTGTTTCAAAACTGCTCTATCAATAGAAAGGTTCAACTCTTTTAGTTGAGTACACACATCACAAACAAGTTTCTGAGAATGCTTCTGTCTGGCTTTTATTGGAAGACGTTTCCTTTTCACCAAAGGCATCAAAGCGCTCCAAATGTCCACTTCCAGATTCTTCCAAAAGAGTGTTTGAAACGTGCTCAAAGTAAGGGAATGTTCAACTCTGTGACTTGAATGCAGATATCACCAAGTAGTTTCTAATAGTGCTTCTGTCTAGATTTTAGATGATGATATTCCCGTTTCCAACGAAATCGTTAGAGCTATCCAAATATCCAGTTACAGTTTCTACCAAAAGGGTGTTTCCAAATTGCTGCATCAAAAGAAAGGTTCAACTCTGTTAGTTGAGGACACACATCACAAAGAAGTTTGTGAGAATGCTTCTGTCTAGATTTTGTATGATGATATTCCCTTTTCCAACGATATCGTTAAAGCAATCTAAATATCAATTTGCAGAATCCACAAAAATAGAGTTTCAAAGCTGCTCTGTAAAAAGAAAGGTTCCACTCTGTTAGCTGAGTACACACATCACAAACTTGTTTCTGAGAATCCTTGCTGTCTACCTTTTATTTGAATTCCCGCTTCCAACGAAATCCTCCAAGCTATCCAAATATCAACTTGCATTTTCCACAAAAAGAGTGTTTCAAAACTGCTCTATCAATAGAAATGTTCAACTCCATTAGCTGGGTACACACATCACAAACAAGTTTCTGAGAATGCTTCTGTCTAGATTTTAGATGATGATATTCCCGTTTCCAACGAAATCGTTAGAGCTATCCAAATATCCACTTACAGTTTCTACAAAAAGAGTGTTTCCAAACTGCTGCATCAAAATAAAGGTTCAACTCTGTTAGTTGAGGACACACATCACAAAGAAGTTTGTGAGAATGCTTCTGTCTAGATTTTGTATGACGATATTCCCTTTTCCAACGATATCGTTAAAGCAATCTAAATATCAATTTGCAGAATCCACAAAAATAGAGTTTCAAAGCTGCTCTGTAAAAAGAAAGGTTCCACTCTGTTAGCTGAGTAGACACATCACAAACTTCTTTCTGAGAATCCTTCTGTCTAGTTTTTATGGGAAGATATTTACTTTTTCACCGTAGGCATCAAAGCGTTCCAAATGTCCACATCTAGATAGTACAGAAAGAGTGTTTCAAACCTGCTCTATGAAAGGGAATGTTCAACTCTATGAGTTGAATGCAAACATCACAAAGAAATTTCTGAGAATGCTGCTGTCTACCTTTTATTTGAATTCCCGCTTCCAACGAAATCCTCCAAGCTATCCAAATATCCACTTGCAGATTCCACAAAAAGAGTGTTTCAAAACTGCTCTCTATCAATGGCAAAGTTCAACTCTGTTAGTTGAGGACACATATCACCAACAAGTTTCTGAGTATGCTTCTGTCTATTTTTTATGGGAAGATATTTCCTTTTTCACCGTAGGCGTCAAGGCGATCGTAATGTCCACTTCCACAAACTACAAAAAGAGTGTTTCAAACCTGCTCTATGAAAGGCCATGTTCATCTCTATGAGTTGAATGGAAATATCCGAAAGAAATTTCTGGGAATGCTGCTGTCTAGTTTTTATACGAATTCCCGCTTCCAACGAAATCCTCAAAGCAATCCAAATATCCACTTGCAGAATCCACAAAAAGAGTGTTTCAAAACTGCTCTATCAATAGAAAGGTTCAACTCTTTTAGTTGAGTACACACATCACAAACAAGTTTCTGAGAATGCTTCTGTCTGGCTTTTATTGGAAGACGTTTCCTTTTCACCAAGGCATCAAAGCGCTCCAAATGTCCACTTCCAGATTCTTCCAAAAGAGTGTTTCAAACGTGCTCAAAGTAAGGGAATGTTCAACTCTGTGACTTGAATGCAGATATCACCAAGCAGTGTCTAATAGTGCTTCTCTCTAGATTTTAGATGATGATATTCCCGTTTCCAACGAAATCGTTAGAGCTATCCAAATATCCAGTTACAGTTTCTACCAAAAGGGTGTTTCCAAACTGCTGCATCAAAAGAAAGGTTCAACTCTGTTAGTTGAGGACACACATCACAAAGAAGTTTGTGAGAATGCTTCTGTCTAGATTTTGTATGACGATATTCCCTTTTCCAATGATATCGTTAAAGCAATCTAAATATCAATTTGCAGAATCCACAAAAATAGAGTTTCAAACCTGCTCTGTAAAAAGAAAGGTTCCACTCCGTTAGCTGAGTACACACATCACAAACTTGTTTCTCAGAATCCTTCTGTCTCGTTTTTATGGGAAGATATTTACTTTTTCACCGTAGGCATCAAAGCGCTCCAAATGTCCACATCCAGATACTCCAGAAAGAGTGTTTCAAACCTGCTCTAGGAAAGGGAATCTTCAACTCTATGAGTTGAATGCAGACATCAGAAAGAAATTTCTGAGAATGCTGCTGTCTACCTTTTATTTGAATTCCCGCTTCCAACGAAATCCTCCAAGCTATCCAAATATCCACCTGCATTTTCCACAAAAAGAGTGTTTCAAAACTGCTCTATCAATAGAAATGTTCAACTCCTTTGGCTGGGTACACACATCACAAACAAGTTTCTGAGAATGCTTCTGTCTAGTTTTTATGGGAAGACGTTCCCTTTTTCACCAAAGGCATCAAAGCGCTCCAAATGTCCACTTCCAGACACTACAGAAAGAGTGTTTGAAACGTGCTCTTAGAAAGCGAATGTTCAACTCTGTGACTTGAATGCAGATATCACAAAGTAGTTTCTGAGAGGGCTTCTGTCTAGATTTTAGATGATGATATTCCCGTTTCCAACGAAATCATTAGAGCTATCCAAATATCCACTTACAGTTTCTACAAAAAGAGTGTTTCCAAACTGCTGCATCAAAAGAGAGGTTCCACTCTGTTAGCTGAGTACACACATCACAAACTTGTTTCTCAGAATCCTTCTGTCTAGTTTTTATGGGAAGACGTTCCCTTTTTCACCAAAGGCATCCAAGCGCTCCAAATGTCCACATCCAGATACTCCAGAAAGAGTGTTTCAAACCTGCTCTATGAAAGGGAATCTTCAACTCTATGAGTTGAATGCAGACATCAGAAAGAAATTTCTGAGAATGCTGCTGTCTACCTTTTATTTGAATTCCCGCTTCCAACGAAATCCTCCAAGCTATCCAAATATCCACTTGCAGATTCCACAAAAAGAGTGTTTCAAAACTGCTCTCTATCAATGGCAAAGTTCAACTCTGTTAGTTGAGGACACATATCACCAACAAGTTTCTGAGAATGCTTCTGTCTATTTTTTATGGGAAGATATTTCCTTTTTCACCGTAGGCGTCAAGGCGATCGAAATGTCCACTTCCACAAACTACAAAAAGAGTGTTTCAAACCTGCTCTATGAAAGGCCATGTTCATCTCTATGAGTTGAATGGAAATATCCGAAAGAAATTTGCTGGGAATGCTGCTGTCTAGTGTTTATACGAATTCCCGCTTCCAACGAAATCCTCAAAGCAATCCAAATATCCACTTGCAGAATCCACAAAAAGAGTGTTTCAAAACTGCTCTATCAATGGAAAGGTTCAACACATTTAGTTGAGTACACACATCACAAACAAGTTTCTGAGAATGCTTCTGTCTGGCTTTTATTGGAAGACGTTTCCTTTTCACCAAAGGCATCAAAGCGCTCCAAATGTCCACTTCCAGATTCTTCCAAAAGAGTGTTTCAAACGTGCTCGAAGTAAGGGAATGTTCTACTCTGTGTCTTGAATGCAGATATCACCAAGTAGTTTCTAATAGTGCTTCTGTCTACATTTTAGATGATGATATTCCCGTTTCCAACGAAATCGTTAGAGCTATCCAAATATCCAGTTACAGTTTCTACCAAAAGGGTGTTTCCAAATTGCTGCATCAAAAGAAAGGTTCAACTCTGTTAGTTGAGGACACACATCACAAAGAAGTTTGTGAGAATGCTTCTGTCTAGATTTTGTATGACGATATTCCCTTTTCCAACGATATCGTTAAAGCAATCTAAATATCAATTTGCAGAATCCACAAAAATAGAGTTTCAAACCTGCTCTGTAAAAAGAAAGGTTCCACTCTGTTAGCTGAGTACACACATCACAAACTTGTTTCTGAGAATCCTTCTGTCTCGTTTTTATGGGAAGATATTTACTTTTCCACCGTAGGCATCAAAGCGCTCCAAATGTCCACATCCAGATACTCCAGAACGAGTGTTTCAAACCTGCTCTATGAAAGGGAATCTTCAACTCTATGAGTTGAATGCAGACATCAGAAAGAAATTTCTGAGAATGCTGCTGTCTACCTTTTATTTGAACTCCCGCTTCCAACGAAATCCTCCAAGCTACGCAAATATCCACTTGCATTTTCCACAAAAAGAGTGTTTCAAAACTGCTCTATCAATAGAAATGTTCAACTCCTTTAGCTGGGTACACACATCACAAACAAGTTTCTGAGAATGCTTCTGTCTAGTTTTTATGGGAAGACATTCCCTTTTTCACCAAAGGCATCAAAGCGCTCCAAATGTCCACTTCCAGACACTACAAAAAGAGTGTTTCCAACGTGCTCTAAGAAAGCGAATGTTCAACTCTGTGACTTGAATGCAGATATCACAAAGTAGTTTGCTGAGAGGGCTTCTGTCTAGATTTTAGATGATGATATTCCCGTTTCCAACGAAATCATTAGAGCTATCCAAATATCCACTTACAGTTTCTACAAAAAGAGTGTTTCCAAACTGCTGCATGAAAAGAGAGGTTCCACTCTGTTAGCTGAGTACACACATCACAAACTTGTTTCTCAGAATCCTTCTGTCTCGTTTTTATGGGAAGATATTTACTTTTTCACCGTAGGCATCAAAGCGCTCCAAATGTCCACATCCAGATACTCCAGAAAGAGTGTTTCAAACCTGCTCTATGAAAGGGAATGTTCAACTCTATGAGTTGAATGCAGACATCAGAAAGAAATTTCTGAGAATGCTGCTGTCTACCTTTTATTTGAATTCCCGCTTCCAACGAAATCCTCCAAGCTATCCAAATATCCACTTGCAGATTCCACAAAAAGAGTGTTTCATAACTGCTCTCTATCAATGGCAAAGTTCAACTCTGTTAGTTGAGGACACATATCACCAACAAGTTTCTGAGAATGCTTCTGTCTATTTTTTATGGGAAGATATTTCCTTTTTCACCGTAGGCGTCAAGGCGATCGAAATGTCCACTTCCACAAACTACAAAAAGAGTGTTTCAATATGAAAGGCCATGTTCATCTCTATGAGTTGAATGGAAATATCCGAAAGAAATTTCTGGGAATGCTGCTGTCTAGTGTTTATACGAATTCCCGCTTCCAACGAAATCCTCAAAGCAATCCAAATATCCACTTGCAGAATCCACAAAAAGAGGGTTTCAAAACTGCTCTATCAATAGAAAGGTTCAACTCTTTTAGTTGAGTACACACATCACGAACAAGTTTCTGAGAATGCTTCTGTCTGGCTTTTATTGGAAGACGTTTCCTTTTCACCAAAGGCATCAAAGCGCTCCAAATGTCCACTTCCAGATTCTTCCAAAAGAGTGTTTCAAACGTGCTCGAAGTAAGGGAATGTTCTACTATGTGACTTGAATGCAGATATCACCAAGTAGTTTCTAATAGTGCTTCTGTCTAGATTTTAGATGATGATATTCCCGTTTCCAACGAAATCGTTAGAGCTAAGCAAATATCCAGTTACAGTTTCTACCAAAAGGGTGTTTCCAAATTGCTGCATCAAAAGAAAGGTTCAACTCTGTTAGTTGAGGACACACATCACAAAGAAGTTTGTGAGAATGCTTCTGTCTAGATTTTGTATGACGATATTCCCTTTTCCAACGATATCATTAAAGCAATCTAAATATCCATTTGCAGAATCCACAAAAATAGAGTTTCAAAGCTGCTCTGTAAAAAGAAAGGTTCCACTCTGTTAGCTGAGTACACACATCACAAACTTGTTTCTCAGAATCCTTGTCTGTCTCGTTTTTCTGGGAAGATATTTACTTTTTCACCGTAGGCATCAAAGCGCTCCAAATGTACACATCCAGATACTCCAGAAAGAGTGTTTCAAACCTGCTCTATGAAAGGGAATCTTCAACTCTATGAGTTGAATGCAGACATCAGAAAGAAATTTCTGAGAATGCTGCTGTCTACCTTTTATTTGAATTCCCGCTTCCAACGAAATCCTCCAAGCTATCCAAATATCCACTTGCATTTTCCACAAAAAGAGTGTTTCAAAACTACTCTATCAATAGAAATGTTCAACTCCTTTAGCTGGGTACACACATCACAAACAACTTTCTGAGAATGCTTCTGTCTAGTTTTTATGGGAAGACGTTCCCTTTTTCACCAAAGGCATCAAAGCGCTCCAAATGTCCACTTCCAGACACTACAAAAAGAGTGTTTCAAACGTGCTCTAAGAAAGCGAATGTTCAACTCTGTGACTTGAATGCAGATATCACAAAGTAGTTTCTGAGAGGGCTTCTGTCTAGATTTTAGATGATGATATTCCCGTTTCCAACGAAATCATTAGAGCTATCCAAATATCCACTTACAGTTTCTACAAAAAGAGTGTTGCCAAACTGCTGCATCAAAAGAGAGGTTCCACTCTGTTAGCTGAGTACACACATCACAAACTTGTTTCTCAGATTCCTTCTGTCTCGTTTTTATGGGAAGATATTTACTTTTTCACCGTAGGCATCAAAGCGCTCCAAATGTCCACATCCAGAAACTCCAGAAAGAGTGTTTCAAACCTGCTCTATGAAAGGGAATGTTCAACTCTATGAGTTGAATGCAGACATCAGAAAGAAATTTCTGAGAATGCTGCTGTCTACCTTTTATTTGAATTCCCGCTTCCAACGAAATCCTCCAAGCTATCCAAATATCCACTTGCAGATTCCACAAAAAGAGTGTTTCAAAACTGCTCTCTATCAATGGCAAAGTTCAACTCTGTTAGTTGAGGACACATATCACCAACAAGTTTCTGAGAATGCTTCTGTCTATTTTTTATGGGAAGATATTTCCTTTTTCACCTTAGGCGTCAAGGCGATCGAAATGTCCACTTCCACAAACTACAAAAAGAGTGTTTCAAACCTGCTCTATGAAAGGCCATGTTCATCTCTATGAGTTGAATGGAAATATCCGAAAGAAATTTCTGGGAATGCTGCTGTCTAGTTGTTATACGAATTCCCGCTTCCAACGAAATCCTCAAAGCAATCCACATATCCACTTGCAGAATCCACAAAAAGAGTGTTTCAAAACTGCTCCATCAATAGAAAGGTTCAACTCTTTTAGTTGAGTACACACATCACGAACAAGTTTCTGAGAATGCTTCTGTCTGGCTTTTATTGGAAGACGTTTCCTTTTCACCAAAGGCATCAAAGCGCTCCAAATGTCCACTTCCAGATTCTTCCAAAAGAGTGTTTCAAACGTGCTCTAAGAAAGCGAATGTTCAACTCTGTGACTTGAATGCAGATATCACAAAGTAGTTTCTAATAGTGCTTCTGTCTAGATTTTAGATGATGATATTCCCGTTTCCAACGAAATCGTTAGAGCTATCCAAATATCCACTTACAGTTTCTACAAAAAGAGTGTTTCCAAACTGCTGCATCAAAAGAAAAGTTCAACTCTGTTAGTTGAGGACACACATCACAAAGAAGTTTGTGAGAATGCTTCTGTCTAGATTTTGTATGACGGTATTCCCTTTTCCAACGATATCGTTAAAACAATCTAAATATCAATTTGCAGAATCCACAAAAATAGAGTTTCAAAGCTGCTGTGTAAAAAGAAAGGTTCCACTCTGTTAGCTGAGTACACACATCACAAACTTGTTTCTGAGAATCCTTTCTGTCTCGTTTTTATGGGAAGATATTTACTTTTCCACCGTAGGCATCAAAGCGCTCCAAATGTCCACATCCAGATACTCCAGAACGAGTGTTTCAAACCTGCTCTATGAAAGGGAATCTTCAACTCTATGAGTTGAATGCAGACATCAGAAAGAAATTTCTGAGAATGCTGCTGTCTACCTTTTATTTGATTTCCCGCTTCCAACGAAATCCTCCAAGCTATCCAAATATCCACCTGCATTTTCCACAACAAGAGTGTTTCAAAACTGCTCTATCAATAGAAATGTTCAACTCCTTTGGCTGGGTACACACATCACAAACAAGTTTCTGAGAATGCTTCTGTCTAGTTTTTATGGGTAGACATTCCCTTTTTCACCAAAGGAATCAAAGCGCTCCAAATGTCCACTTCCAGACACTACAAAAAGAGTGTTTCAAACGTGCTCTAAGAAAGCGAATGTTCAACTCTGTGACTTGAATGCAGATATCACAAAGTAGTTTCTGAGAGTGCTTCTGTCTAGATTTAGATGATGATATTCCCGTTTCCAACGAAATCATTAGAGCTATCCAAATATCCACTTACAGTTTCTACAAAAAGAGTTTTTCCAAACTGCTGCATCAAAAGAGAGGTTCCACTCTGTTAGCTGAGTACACACATCACAAACTTGTTTCTCAGAATCCTTCTGTCTCGTTTTTATGGGAAGATATTTACTTTTTCACCGTAGGCATCAAAGCGCTCCAAATGTCCACATCCAGATACTCCAGAAAGAGTGTTTCAAACCTGCTCTATGAAAGGGAATGTTCAACTCTATGAGTTGAATGCAGACATCAGAAAGAAATTTCTGAGAATGCTGCTGTCTACCTTTAATTTGAATTCCCGCTTCCAACGAAATCCTCCAAGCTATCCAAATATCCACTTGCAAACTCCACAAAAAGAGTGTTTCAAAACTGCTCTCTATCAATGGCAAAGTTCAACTCTGTTAGTTGAGGACACATATCACCAACAAGTTTCTGAGAATGCTTCTGTCTATTTTTTATGGGGAAGATATTTCCTTTTTCACCGTAGGCGTCAAGGCGATCGAAATGTCCACTTCCACAAACTACAAAAAGAGTGTTTCAAACCTGCTCTATGAAAGGCCATGTTCATCTCTATGAGTTGAATGGAAATATCCGAAAGAAATTTCTGGGAATGCTGCTGTCTAGTTGTTATACGAATTCCCGCTTCCAACGAAATCCTCAAAGCAATCCAAATATCCACTTGCAGAATCCACAAAAAGAGTGTTTCAAAACTGCTCTATCAATAGAAAGGTTCAACTCTTTTAGTTGAGTACACACATCTCAAACAAGTTTCTGAGAATGCTTCTGTCTGGCTTTTATTGGAAGACGTTTCCTTTTCACCAAAGGCATCAAAGCGCTCCAAATGTCCACTTCCAGATTCTTCCAAAAGAGTGTTTCAAACGTGCTCGAAGTAAGGGAATGTTCAACTCTGTGACTTGAATGCAGATATCACCAAGTAGTTTCTAATAGTGCTTCTGTCTAGATTTTAGATGATGGTATTCCCGTTTCCAACGAAATCGTTAGAGCTATCCAAATATCCACTTACAGTTTCTACCAAAAGGGTGTTTCCAAACTGCTGCATCAAAAGAAAGGTTCAACTCTGTTAGTTGAGGACACACTTCACAAAGCTGTTTGTGAGAATGCTTCTGTCCAGATTTTGTATGACGATATTCCCTTTTCCAACGATATCGTTAAAGCAATCTAAATATCAATTTGCAGAATCCACAAAAATAGAGTTTCAAAGCTGCTCTGTAAAAAGAAAGGTTCCACTCTGTTAGCTGAGTACACACATCACAAACTTGTTTCTGAGAATCCTTCTGTCTCGTTTTTATGGGAAGATATTTACTTTTTCACTGTAGGCATCAAAGCGCTCCAAATGTCCACATCCAGATACTACAGAAAGAGTATTTCAAACCTGTCCTATGAAAGGGAATGTTCAACTCTATGAGTTGAATGCAGACATCAGAAAGAAATTTCTGAGAATGCTGCTGTCTAACTTTTATTTGAATTCCCGCTTCCAACGAAATCCTCCAAGCTATCCAAATATCCACCTGCATTTTCCACAAAAAGAGTGTTTCAAAACTGCTCTATCAATAGAAATGTTCAACTCCTTTGGCTGGGTACACACATCACAAACAAGTTTCTGAGAATGCTTCTGTCTAGTTTTTATGGGAAGACATCTCCTTTTTCACCAAAGGCATCAAAGAGCTCCAAATGTCCACTTCCAGATACGACAAAAAGGGTGTTTCAAAAGTGCTCTAAGAAAGCGAATGTTCAACTCTGTGACTTGAATGCAGATATCACAAAGTAGTTTCTGAGAGTGCTTCTGTCTAGATTTTAGATGATGATATTCCCGTTTCCAACGAAATCATTAGAGCTATCCAAATATCCACTTACAGTTTCTACAAAAAGAGTGTTTCCAAACTGCTGCATCAAAAGAGAGGTTCCACTCTGTTAGCTGAGTACACACATCACAAACCTGTTTCTGAGAATCCTTCTTCAATTTTTTATGGGAAGACATTTCCTTTTTCACCGTAGGCGTCAAAGCGCTCCAAATGTCCACATCCAGATAGTACAGAAAGAGTGTTTCAAACCTACTCTATTAAAGGGAATGTTCAACTCTATGAGTTGAATGCAAACATCACAAAGAAATTTCTGAGAATGCTGCTGTCTACCTTTTATTTGAATTCCCGATTCCAACGAAATCCTCCAAGCTATCCAAATATCCACTTGCAGATTCCACAAAAAGAGTGTTTCAAAACTGCTCTCTATCAATGGCAAAGTTCAACTCTGTTAGTTGAGGACACATATCACCAACAAGTTTCTGAGAATGCTTCTGTCTATTTTTTATGGGAAGATATTTCCTTTTTCACCGTAGGCGTCAAGGCGATCGAAATGTCCACTTCCACAAACTACAAAAAGAGTGTTTCAAACCTGCTCTATGAAAGGCCATGTTCATCTCTATGAGTCGAATGGAAATATCCGAAAGAAATTTCTGGGAATGCTGCTGTCTAGTGTTTATACGAATTCCCGCTTCCAACGAAATCCTCAAAGCAATCCAAATATCCACTTGCAGAATCCACAAAAAGAGTGTTTCTAAACTGCTCTATCAATAGAAAGGTTCAACTCTTTTAGTTGAGTACACACATCACGAACAAGTTTCTGAGAATGCTTCTGTCTGGCTTTTATTGGAAGACGTTTCCTTTTCACCAAAGGCATCAAAGCGCTCCAAATGTCCACTTCCAGATTCTTCCAAAAGAGTGTTTCAAACGTGCTCAAAGTAAGGGAATGTTCAACTCTGTGACTTGAATGCAGATATCACCAAGTAGTTTCTAATAGTGCTTCTGTCTAGATTTTAGATGATGATATTCCCGTTTCCAACGAAATCGTTAGAGCTATCCAAATATCCACTTACAGTTGCTACAAAAACAGTGTTTCCAAACTGCTGCATCAAAAGAAAGGTTCAACTCTGTTAGTTGAGGACACACGTCACAAAGAAGTTTGTGAGAATGCTTCTGTCTAGATTTTGTATGACGATATTCCCTTTTCCAACGATATCGTTAAAGCAATCTAAATATCAATTTGCAGAATCCACAAAAATAGAGTTTCAAAGCTGCTCTGTAAAAAGAAAGGTTCCACTCTGGTAGCTGAGTACACACATCACAAACTTGTTTCTGAGAATCCTTCTGTCTCGTTTTTATGGGAAGATATTTACTTTTCCACCATAGGCATCAAAGCGCTCCAAATGTCCACATCCAGACACTCCAGAACGAGTGTTTCAAACCTGCTCTATGAAAGGGAATCTTCAACTCTATGAGTTGAATGCAGACATCAGAAAGAAATTTCTGAGAATGCTGCTGTCTACCTTTTATTTGAATTCCCGCTTCCAACGAAATCCTCCAAGCTATCCAAATATCCACTTGCATTTTCCACAAAAAGAGTGTTTCAAAACTGCTCTATCAATAGAAATGTTCAACTCCTTTAGCTGGGTACACACATCACAAACAAGTTTCTGAGAATGCTTCTGTCTAGTTTTTATGGGAAGACGTTCCCTTTTTCACCAAAGGCATCAAAGCGCTCCAAATGTCCACTTCCAGACACTACAAAAAGAGTGTTTCAAACGTGCTCTAAGAAAGCGAATGTTCAACTCTGTGACTTGAATGCAGATATCACAAAGTAGTTTCTGAGAGGGCTTTCTGCCTAGATTTTAGATGATGATATTCCCGTTTCCAACGAAATCATTAGAGCTATCCAAATATCCACTTACAGTTTCTGCAAAAAGAGTGTTTCCAAACTGCTGCATCAAAAGAGAGGTTCCACTCTGTTAGCTGAGTACACACATCACAAACTTGTTTCTCAGAATCCTTCTGTCTCGTTTTTATGGGAAGATATTTACTTTTTCACCGTAGGCATCAAAGCGCTCCAAATGTCCTCATCCAGATACTACAGAAAGAGTATTTCAAACCTGCCCTATGAAAGGGAATGTTCAACTCTATGAGTTGAATGCAGAGATCAGAAAGAAATTTCTGAGAATGCTGCTGTCTACCTTTTATTTGAATTCCCGCTTCCAACGAAATCCTCCAAGCTATCCAAATATCCACTTGCAGATTCCACAAAAAGAGTGTTTCAAAACTGCTCTCTATCAATGGCAAAGTTCAACTCTGTTAGTTGAGGACACATATCACCAACAAGTTTCTGAGAATGCTTCTGTCTATTTTTTATGGGAAGATATTTCCTTTTTCACCGTAGGCGTCAAGGCGATCGAAATGTCCACTTCCACAAACTACAAAAAGAGTGTTTCAAACCTGCTCTATGAAAGGCCATGTTCATCTCTATGAGTTGAATGGAAATATCTGAAAGAAATTTCTGGGAATGCTGCTGTCTAGTTTTTATACGAATTCCCGCTTCCAACGAAATCCTCAAAGCAATCCAAATATCCACTTGCAGAATCCACAAAAAGAGTGTTTCAAAACTGCTCTATCAATGGAAAGGTTCAACTCTTTTAGTTGAGTACACACATCACAAACAAGTTTCTGAGAATGCTTCTGTCTGGCTTTTATTGGAAGACGTTTCCTTTTCACCAAAGGCATCAAAGCGCTCCAAATGTCCACTTCCAGATTCTTCCAAAAGAGTGTTTCAAACGTGCTCAAAGTAAGGGAATGTTCAACTCTGTGACTTGAATGCAGATATCACCAAGTAGTTTCTAATAGTGCTTCTGTCTAGATTTTAGATGATGATATTCCCGTTTCCAACGAAATCGTTAGAGCTATCCAAATATCCAGTTACAGTTTCTACAAAAAGAGTGTTTCCAAACTGCTGCATCAAAAGAAAGGTTCAACTCTGTTAGTTGAGGACACACATCACAAAGAAGTTTGTGAGAATGCTTCTGTCTAGATTTTGTATGACCATATTCCCTTTTCCAGCGATATCATTAAAGCAATCTAAATATCCATTTGCAGAATCCACAAAAATAGAGTTTCAAAGCTGCTCTGTAAAAAGAAAGGTTCCACTCTGTTAGCTGAGTACACACATCACAAACTTGTTTACTCAGAATCCTTCTGTCTCGTTTTTATGGGAAGATATTTACTTTTCCACCGTAGGCATCAAAGCGCTCCAAATGTCCACATCCAGATACTCCGGAACGAGTGTTTCAAACCTACTCTATGAAAGGGAATCTTCAACTCTATGAGTTGAATGCAGACATCAGAAAGAAATTTCTGAGAATGCTGCTGTCTACCTTTTATTTGAACTCCCGCTTCCAACGAAATCCTCCAAGCTATCCAAATATCCACTTGCATTTTCCACAAAAAGAGTGCTTCAAAACTGCTCTATCAATAAATGTTCAACTCCTTTAGCTGGGTGCACACATCACAAACAAGTTTCTGAGAATGCTTCTGTCTAGTTTTTATGGGAAGACATTTCCTTTTTCACCAAAGGCATCAAAGAGCTCCAAATGTCCACTTCCAGATACGACAAATAGAGTGTTTCAAAAGTGCTCTAAGAAAGCGAATGTTCAACTCTGTGACTTGAATGCAGATATCAAAAAGTAGTTTCTTGAGAGTCCTTCTGTCTAGATTTTAGATGATGATATTCCCGTTTCCAACGAAATCATTAGAGCTATCCAAATATCCACTTACAGTTTCTACAAAAAGAGTGTTTCCAAACTGCTGCATCAAAAGAGAGGTTCCACTCTGTTAGCTGAGTACACACATCACAAACTTGTTTCTCAGAATCCTTCTGTCTCGTTTTTATGGGAAGATATTTACTTTTTCACCGTAGGCATCAAAGCGCTCCAAATGTCCACATCCAGATACTCCAGAACGAGTGTTTCAAACCTGCTCTATGAAAGGGAATCTTCAACTCTATGAGTTGAATGCAGACATCAGAAAGAAATTTCTGAGAATGCTGCTGTCTACCTTTTATTTGAATTCCCGCTTCCAACGAAATCCTCCAAGCTATCCAAATATCCACTTGCAGATTCCACAAAAAGAGTGTTTCAAAACTGCTCTCTATCAATGGCAAAGTTCAACTCTGTTAGTTGAGGACACATATCACCAACAAGTTTCTGAGAATGCTTCTGTCTATTTTTTATGGGAAGATATTTCCTTTTTCACCGTAGGCGTCAAGGCAATCGAAATGTCCACTTCCACAAACTACAAAAAGAGTGTTTCAAACCTGCTCTATGAAAGGCCATGTTCATCTCTATGAGTCGAATGGAAATATCCGAAAGAAATTTCTGGGAATGCTGCTGTCTAGTGTTTATACGAATTCCCGCTTGCAACGAAATCCTCAAAGCAATCCAAATATCCACTTGCAGAATCCACAAAAAGAGTGTTTCAAAACTGCTCTATCAATAGAAAGGTTCAACTCTTTTAGTTGAGTACACACATCACGACCAAGTTTCTGAGAATGCTTCTCTCTGGCTTTTATTGGAAGACGTTTCCTTTTCACCAAAGGCATCAAAGCGCTCCAAATGTCCACTTCCAGATTCTTCCAAAAGAGTGTTTCAAACGTGGTCGAAGTAAGGGAATGTTCAACTCTGTGACTTGAATGCAGATATCACCAAGTAGTTTCTAATAGTGCTTATGTCTAGATTTTAGATGATGATATTCCCGTTTCCAACGAAATCGTTAGAGCTATCCAAATATCCACTTACAGTTTCTACAAAAAGAGTGTTTCCAAACTGCTGCATCAAAAGAAAGGTTCAACTCTGTTAGTTGAGGACACACATCACAAAGAAGTTTGTGAGAATGCTTCTGTCTAGATTTTGTATGACGATATTCCCTTTTCCAACGATATCGTTAAAGCAATCTAAATATCCATTTGCAGAATCCACAAAAATAGAGTTTCAAAGCTGCTCTGTAAAAAGAAAGGTTCCACTCTGTTAGCTGAGTACACACATCACAAACTTGTTTCTGAGAATCCTTCTGTCTCGTTTTTATGGGAAGATATTTACTTTTTCACCGTAGGCATCAAAGCGCTCCAAATGTCCACATCCAGATACTCCAGAAAGGGTGTTTCAAACCTGCTCTATGAAAGGGAATCTTCAACTCTATGAGTTGAATGCAGACATCAGAAAGAAATTTCTGAGAATGCTGCTGTCTACCTTTTATTTGAATTCCCGCTTACAACGAAATCCTCCAAGCTATCCAAATATCCACTTGCAGATTCCACAAAAAGAGTGTTTCAAAACTGCTCTCTATCAATGGCAAAGTTCAACTCTGTTAGTTGAGGACACATATCACCAACAAGTTTCTGAGAATGCTTCTGTCTAGTTTTTATGGGTAGACATTCCCTTTTTCACCAAAGGAATCAAAGCGCTCCAAATGTCCACTTCCAGACACTACAAAAAGAGTGTTTCAAACGTGCTCTAAGAAAGGGAATGTTCAACTCTGTGACTTGAATGCAGATATCACAAAGTAGTTTCTGAGAGTGCTTCTGTCTAGATTTTAGATGATGATATTCCCGTTTCCAACGAAATCATTAGAGCTATCCAAATATCCACTTACAGTTTCTACAAAAAGAGTGTTTCCAAACTGCTGCATCAAAAGAGAGGTTCCACTCTGTTAGCTGAGTACACACATCACAAACTTGTTTCTCAGAATCCTTCTGTCTCGTTTTTATGGGAAGATATTTACTTTTTCACAGTAGGCATCAAAGCTCTCCAAATGTCCACATCCAGATACTCCAGAAAGAGTGTTTCAAACCTGCTCTATGAAAGGGAATCTTCAACTCTATGAGTTGAATGCAGACATCAGAAAGAAATTTCTGAGAATGCTGCTGTCTACCTTTTATTTGAATTCCCGCTTCCAACGAAATCCTCCAAGCTATCCAAATATCCACTTGCAGATTCCACAAAAAGAGTGTTTCAAAACTGCTCTCTATCAATGGCAAAGTTCAACTCTGTTAGTTGAGGACACATATCACCAACAAGTTTCTGAGAATGCTTCTGTCTATTTTTTATGGGAAGATATTTCCTTTTTCACCGTAGGCGTCAAGGCGATCGAAATGTCCACTTCCACAAACTACAAAAAGAGTGTTTCAAACCTGCTCTATGAAAGGCCATGTTCATCTCTATGAGTCAAATGGAAATATCCGAAAGAAATTTCTGGGAATGCTGCTGTCTAGTTTTTATACGAATTCCCGCTTCCAACGAAATCCTCAAAGCAATCCAAATATCCACTTGCAGAATCCACAAAAAGAGTGTTTCAAAACTGCTCTATCAATAGAAAGGTTCAACTCTTTTAGTTGAGTACACACATCACAAACAAGTTTCTGAGAATGCTTCTGTCTGTCTTTTATTGGAAGACGTTTCCTTTTCACCAAAGGCATCAAAGCGCTCCAAATGTCCACTTCCAGATTCTTCCAAAAGAGTGTTTCAAACGTGCTCAAAGTAAGGGAATGTTCAACTCTGTGTCTTGAATGCAGATATCACCAAGTAGTTTCTAATAGTGCTTCTGTCTAGATTTTAGATGATGATATTCCCGTTTCCAACGAAATCGTTAGAGCTATCCAAATATCCAGTTACAGTTTCTACCAAAAGGGTGTTTCCAAATTGCTGCATCAAAAGAAAGGTTCAACTCTGTTAGTTGAGGACACACATCACAAAGAAGTTTGTGAGAATGCTTCTGTCTAGATTTTGTATGACCATATTCCCTTTTCCAGCGATATCATTAAAGCAATCTAAATATCCATTTGCAGAATCCACAAAAATAGAGTTTCAAAGCTGCTCTGTAAAAAGAAAGGTTCCACTCTGTTAGCTGAGTACACACATCACAAACTTGTTTCTGAGAATCCTTCTGTCTCGTTTTTATGGGAAGATATTTACTTTTTCACCGTAGGCATCAAAGTGCTCCAAATGTCCACATCCAGATACTCCAGAAAGAGTGTTTCAAACCTGCTCTATGAAAGGGAATCTTCAACTCTATGAGTTGAATGCAGACATCAGAAAGAAATTTCTGAGAATGCTCTGTCTACCTTTTATTTGAATTCCCGCTTCCAACGAAATCCTCCAAGCTATCCAAATATCCACTTGCATTTTCCACAAAAAGAGTGTTTCAAAACTGCTCTATCAATAGAAATGTTCAACTCCTTTAGCTGGGTACACACATCACAAACAAGTTTCTGAGAATGCTTTCTGTCTAGTTTTTATGGGAAGACATTCCCTTTTTCACCAAAGGCATCAAAGCGCTCCAAATGTCCACTTCCAGACACTACAAAAAGAGTGTTTCCAACGTGCTCTAAGAAAGCGAATGTTCAACTCTGTGACTTGAGTGCAGATATCACAAAGTAGTTTCTGAGAGGGCTTCTGTCTAGATTTTGTATGAAGATATTCCCTTTTCCAACGATGTCGTTAAATCAACCCAAATATCAATTTGCAGAATCCACAGAAATAGAGTTTCAAAGCTGCTCTGTAAAAAGAAAGGATCCACTCTGTTAGCTGAGTACACACATCACAAACTTGTTTCTGAGAATCCTTCTGTCTAGTTTTTATGGGAAGATATTTACTTTTTCACTGTAGGTATCAAAGCGCTCCAAATGTCCACATCCAGATACTACAGAAAGAGTGTTTCAAACCTGCTCTATGAAAGGGAATCCTCAACTCTACGAGTTGAATGCAGACATCAGAAAGTAATTTCTGAGAATGCTGCTGTCTACCTTTTATTTGAATTCCCGCTTCCAACGAAATCCTGCCAAGCTATCCAAATATCCACTTGCAGATTCCACAAAAAGAGTGTTTCAAAACTGCTCTCTATCAATGGCAAAGTTCAACTCTGTTAGTTGAGGACACATATCACCAACAAGTTTCTGAGAATGCTTCTGTCTATTTTGTATGGGAAGATATTTCCTTTTTCAGCGTAGGCGTCAAGGCGATCGAAATGTCCACTTCCACAAACTACAAAAAGAGTGTTTCAAACCTGCTCTATGAAAGGCCATGTTCATCTCTATGAGTTGAATGGAAATATCCGAAAGAAATTTCTGGGAATGCTGCTGTCTAGTGTTTATACGAATTCCCGCTTCCAACGAAATCCTCAAAGCAATCCAAATATCCACTTGCAGAATCCACAAAAAGAGTGTTTCAAAACTGCTCTATCAATAGAAAGGTTCAACTCTTTTAGTTGAGTACACACATCACGAACAAGTTTCTGAGAATGCTTCTGTCTGGCTTTTATTGGAAGACGTTTCCTTTTCACCAAAGGCATCACAGTGCTCCAAATGTCCACTTCCAGATTCTTCCAAAAGAGTGTTTCAAACGTGCTCAAAGTAAGGGAATGTTCAACTCTGTGACTTGAATGCAGATATCACCAAGTAGTTTCTAATAGTGCTTCTGTCTAGATTTTAGATGATGATATGCCCGTTTCCAACGAAATCGTTAGAGCTATCCAAATATCCACTTACAGTTTCTACAAAAAGAGTGTTTCCAAACTGCTGCATCAAAAGAAAGGTTCAACTCTGTTAGTTGAGGACACACATCACAAAGAAGTTTGTGAGAATGCTTCTGTCTAGATTTTGTATGACGATATTCCCTTTTCCAACGATATCGTTAAAGCAATCTAAATATCCATTTGCAGAATCCACAAAAATAGAGTTTCAAAGCTGCTCTGTAAAAAGAAAGGTTCCACTCTGTTAGCTGAGTACACACATCACAAACTTGTTTCTCAGAATCCGCTGTCTACCTTTTATTTGAATTCCCGCTTCCAACGGAAATCCTCCAAGCTATCCAAATATCCACCTGCATTTTCCACAAAAAGAGTGTTTCAAAACTGCTCTATCAATAGAAATGTTCAACTCCTTTGGCTGGGTACACACATCACAAACAAGTTTCTGAGAATGCTTCTGTCTAGTTTTTATGGGAAGACATTCCCTTTTTCACCAAAGGCATCAAAGCGCTCCAAATGTCCACTTCCAGACACTACAAAAAGAGTGTTTCCAACGTACTCTAAGAAAGCGAATGTTCAACTCTGTGACTTGAATGCAGATATCACAAAGTAGTTTCTGAGAGGGCTTCTGTCTAGATTTTAGATGATGATATTCCCGTTTCCAACGAAATCATTAGAGCTATCCAAATATCCACTTACAGTTTCTACAAAAAGAGTGTTTCCAAACTGCTGCATCAAAAGAGAGGTTCCACTCTGTTAGCTGAGTACACACATCACAAACTTGTTTCTCAGAATCCTGCTGTCTACCTTTTATTTGAATTCCCGCTTCCAACGAAATCCTCCAAGCTATCCAAATATCCACTTGCAGATTCCACAAAAAGAGTGTTTCAAAACTGCTCTCTATCAATGGCAAAGTTCAACTCTGTTAGTTGAGGACACATATCACCAACAAGTTTCTGAGAATGCTTCTGTCTATTTTTTATGGGAAGATATTTCCTTTTTCACTGTAGGCATCAAGGCGATCGAAATGTCCACTTCCACAAACTACAAAAAGAGTGTTTCAAACCTGCTCTATGAAAGGCGATGTTCATCTCAATGAGTTGAATGGAAATATCCGAAAGAAATTTCTGGGAATGCTGCTGTCTAGTTTTTATATGAATTCCCGCTTCCAACGAAATCCTCAAAGCAATCCAAATATCCACTTGCAGAATCCACAAAAAGAGTGTTTCAAAACTGCGCTATCAATAGAAAGGTTCAACTCTTTTAGTTGAGTACACACATCACGAAGAAGTTTCTGAGAATGCTTCTGTCTGGCTTTTATTGGAAGACGTTTCCTTTTCACCAAAGGCATCAAAGCGCTCCAAATGTCCACTTCCAGATTCTTCCAAAAGAGTGTTTCAAACGTGCTCGAAGTAAGGGAATGTTCTACTCTGTGACTTGAATGCAGATATCACCAAGTAGTTTCTAATAGTGCTTCTGTCTAGATTTTAGATGATGATATTCCCGTTTCCAACGAAATCATTAGAGCTATCCAAATATCCACTTACAGTTTCTACAAAAAGAGTGTTTCCAAACTGCTGCATCAAAAGAGAGGTTCCACTCTGTTAGCTGAGGACACACATCACAAAGAAGTTTGTGAGAATGCTTCTGTCCAGATTTTGTATGACGATATTCCCTTTTCCAACGATATCATTAAAGCAATCTAAATATCCATTTGCAGAATCCACAAAAATAGAGTTTCAAAGCTGCTCTGTAAAAAGAAAGGTTCCACTCTGTTAGCTGAGTACACACATCACAAACTTGTTTCTGAGAATCCTTCTGTCTCGTTTTTCTGGGAAGATATTTACTTTTTCACTGTAGGCATCAAAGCGCTCCAAATGTCCACATCCAGATACTCCAGAAAGAGTGTTTCAAACCTGCTCTATGAAAGGGAATCTTCAACTCTATGAGTTGAATGCAGACATCAGAAAGAAATTTCTGAGAATGCTGCTGTCTACCTTTTATTTGAACTCCCGCTTCCAACGAAATCCTCCAAGCTATCCAAATATCCACTTGCATTTTCCACAAAAAGAGTGCTTCAAAACTGCTCTATCAATAAATGTTCAACTCCTTTGGCTGGGTGCACACATCACAAACAAGTTTCTGAGAATGCTTCTGTCTAGTTTTTATGGGAAGACATTCCCTTTTTCACCAAAGGCATCAAAGCGCTCCAAATGTCCACTTCCAGACACTACAAAAAGAGTGTTTCAAACGTGCTCTAAGAAAGCGAATGTTCAACTCTGTGACTTGAATGCAGATATCACAAAGTAGTTTCTGAGAGGGCTTTCTGTCTAGATTTTAGATGATGATATTCCCGTTTCCAACGAAATCATTACAGCTATCCAAATATCCACTTACAGTTTCTACAAAAAGAGTGTTTCCAAACTGCTGCATCAAAAGAGAGGTTCCACTCTGTTAGTTGAGTACACACATCACAAACTTGTTTCTCAGAATCCTTCTGTCTCGTTTTTATGGGAAGATATTTACTTTTTCACCGTAGGCATCAAAGCGCTCCAAATGTCCACATCCAGATACTCCAGAAAGAGTGTTTCAAACCTGCTCTATGAAAGGGAATGTTCAACTCTATGAGTTGAATGCAGACATCAGAAAGAAATTTCTGAGAATGCTGCTGTCTACCTTTTATTTGAATTCCCGCTTCCAACGAAATCCTCCAAGCTATCCAAATATCCACTTGCAGATTCCACAAAAAGAGTGTTTCAAAACTGGTCTCTATCAATGGCAAAGTTCAACTCTGTTAGTTGAGGACACATATCACCAACAAGTTTCTGAGAATGCTTCTGTCTATTTTTTATGGGAAGATATTTCCTTTTTCACCGTAGGCGTCAAGGCGATCTGAAATGTCCACTTCCACAAACTACAAAAAGAGTGTTTCAAACCTGCTCTATGAAAGGCCATGTTCATCTCTATGAGTCGAATGGAAATATCCGAAAGAAATTTCTGGGAATGCTGCTGTCTAGTGTTTATACGAATTCCCGCTTCCAACGAAATCCTCAAAGCAATCCAAATATCCACTTGCAGAATCCACAAAAAGAGTGTTTCAAAACTGCTCTATCAATAGAAAGGTTCAACTCTTTTAGTTGAGTACACACATCACGAACAAGTTTCTGAGAATGCTTCTGTCTGGCTTTTATTGGAAGACGTTTCCTTTTCACCAAAGGCATCAAAGCGCTCCAAATGTCCACTTCCAGATTCTTCCAAAAGAGTGTTTCAAACGTGCTCGAAGTAAGGGAATGTTCATCTCTGTGACTTGAATGCAGATATCACCAAGTAGTTTCTAATAGTGCTTCTGTCTAGATTTTAGATGATGATATTCCCGTTTCCAACGAAATCGTTAGAGCTATCCAAATATCCACTTACAGTTGCTACAAAAACAGTGTTTCCAAACTGCTGCATCAAAAGAAAGGTTCAACTCTGTTAGTTGAGGACACACATCACAAAGAAGTTTGTGAGAATGCTTCTGTCTAGATTTTGTATGACCATATTCCCTTTTCCAACGATATCGTTAAAGCAATCTAAATATCAATTTGCAGAATCCACAAAAATAGAGTTTCAAAGCTGCTCTGTAAAAAGAAAGGTTCCACTCTGTTAGCTGAGTACACACATCACAAACTTGTTTCTCAGAATCCTTCTGTCTCGTTTTTATGGGAAGATATTTACTTTTCCACCGTAGGCATCAAAGCACTCCAAATGTCCACATCCAGATACTCCAGAACGAGTGTTTCAAACCTGCTCTATGAAAGGGAATCTTCAACTCTATGAGTTGAATGCAGACATCAGAAAGAAATTTCTGAGAATGCTGCTGTCTACCTTTTATTTGAATTCCCGCTTCCAACGAAATCCTCCAAGCTATCCAAATATCCACTTGCATTTTCCACAAAAAGAGTGTTTCAAAACTGCTCTATCAATAGAAATGTTCAACTCCTTTGGCTGGGTACACACATCACAAACAAGTTTCTGAGAATGCTTCTGTCTAGTTTTTATGGGAAGACATTCCCTTTTTCACCAAAGGCATCAAAGCGCTCCAAATGTCCACTTCCAGACACTACAAAAAGAGTGTTTCCAACGTGCTCTAAGAAACCGAATGTTCAACTCTGTGACTTGAATGCAGATATCACAAAGTAGTTTCTGAGAGGGCTTCTGTCTAGATTTTAGATGATGATATTCCCGTTTCCAACGAAATCATTAGAGCTATCCAAATATCCACTTACAGTTTCTACAAAAAGAGTGTTTCCAAACTGCTGCATCAAAAGAGAGGTTCCACTCTGTTAGCTGAGTACACACATCACAAACTTGTTTCTCAGAATCCTTCTGTCTCGTTTTTATGGGAAGATATTTACTTTTTCACCGTAGGCATCAAAGCGCTCCAAATGTCCACATCCAGATACTCCAGAAAGAGTGTTTCAAACCTGCTCTATGAAAGGGAATGTTCAACTCTATGAGTTGAATGCAGACATCAGAAAGAAACTTCTGAGAATGCTGCTGTCTACCATTTATTTGAATTCCCGCTTCCAACGAAATCCTCCAAGCTATACAAATATCCACTTGCAGATTCAGGAAAAAGAGTGTTTCAAAACTGCTCTCTATCAATGGCAAAGTTCAACTCTGTTAGTTGAGGACACATATCACCAACAAGTTTCTGAGAATGCTTCTGTCTATTTTTTATGGGAAGATATTTCCTTTTTCACCGTAGGCGTCAAGGCGATCGAAATGTCCACTTCCACAAACTACAAAAAGAGTGTTTCAAACCTGCTCTATGAAAGGCCATGTTCATCTCTATGAGTTGAATGGAAATATCCGAAAGAAATTTCTGGGAATGCTGCTGTCTAGTTTTTATACGAATTCCCGCTTCCAACGAAATCCTCAAAGCAATCCAAATATCCACTTACAGAATCCACAAAAAGAGTGTTTCAAAACTGCTCTATCAATAGAAAGGTTCAACTCTTTTAGTTGAGTACACACATCACAAACAAGTTTCTGAGAATGCTTCTGTCTGGCTTTTATTGGAAGACGTTTCCTTTTCACCAAAGGCATCAAAGCGCTCCAAATGTCCACTTCCAGATTCTTCCAAAAGAGTGTTTGAAACGTGCTCAAAGTAAGGGAATGTTCAACTCTGTGACTTGAATGCAGATATCACCAAGTAGTTTCTAATAGTGCTTCTGTCTAGATTTTAGATGATGATATTCCCGTTTCCAACGAAATCGTTAGACCTATCCAAATATCCACTTACAGTTTCTACAAAAAGAGTGTTTCCAAACTGCTGCATCAAAAGAAAGGTTCAACTCTGTTAGTTGAGGACACACATCACAAAGAAGTTTCTGAGAAAGCTTCTGTCTAGATTTTGTATGACGATATTCCCTTTTCCAACGATATCGTTAAAGCAATCTAAATATCCATTTGCAGAATCCACAAAAATAGAGTTTCAAAGCTGCTCTGTAAAAAGAAAGGTTCCACTCTGTTAGCTGAGTGCACACATCACAAACTTGTTTCTGAGAATCCTGGCGTTTTCCTTTTATTTGAATTCCCGCTTCCAACGAAATCCTCCAAGCTATCCAAATATCCACTTGCATTTTCCACAAAAAGAGTGTTTCAAAACTGCTCTATCAATGGAAATGTTCAACTCCTTTAGCTGGGTACACACATCACAAACAAGTTTCTGAGAATGCTTCTGTCTAGTTTTTATGGGAAGACATTCCCTTTTTCACCAAAGGCATCAAAGCGCTCCAAATGTCCACTTCCAGACACTACAAAAAGAGTGTTTCAAACGTGCTCTAAGAAAGCGAATGTTCAACTCTGTGACTTGAATGCAGATATCACAAAGTAGTTTTTGAGAGGGCTTCTGTCTAGATTTTAGATGATGATATTCCCGTTTCCAAAGAAATCATTAGAGCTATCCAAATATCCACTTACAGTTTCTACAAAAAGAGTGTTTCCAAACTGCTGCATCAAAACAGAGGTTCCACTCTGTTAGCTGAGTACACACATCACAAACTAGTTTCTCAGAATCCTGCTGTCTACCTTTTATTTGAATTCCCGCTTCCAACTAAATCCTCCAAGCTATCCAAATATCCACTTGCAGATTCCACAAAAAGAGTGTTTCAAAACTGCTCTCTATCAATGGCAAAGTTCAACTCTGTTAGTTGAGGACACATATCACCAACAAGTTTCTGAGAATGCTTCTGTCTATTTTTTATGGGAAGATATTTCCTTTTTCACCGTAGGCGTCAAGGCGATCGAAATGTCCACTTCCACAAACTACAAAAAGAGTGTTTCAAACCTGCTCTATGAAAGGCCATGTTCATCTCTATGAGTTGAATGGAAATATCCGAAAGAAATTTCTGGGAATGCTGCTGTCTAGTGTTTATACGAATTCCCGCTTCCAACGAAATCCTCAAAGCAATCCAAATATCCACTTGCAGAATCCACAAAAAGAGTGTTTCAAAACTGCTCTATCAATAGAAAGGTTCAACTCTTTTAGTTGAGTACACACATCACCAACAAGTTTCTCAGAATGCTTCTGTCTGGCTTTTATTGGAAGACGTTTCCTTTTCACCAAAGGCATCAAAGCGCTCCAAATGTCCACTTCCAGATTCTTCCAAAAGAGTGTTTCAAACGTGCTCGAAGTAAGGGAATGTTCTACTCTGTGACTTGAATGCAGATATCACCAAGTAGTTTCTAATAGTGCTTCTGTCTAGATTTTAGATGATGATATTCCCGTTTCCAACGAAATCGTTAGAGCTATCCAAATATCCAGTTACAGTTTCTACCAAAAGGGTGTTTCCAAATTGCTGCATAAAAAGAAAGGTTCAACTCTGTTAGTTGAGGACACACATCACAAAGAAGTTTGTGAGAATGCTTCTGTCCAGATTTTGTATGACGATATTCCCTTTTCCAACGATATCGTTAAAGCAATCTAAATATCAATTTGCAGAATCCACAAAAATAGAGTTTCAAAGCTGCTCTGTAAAAAGAAAGGTTCCACTCAGTTAGCTGAGTACACACATCACAAACTTGTTTCTGAGAATCCTTCTGTCTCGTTTTTATGGGAAGATATTTACTTTTTCACCGTAGGCATCAAAGCGCTCCAAATGTCCACATCGAGATACTCCAGAAAGAGTGTTTCAAACCTGCTCTATGAAAGGGAATCTTCAACTCTATGAGTTGAATGCAGACATCAGAAAGAAATTTCTGAGAATGCTGCTGTCTACCTTTTATTTGAATTCCCGCTTCCAACGAAATCCTCCAAGCTGTCCAAATATCCACCTGCATTTTCCACAAAAAGAGTGTTTCAAAACTGCTCTATCAATAGAAATGTTCAACTCCTTTGGCTGGGTACACACATCACAAACAAGTTTCTGAGAATGCTTCTGTCTAGTTTTTATGGGAAGACATTCCCTTTTTCACCGAAGGCATCAAAGCGCTCCAAATGTCCACTTCCAGACACTACGAAAAGAGTGTTTCAAACGTGCTCTAAGAAACCGAATGTTCAACTCTGTGAGTTGAATGCAGATATCACAAAGTAGTTTCTGAGAGGGCTTCTGTCTAGATTTTAGATGATGATATTCCCGTTTCCAACGAAATCATTAGAACTATCCAAATATCCACTTACAGTTTCTACAAAAAGAGCGTTTCCAAACTGCTGCATCAAAAGAGAGGTTCCACTCTGTTAGCTGAGTACACACATCACAAACTTGTTTCTCAGAATCCTTCTGTCTAGCTTTTATGGGAAGATATTTTCTTTTTCACCGTAGGCATCAAAGCGTTCCAAATGTCCACATCCAGATAGTACAGAAAGAGTGTTTCAAACCTGCTCTATGAAAGGGAATCTTCAACTCTATGAGTTGAATGCAAACGTCACAAAGAAATTTCTGAGAATGCTGCTGTCTACCTTTTATTTGAATTCCCGCTTCCAACGAAATCCTCCAAGCTATCCAAATATCCACTTACAGATTCCACAAAAAGAGTGTTTCAAAACTGCTCTCTATCAATGGCAAAGTTCAACTCTGTTAGTTGAGGACACATATCACCAACAAGTTTCTGAGAATGCTTCTGTCTATTTTTTATGGGAAGATATTTCCTTTTTCACCGTAGGCGTCAAGGCGATCGAAATGTCCACTTCCACAAACTACAAAAAGAGTGTTTCAAACCTGCTCTATGAAAGGCCATGTTCATCTCTATGAGTTGAATGGAAATATCCGAAAGAAATTTCTGGGAATGCTGCTGTCTAGTGTTTATACGAATTCCCGCTTCCAACGAAATCCTCAAAGCAATCCAAATATCCACTTGCAGAATCCACAAAAAGAGTGTTTCAAAACTGCTCTATCAATAGAAAGGTTCAACTCTTTTTGTTGAGTACACACATCACGAACAAGTTTCTCAGAATGCTTCTGTCTGGCTTTTATTGGAAGACGTTTCCTTTTCACCAAAGGCATCAAAGCGCTCCAAATGTCCACTTCCAGATTCTTCCAAAAGAGTGTTTCAAACGTGCTCAAAGTAAGGGAATGTTCAACTCTGTGACTTGAATGCAGATATCACCAAGTAGTTTCTAATACTGCTTCTGTCTACATTTTAGATGATGATATTCCCGTTTCCAACGAAATCGTTAGAGCTATCCAAATATCCAGTTACAGTTTCTACCAAAAGGGTGTTTCCAAATTGCTGCATCAAAAGAAAGGTTCAACTCTGTTAGTTGAGGACACACATCACAAAGAAGTTTGTGAGAATGCTTCTGTCTAGATTTTGTATGAGGATATTCCCTTTTCCAACGATATCGTTAAAGCAATCTAAATATCAATTAGCAGAATCCACAAAACTAGAGTTTCAAAGCTGCTCTGTAAAAAGAAAGGTTCCACTCTGTTAGCTGAGTACACACATCACAAACTTGTTTCTGAGAATCCTGCTGTCTACCTTTTATTTGAATTCCCGCTTCCAACGAAATCCTCCAAGCTATCCAAATATCCACTTGCATTTTCCACAAAAAGAGTGTTTCAAAACTGCTCTATCAATAGAAATGTTCAACTCCTTTAGCTGGGTACACACATCACAAACAAGTTTCTGAGAATGCTTCTGTCTAGTTTTTATGGGAAGACATTCCCTTTTTCACCAAAGGCATCAAAGCGCTCCAAATGTCCACTTCCAGACACTAGAAAAAGAGTGTTTCAAACGTGCTCTAAGAAAGCGAATGTTCAACTCTGTGACTTGAATGCAGATATCACAAAGTAGTTTCTGAGAGGGCTTCTGTCTAGATTTTAGATGATGATATTCCCGTTTCCAACGAAATCATTAGAGCTATCCAAATATCCACTTACAGTTTCTACAAAAAGAGTGTTTCCAAACTGCTGCATCAAAAGAGAGGTTCCACTCTGTTAGCTGAGTACACACATCACAAACTTGTTTCTCAGAATCCTTATGTCTCGTTTTTATGGGAAGATATTTACTTTTTCACCGTAGGCATCAAAGCGCTCCAAATGTCCACATCCAGATACTCCAGAAAGAGTGTTTCAAACCTGCTCTATGAAAGGGAATCTTCAACTCTATGAGTTGAATGCAGACATCAGAAAGAAATTTCTGAGAATGCTGCTGTCTACCTTTTATTTGAATTCCCGCTTCCAACGAAATCCTCCAAGCTATCCAAATATCCACCTGCATTTTCCACAACAAGAGTGTTTCAAAACTGCTCTATCAATAGAAATGTTCAACTCCTTTGGCTGGGTACACACATCACAAACTAGTTTCTGAGAATGCTTCTGTCTATTTTTTATGGGAAGATATTTCCTTTTTCACCGTAGGCGTCAAGGCGATCGAAATGTCCACTTCCACAAACTACAAAAAGAGTGTTTCAAACCTGCTCTATGAAAGGCCATGTTCATCTCTATGAGTCGAATGGAAATATCCGAAAGAAATTTCTGGGAATGCTGCTGTCTAGTTTTTATACGAATTCCCGCTTCCAACGAAATCCTCAAAGCAATCCAAATATCCACTTGCAGAATCCACAAAAAGAGTGTTTCAAAACTGCTCTATCAATAGAAAGGTTCAACTCTTTTAGTTGAGTACACACATCACAAACAAGTTTCTGAGAATGCTTCTGTCTGGCTTTTATTGGAAGACGTTTCCTTTTCACCAAAGGCATCAAAGCGCTCCAAATGTCCACTTCCAGATTCTTCCAAAAGAGTGTTTCAAACGTGCTCGAAGTAAGGGAATGTTCAACTCTGTGACTTGAATGCAGATATCACCAAGTAGTTTCTAATAGTGCTTCTGTCTACATTTTAGATGATGATATTCCCGTTTCCAACGAAATCGTTAGAGCTATCCAAATATCCAGTTACAGTTTCTACCAAAAGGGTGTTTCCAAATTGCTGCATCAAAAGAAAGGTTCAACTCTGTTAGTTGAGGGCACACATCACAAAGAAGTTTGTGAGAATGCTTCTGTCTAGATTTTGCATGACGATATTCCCTTTTCCAACGATATCGTTAAAGCAATCTAAATACCAATTTGCAGAATCCACAAAAATAGAGTTTCAAAGCTGCTCTGTAAAAAGAAAGGTTCCACTCTGTTAGCTGAGTACACACATCACAAACTTGTTTCTGAGAATCCTTCTGTCTCGTTTTTATGGGAAGATATTTACTTTTCCACCGTAGGCATCAAAGCGCTCCAAATGTCCACATCCAGATACTCCAGAAAGAGTGTTTCAAACCTGCTCTATGAAAGGGAATCTTCAACTCTATGATTTGAATGCAGACATCAGAAAGAAATTTCTGAGAATGCTGCTGTCTACCTTTTATTTGAATTCCCTCTTCCAACGAAATCCTCCAAGCTATCCAAATATCCACTTGCATTTTCCACAAAAAGAGTGTTTCAAAACTGCTGTATCAATAGAAATGTTCAACTCCTTTAGCTGGGTACACACATCACAAACAAGTTTCTGAGAATGCTTCTGTCTAGTTTTTATGGGAAGACGTTCCCTTTTTCACCAAAGGCATCAAAGCGCTCCAAATGTCCACTTCCAGACACTACAAAAAGAGTGTTTCCAACGTGCTCTAAGAAAGCGAATGTTCAACTCTGTGACTTGAATGCAGATATCACAAAGTAGTTTCTGAGAGGGCTTCTGTCTAGATTTTAGATGATGATATTCCCGTTTCCAACGAAATCATTAGAGCTATCCAAATATCCACTTACAGTTTCTACAAAAAGAGTGTTTCCAAACTGCTGCATCAAAAGAGAGGTTCCACTCTGTTAGCTGAGTACACACATCACAAACTTGTTTCTCAGAATCCTTCTGTCTCGTTTTTATGGGAAGATATTTACTTTTTCACCGTAGGCATCAAAGCGCTCCAAATGTCCACATCCAGATACTACAGAAAGAGTATTTCAAACCTGCCCTATGAAAGGGAATGTTCAACTCTATGAGTTGAATGCAGACATCAGAAAGAAATTTCTGAGAATGCTGCTGTCTACCTTTTATTTGAATTCCCGCTTCCAACGAAATCCTCCCAACTATCCAAATATCCACTTGCAGATTCAGGAAAAAGAGTGTTTCAAAACTGCTCTCTATCAATGGCAAAGTTCAACTCTGTTAGTTGAGGACACATATCACCAACAAGTTTCTGAGAATGCTTCTGTCTATTTTTTATGGGAAGATATTTCCTTTTTCACCGTAGGCGTCAAGGCGATCGAAATGTCCACTTCCACAAACTACATAAAGAGTGTTTCAAACCTGCTCTATGAAAGGCCATGTTCATCTCTATGAGTTGAATGGAAATATCCGAAAGAAATTTCTGGGAATGCTGCTGTCTAGTGTTTATACGAATTCCCGCTTCCAACGAAATCCTCAAAGCAATCCAAATATCCACTTGCAGAATCCACAAAAAGAGTGTTTCAAAACTGCTCTATCAATAGAAAGGTTCAACTCTTTTAGTTGAGTACACACATCACGAACAAGTTTCTGAGAATGCTTCTGTCTGGCTTTTATTGGAAGACGTTTCCTTTTCAACAAAGGCATCAAAGCGCTCCAAATGTCCACTTCCAGATTCTTCCAAAAGAGTGTTTCAAACGTGCTCGAAGTAAGGGAATGTTCAACTCTGTGACTTGAATGCAGATATCACCAAGTAGTTTCTAATAGTGCTTCTGTCTAGATTTTAGATGATGATATTCCCGTTTACAACGAAATCGTTAGAGCTATCCAAATATCCAGTTACAGTTTCTACCAAAAGGGTGTTTCCAAATTGCTGCATCAAAAGAAAGGTTCAACTCTGTTAGTTGAGGACACACATCACAAAGAAGTTTGTGAGAATGCTTCTGTCTAGATTTTGTATGACGATATTCCCTTTTCCAACGATATCGTTAAAGCAATCTAAATATCAATTTGCAGAATCCACAAAAATAGACTTTCAAAGCTGCTCTGTAAAAAGAAAGGTTCCACTCTTTTAGCTGAGTACACACATCACAAACTTGTTTCTGAGAATCCTTCTGTCTCGTTTTTATGGGAAGATATTTACTTTTTCACCGCAGGCATCAAAGCGCTCCAAATGTCCACATCCAGATACTCCAGAAAGGGTGTTTCAAACCTGCTCTATGAAAGGGAATCTTCAACTCTATGAGTTGAATGCAGACATCAGAAAGAAATTTCTGAGAATGCTGCTGTCTACCTTTTATTTGAATTCCCGCTTCCAACGAAATCCTCCAAGCTATCCAAATATCCACCTGCATTTTCCACAAAAAGAGTGTTTCAAAACTGCTCTATCAATAGAAATGTTCAACTCCTTTGGCTGGGTACACACATCACAAACAAGTTTCTGAGAATGCTTCTGTCTAGTTTTTATGGGTAGACATTCCCTTTTTCACCAAAGGAATCAAAGCGCTCCAAATGTCCACTTCCAGACACTACAAAAAGAGTGTTTCAAACGTGCTCTAAGAAAGCGAATGTTCAACTCTGTGACTTGAATGCAGATATCACACAGTAGTTTCTGAGAGTGCTTTCTGTCTAGATTTTAGATGATGATATTCCCGTTTCCAACGAAATCATTAGAGCTATCCAAATATCCACTTACAGTTTCTACAAAAAGAGTGTTTCCAAACTGCTGCATCAAAAGAGAGGTTCCACTCTGTTAGCTGAGTACACACATCACAAACTTGTTTCTCAGAATCCTTCTGTCTAGTTTTTATGGGAAGATATTTACTTTTTCACCGTAGGTATCAAAGCGCTCCAAATGTCCTCATCCAGATACTACAGAAAGAGTGTTTCAAACCTGCTCTATGAAAGGGATTCTTCAACTCTATGGGTTGAATGCACACATCAGAAAGTAATTTCTGAGAATGCTGCTGTCTACCTTTTATTAGAATTCCCGCTTCCAACGAAATCCTCCAAGCTATCCAAATATCCACCTGCATTTTCCACAACAAGAGTGTTTCAAAACTGCTCTATCAATAGAAATGTTCAACTCCTTTGGCTGGGTACACACATCACAAACAAGTTTCTGAGAATGCTTCTGTCTATTGTTTATGGGAAGATATTTCCTTTTTCACCGTAGGCGTCAAGGCGATCGAAATGTCCACTTCCACAAACTACAAAAAGAGTGTTTCAAACCTGCTCTATGAAAGGCCATGTTCATCTCTATGAGTTGAATGGAAATATCCGAAAGAAATTTCTGGGAATGCTGCTGTCTAGTGTTTATACGAATTCCCGCTTCCAACGAAATCCTCTAAGCAAT
Source organism: Homo sapiens (assembly GCF_000001405.40). Lineage (NCBI taxonomy): Eukaryota > Metazoa > Chordata > Mammalia > Primates > Hominidae > Homo > Homo sapiens. Next base: position 12,655,862 of record NC_000021.9, on the reverse strand, counting down.
CCAAATATCCACTTGCAGAATCCACAAAAAGAGTGTTTCAAAACTGCTCTATCAATAGAAAGGTTCAACTCTTTTAGTTGAGTACACACATCACCAACAAGTTTGCTGAGAATGCTTCTGTCTGGCTTTTATTGGAAGACGTTTCCTTTTCACCAAAGGCATCAAAGCGCTCCAAATGTCCACTTCCAGATTCTTCCAAAAGAGTGTTTCAAACGTGCTCGAAGTAAGGGAATGTTCTACTCTGTGACTTGAATGCAGATATCACCAAGTAGTTTCTAATAGTGCTTCTGTCTAGATTTTAGATGATGATATTCCCGTTTCCAACGAAGTCGCTAGAGCTATCCAAATATCCAGTTACAGTTTCTACCAAAAGGGTGTTTCCAAATTGCTGCATCAAAAGAAAGGTTCAACTCTGTTAGTTGAGGACACACATCACAAAGAAGTTTGTGAGAATGCTTCTGTCTAGATTTTCTATGACGATATTCCCTTTTCCAACGATATCGTTAAAGCAATCTAAATATCAATTTGCAGAATCCACAAAAATAGAGTTTCAAAGCTGCTCTGTAAAAAGAAAGGTTCCACTCTGTTAGCTGAGTACACACATCACAAACTTGTTTCTGAGAATCCTTCTGTCTCGTTTTTATGGGAAGATATTTACTTTTTCACCGTAGGCATCAAAGCGCTCCAAATGTCCACATCCAGATACTCCAGAAAGAGTGTTTCAAACCTGCTCTATGAAAGGGAATCTTCAACTCTATGAGTTGAATGCAGACATCAGAAAGAAATTTCTGAGAATGCTGCTGTCTACCTTTTATTTGAATTCCCGCTTCCAACGAAATCCTCCAAGCTATCCAAATATCCACGTGCATTTTCCACAACAAGAGTGTTTCAAAACTGCTCTATCAATAGAAATGTTCAACTCCTTTGGCTGGGTACACACATCACAAACAAGTTTCTGAGAATGCTTCTGTCTAGTTTTTATGGGAAGACATTCCCTTTTTCACCAAAGGCATCAAAGCGCTCCAAATGTCCACTTCCAGACACTACAAAAAGAGTGTTTCAAACGTGCTCTAAGAAACCGAATGTTCAACTCTGTGACTTGAATGCAGATATCACAAAGTAGTTTCTGAGAGGGCTTCTGTCTAGATTTTAGATGATGATATTCCCGTTTCCAACGAAATCATTAGAGCTATCCAAATATCCACTTACAGTTTCTACAAAAAGAGTGTTTCCAAACTGCTGCATCAAAAGAGAGGTTCCCCTCTGTTAGCTGAGTACACACATCACAAACTTGTTTCTCAGAATCCTGCTGTCTACCTTTAATTTGAATTCCCGCTTCCAACGAAATCCTCCAAGCTATCCAAATATCCACTTGCAGATTCCACAAAAAGAGTGTTTCAAAACTGCTCTCTATCAATGGCAAAGTTCAACTCTGTTAGTTGAGGACACATATCACCAACAAGTTTCTGAGAATGCTTCTGTCTATTTTTTATGGGAAGATATTTCCTTTTTCACCGTAGGCGTCAAGGCGATTGAAATGTCCACTTCCACAAACTACAAAAAGAGTGTTTCAATATGAAAGGCCATGTTCATCTCTATGAGTTGAATGGAAATATCCAAAAGAAATTTCTGGGAATGCTGCTGTCTAGTTGTTATACGAATTCCCGCTTCCAACGAAATCCTCAAAGCAATCCAAATATCCACTTGCAGAATCCACAAAAAGAGTGTTTCAAAACTGCTCTGTCAATAGAAAGGTTCAACTCTGTTAGCTGCGTGCATATATCCCAAAGAAGATTCTGAGATTGCTTCTGTCTGGCTTTTATTGGAAGACGTTTCCTTTTCACCAAAGGCATCAAAGCGCTCCAAATGTCCACTTCCAGATTCTTCCAAAAGAGTGTTTGAAACGTGCTCAAAGTAAGGGAATGTTCAACTCTGTGACTTGAATGCAGATATCACCAAGTAGTTTCTAATAGTGCTTCTGTCTAGATTTTAGATGATGATATTCCCGTTTCCAACGAAATCGTTAGAGCTATCCAAATATCCACTTACAGTTTCTACAAAAAGAGTGTTTCCAAACTGCTGCATCAAAAGAAAGGTTCAACTCTGTTAGTTGAGGACACACGTCACAAAGAAGTTTGTGAGAATGCTTCTGTCCAGATTTTGTATGACGATATTCCCTTTTCCAACGATATCGTTAAAGCAATCTAAATATCCATTTGCAGAATCCACAAAAATAGAGTTTCAAAGCTGCTCTGTAAAAAGAAAGGTTCCACTCTGTTAGCTGAGTACACACATCACAAACTTGTCTCTCAGAATCCTTCTGTCTCGTTTTTATGGGAAGATATTTACTTTTTCACCGTAGGCATCAAAGCGCTCCAAATGTCCACATCCAGATACTCCAGAAAGAGTGTTTCAAACCTGCTCTATGAAAGGGAATCTTCAACTCTATGAGTTGAATGCAGACATCAGAAAGAAATTTCTGAGAATGCTGCTGTCTACCTTTTATTTGAACTCCTGCTTCCAACGAAATCCTCCAAGCTATCCAAATATCCACTTGCATTTTCCACAAAAAGAGTGCTTCAAAACTGCTCTATCAATAAATGTTCAACTCCTTTAGCTGGGTGCACACATCACAAACAAGTTTCTGAGAATGCTTCTGTCTAGTTTTTATTGGAAGATATTCCCTTTTTCACCAAAGGCATCAAAGCGCTCCAAATTTCCACTTCCAGACACTACAAAAAGAGTGTTTCAAACGTGCTCTAAGAAAGCGAATGTTCAACTCTGTGACTTGAATGCAGATATCACAAAGTAGTTTTTGAGAGGGCTTCTCTCTAGATTTTAGATGATGATATTCCCGTTTCCAACGAAATCATTAGAGCTATCCAAATATCCACTTACAGTTTCTACAAAAAAAGTGTTTCCAAACTGCTGCATCAAAAGACAGGTTCCACTCTGTTAGCTGAGTACACACATCACAAACTTGTTTCTGAGAATCCTTCTGTCTCGTTTTTATGGGAAGATATTTACTTTTTCACCGTAGGCATCAAAGCGCTCCAAATGTCCACATCCAGATACTCCAGAAAGAGTATTTCAAACCTGCCCTATGAAAGGGAATGTTCAACTCTATGAGTTGAATGCAGAGATCAGAAAGAAATTTCCTGAGAATGCTGCTGTCTACCTTTTATTTGAATTCCCGCTTCCAACGAAATCCTCCAAGCTATCCAAATATCCACTTGCAGATTCCAAAAAAAGAGTGTTTCAAAACTGCTCTCTATCAATGGCAAAGTTCAACTCTGTTAGTTGAGGGCACATATCACCAACAAGTTTCTGAGAATGCTTCTGTCTATTTTTTATGGGAAGATATTTCCTTTTTCACCGTAGGCGTCAAGGCGATCGAAATGTCCACTTCCACAAACTACAAAAAGAGTGTTTCAGTATGAAAGGCCATGTTCATCTCTATGAGTTGAATGGAAATATCCGAAAGAAATTTCTGGGAATGCTGCTGTCTAGTGTTTATACGAATTCCCGCTTCCAACGAAATCCTCAAAGCAATCCAAATATCCACTTGCAGAATCCACAAAAAGAGTGTTTCAAAACTGCTCTATCAATAGAAAGGTTCAACTCTTTTAGTTGAGTACACACATCACGAACAAGTTTCTGAGAATGCTTCTGTCTGGCTTTTATTGGAAGACGTTTCCTTTCCACCAAAGGCATCAAAGCGCTCCAAATGTCCACTTCCAGATTCTTCCAAAAGAGTGTTTCAAACGTGCTCAAAGTAAGGGAATGTTCAACTCTGTGACTTGAATGCAGATATCACCAAGTAGTTTCTAATAGTGCTTCTGTCTAGATTTTAGATGATGATATTCCCGTTTCCAACGAAATCGTTAGAGCTATCCAAATATCCACTTACAGTTGCTACAAAAACAGTGTTTCCAAACTGCTGCATCAAAAGAAAGGTTCAACTCTGTTAGTTGAGGACACACATCACAAAGAAGTTTGTGAGAATGCTTCTGTCTAGATTTTGTATGACGATATTCCCTTTTCCAACGATATCGTTAAAGCAATCTAAATATCCATTTGCAGAATCCACAAAAATAGAGTTTCAAAGCTGCTCTGTAAAAAGAAAGGTTCCACTCTGTTAGCTGAGTACACACATCACAAACTTGTTTGCTCAGAATCCTTCTGTCTCGTTTTTATGGGAAGATATTTACTTTTCCACCGTAGGCATCAAAGCGCTCCAAATGTCCACATCCAGATACTCCAGAACGAGTGTTTCAAACCTGCTCTATGAAAGGGAATCTTCAACTCTATGAGTTGAATGCAGACATCAGAAAGAAATTTCTGAGAATGCTGCTGTCTACCTTTTATTTGAATTCCCGCATCCAACGAAATCCTCCAAGCTATCCAAATATCCACTTGCATTTTCCACAACAAGAGTGTTTCAAAACTGCTCTATCAATAGAAACGTTCAACTCCTTTGGCTGGGTACACACATCACAAACAAGTTTCTGAGAATGCTTCTGTCTAGTTTTTATGGGTAGACATTCCCTTTTTCACAAAAGGAATCAAAGCGCTCCAAATGTCCACTTCCAGACACTACAAAAAGAGTGTTTCAAACGTGCTCTAAGAAAGCGAATGTTCAACTCTGTGACTTGAATGCAGATATCACAAAGTAGTTTCTGAGAGGGCTTCTGTCTAGATTTTAGATGATGATATTCCCGTTTCCAACGAAATCATTAAAGCTATCCAAATATCCACTTACAGTTTCTACAAAAAGAGTGTTTCCAAACTGCTGCATCAAAAGAGAGGTTCCACTCTGTTAGCTGAGTACACACATCACAAACTTGTTTCTCAGAATCCTTCTGTCTCGTTTTTATGGGAAGATATTTACGTTTTCACCGTAGGCATCAAAGCGCTCCAAATGTCCACATCCAGATACTACAGAAAGAGTATTTCAAACCTGCCCTATGAAAGGGAATGTTCAACTCTATGAGTTGAATGCAGACATCAGAAAGAAATTTCTGAGAATGCTGCTGTCTACCTTTTATTTGAATTCCCGCTTCCAACGAAATCCTCCAAGCTATCCAAATATCCACTTGCAGATTCCACAAAAAGAGTGTTTCAAAACTGCTCTCTATCAATGGCAAAGTTCAACTCTGTTAGTTGAGGACACATATCACCAACAAGTTTCTGAGAATGCTTCTGTCTATTTTTTATGGGAAGATATTTTCTTTTTCACCGTAGGCGTCAAGGCGATCGAAATGTCCACTTCCACAAACTACAAAAAGAGTGTTTCAAACCTGCTCTATGAAAGGCGATGTTCATCTCTATGAGTTGAATGGAAATATCCGAAAGAAATTTCTGGGAATGCTGCTGTCTAGTTTTTATACGAATTCCCGCTTCCAACGAAATCCTCAAAGCAATCCAAATATCCACTTGCAGAATCCACAAAAAGAGTGTTTCAAAACTGCTCTATCAATAGAAAGGTTCAACTCTTTTAGTTGAGTACACACATCACAAACAAGTTTCTGAGAATGCTTCTGTCTGGCTTTTATTGGAAGACGTTTCCTTTTCACCAAAGGCATCAAAGCGCTCCAAATGTCCACTTCCAGATTCTTCCAAAAGAGTGTTTCAAACGTGCTCAAAGTAAGGGAATGCTCAACTCTTTGACTTGAATGCAGATATCACCAAGTAGTTTCTAATAGTGCTTCTGTCTACATTTTAGATGATGATATTCCCGTTTCCAACGAAATCGTTAGATCTATCCAAATATCCAGTTACAGTTTCTACCAAAAGGGTGTTTCCAAATTGCTGCATCAAAAGAAAGGTTCAACTCTGTTAGTTGAGGACACACATCACAAAGAAGTTTGTGAGAATGCTTCTGTCTAGATTTTGTATGACGATATTCCCTTTTCCAACGATTATCGTTAAAGCAATCTAAATATCAATTTGCAGAATCCACAAAAATAGAGTTTCAAAGCTGCTCTGTAAAAAGAAAGGTTCCACTCTGTTAGCTGAGTACACACATCACAAACTTGTTTCTGAGAATCCTTCTGTCTCGTTTTTATGGGAAGATATTTACTTTTTCACCGTAGGCATCAAAGCGCTCCAAATGTCCACATCCAGATACTCCAGAAAGAGTGTTTCAAACCTGCTCTATGAAAGGGAATCTTCAACTCTATGAGTTGAATGCAGACATCAGAAAGAAATTTCTGAGAATGCTCTGTCTACCTTTTATTTGAATTCCCGCTTCCAACGAAATCCTCCAAGCTATCCAAATATCCACCTGCATTTTCCACAAAAAGAGCGTTTCAAAACTGCTCTATCAATAGAAATGTTCAACTCCTTTGGCTGGGTACACACATCACAAACAAGTTTCTGAGAATGCTTTCTGTCTAGTTTTTATGGGAAGACATTCCCTTTTTCACCAAAGACATCAAAGCGCTCCAAATGTCCACTTCCAGACACTACAAAAAGAGTGTTTCAAACGTGCTCTAAGAAAGCGAATGTTCAACTCTGTGACTTGAATGCAGATATCACAAAGTAGTTTCTGAGAGTGCTTCTGTCTAGATTTTAGATGATGATATTCCCGTTTCCAACGAAATCATTAGAGCTATCCAAATATCCACTTACAGTTTCTACAAAAAGAGTGTTTCCAAACTGCTGCATCAAAAGAGAGGTTCCACTCTGTTAGCTGAGTACACACATCACAAACTTGTTTCTCAGAATCCTTCTGTCTCGTTTTTATGGGAAGATATTTACTTTTTCACCGTAGGCATCAAAGCGCTCCAAATGTCCACATCCAGATACTCCAGAAAGAGTGTTTCAAACCTGCTCTATGAAAGGGGATCTTCAACTCTATGAGTTGAATGCAGACATCAGAAAGAAATTTCTGAGAATGCTGCTGTCTACTTTTATTTGAATTCCCGCTTCCAACGAAATCCTCCAAGCTATCCAAATATCCACTTGCAGATTCCACAAAAAGAGTGTTTCAAAACTGCTCTCTATCAATGGCAAAGTTCAACTCTGTTAGTTGAGGACACATATCACCAACAAGTTTCTGAGAATGCTTCTGTCTATTTTTTATGGGAAGATATTTCCTTTTTCAGCGTAGGCGTCAAGGCGATCGAAATGTCCACTTCCACAAACTACAAAAAGAGTGTTTCAAACCTGCTCTATGAAAGGCCATGTTCATCTCTATGAGTTGAATGGAAATATCCGAAAGAAATTTCTGGGAATGCTGCTGTCTAGTTTTTATATGAATTCCCGCTTCCAATGAAATCCTCAAAGCAATCCAAATATCCACTTGCAGAATCCACAAAAAGAGTGTTTCAAAACTGCTCTATCAATAGAAAGGTTCAACTCTTTTAGTTGAGTACACACATCACCAACAAGTTTCTGAGAATGCTTCTGTCTGGCTTTTATTGGAAGACGTTTCCTTTTCACCAAAGGCATCAAAGCGCTCCAAATGTCCACTTCCAGATTCTTCCAAAAGAGTGTTTCAAACGTGCTCAAAGTAAGGGAATGTTCAACTCTGTGACTTGAATGCAGATATCACCAAGTAGTTTCTAATAGTGCTTCTGTCTAGATTTTAGATGATGATATTCCCGTTTCCAACGAAATCGTTAGAGCTATCCAAATATCCAGTTACAGTTTCTACAAAAAGAGTGTTTTCAAACTGCTGCATCAAAAGAAAGGTTCAACTCTGTTAGTTGAGGACACACATCACAAAGAAGTTTGTGAGAATGCTTCTGTCTAGATTTTGTATGAAGATATTCCCTTTTCCATCGATATCATTAAATCAACCCAAATATCAATTTGCAGAATCCACAGAAATAGAGTTTCAAAGCTGCTCTGTAAAAAGGTAGGATCCACTCTGTTAGCTGAGTACACACATCACAAACTTGTTTCTGAGAATCCTGCTGTCTACCTTTTATTTGAATTCCCGCTTCCAACGAAATCCTCCAAGCTATCCAAATATCCACTTGCATTTTCCACAACAAGAGTGTTTCAAAACTGCTCTATCAATAGAAATGTTCAACTCCTTTGGCTGGGTACACACATCACAAACAAGTTTCTGAGAATGCTTCTGCCTAGTTTTTATGGGAAGACATTCCCTTTTTCACCAAAGCCATCAAAGCGCTCCAAATGTCCACTTCCAGACACTACAAAAAGAGTGTTTCAAACGTGCTCTATGAAAGCGAATGTTCAACTCTGTGACTTGAATGCAGATATCACAGAGTAGTTTCTGAGAGTGCTTCTGTCTAGATTTTAGATGATGATATTCCCGTTTCCAACGAAATCATTAGAGCTATCCAAATATCCACTTACAGTTTCTACAAAAAGAGTGTTTCCAAACTGCTGCATCAAAAGAGAGGTTCCACTCTGTTAGCTGAGTACACACATCACAAACTTGTTTCTCAGAATCCTTCTGTCTAGTTTTTATGGGAAGATACTTACTTTTTCACCGTAGGTATCAAAGCGCTCCAAATGTCCACATCCAGATACTACAGAAAGAGTGTTTCAAACCTGCTCTATGAAAGGGAATCTTCAACTCTATGAGTTGAATGCAGACATCAGAAAGTAATTTCTGAGAATGCTGCTGTCTACCTTTTATTTGAATTCCCGCTTCCAACGAAATCCTCCAAGCTATCCAAATATCCACTTGCAGATTCCACAAAAAGAGCGTTTCAAAACTGCTCTATCAATAGAAAGGTTCAACTCTTTTAGTTGAGTACACACATCACAAACAAGTTTCTGAGAATGCTTCTGTCTATTTTTTATGGGAAGATATTTCCTTTTTCACCGTAGGCGTCAAGGCGATCGAAATGTCCACTTCCACAAACTACAAAAAGTGTGTTTCAAACCTGCTCTATGAAAGGCCATGTTCATCTCTATGAGTTGAATGGAAATATCCGAAAGAAATTTCTGGGAATGCTCTGTCTAGTGTTTATACGAATTCCCGCTTCCAACGAAATCCTCAAAGCAATCCAAATATCCACTTGCAGAATCCACAAAAAGAGTGTTTCAAAACTGCTCTATCAATAGAAAGGTTCAACTCTTTTAGTTGAGTACACACATCACGAACAAGTTTCTGAGAATGCTTTCTGTCTGGCTTTTATTGGAAGACGTTTCCTTTTCACCAAAGGCATCAAAGTGCTCCAAATGTCCACTTCCAGATTCTTCCAAAAGAGTGTTTCAAACGTGGTCGAAGTAAGGGAATGTTCAACTCTGTGACTTGAATGCAGATATCACCAAGTAGTTTCTAATAGTGCTTCTGTCTAGATTTTAGATGATGATATTCCCGTTTCCAAAGAAATCGTTAGAGCTATCCAAATATCCAGTTACAGTTTCTACCAAAAGGGTGTTTCCAAATTGCTGCATCAAAAGAAAGGTTCAACTCTGTTAGTTGAGGACACACATCACAAAGAAGTTTGTGAGAATGCTTCTGTCTAGATTTTGTATGACGATATTCTCTTTTCCAACGATATCGTTAAAGCAATCTAAATATCAATTTGCAGAATCCACAAAAATAGAGTTTCAAAGCTGCTCTGTAAAAAGAAAGGTTCCACTCTGTTAGCTGAGTACACACATCACAAACTTGTTTCTGAGAATCCTTCTGTCTCGTTTTTATGGGAAGATATTTACTTTTCCACCGTAGGCATCAAAGCGCTCCAAATGTCCACATCCAGATACTCCAGAACGAGTGTTTCAAACCTGCTCTATGAAAGGGAATCTTCAACTCTATGAGTTGAATGCAGACATCAGAAAGAAATTTCTGAGAATGCTTGCTGTCTACCTTTTATTTGAATTCCCGCTTCCAACGAAATCCTCCAAGCTATCCAAATATCCACCTGCATTTTCCACAAAAAGAGTGTTTCAAACCTGCTCTATCAATAGAAATGTTCAACTCCTTTGGCTGGGTACACACATCACAAACAAGTTTCTGAGAATGCTTCTGTCTAGTTTTTATGGGAAGACATTCCCTTTTTCACCAAAGGCAATTCAAAGCGCTCCAAATGTCCACTTCCAGACACTACAAAAAGAGTGTTTCAAACGTGCTCTAAGAAAGCGAATGTTCAACTCTGTGACTTGAATGCAGATATCACAAAGTAGTTTCTGAGAGTGCTTCTGTCTAGATTTTAGATGATGATATTCCCGTTTCCAACGAAATCATTAGAGCTATCCAAATATCCACTTACAGTTTCTACAAAAAGAGTGTTTCCAAACTGCTGCATCAAAAGAGAGGTTCCACTCTGTTAGCTGAGTACACACATCACAAACTTGTTTCTCAGAATCCTTCTGTCTCGTTTTTATGGGAAGATATTTACTTTTTCACCGTAGGCATCAAAGCGCTCCAAATGTCCACATCCAGATACTCCAGAAAGAGTGTTTCAAACCTGCTCTATGAAAGAGAATGTTCAACTCTATGAGTTGAATGCAGACATCAGAAAGAAATTTCTGAGAATGCTGCTGTCTACCTTTTATTTGAATTCCCGCTTCCAACGAAATCCTCCAAGCTATCCAAATATCCACTTGCAGATTCCACAAAAAGAGTGTTTCAAAACTGCTCTCTATCAATGGCAAAGTTCAACTCTGTTAGTTGAGGACACATATCACCAACAAGTTTCTGAGAATGCTTCTATTTTTTATGGGAAGATATTTCCTTTTTCACCGTAGGCGTCAAGGCGATCGAAATGTCCACTTCCACAAACTACAAAAAGAGTGTTTCAAACCTGCTCTATGAAAGGCCATGTTCATCTCTATGAGTTGAATGGAAATATCCGAAAGAAATTTCTGGGAATGCTGCTGTCTAGTTTTTATACGAATTCCCGCTTCCAACGAAATCCTCAAAGCAATCCAAATATCCACTTGCAGAATCCACAAAAAGAGTGTTTCAAAACTGCTCTATCAATAGAAAGGTTCAACTCTTTTAGTTGAGTACACGCATCACAAACAAGTTTCTGAGAATGCTTCTGTCTGGCTTTTATTGGAAGACGTTTCCTTTTCACCAAAGGCATCAAAGCGCTCCAAATGTCCACTTCCAGATTCTTCCAAAAGAGTGTTTCAAACGTGCTCGAAGTAAGGGAATGTTCAACTCTGTGACTTGAATGCAGATATCACCAAGTAGTTTCTAATAGTGCTTCTGTCTAGATTATAGATGATGATATTCCCGTTTCCAACGAAATCGCTAGAGCTATCCAAATATCCAGTTACAGTTTCTACCAAAAGGGTGTTTCCAAATTGCTGCATCAAAAGAAAGGTTCAACTCTGTTAGTTGAGGACACACGTCACAAAGAAGTTTGTGAGAATGCTTATGTCCAGATTTTGTATGACGATATTCCCTTTTCCAACGATATCGTTAAAGCAATCTAAATATCCATTTGCAGAATCCACAAAAATAGAGTTTCAAAGCTGCTCTGTAAAAAGAAAGGTTCCACTCTGTTAGCTGAGTACACACATCACAAACTTGTTTCTGAGAATCCTTCTGTCTCGTTTTTATGGGAAGATATTTACTTTTTCACCGTAGGCATCAAAGCGCTCCAAATGTCCACATCCAGATACTCCAGAAAGAGTGTTTCAAACCTGCTCTATGAAAGGGAATCTTCAACTCTATGAGTTGAATGCAGACATCAGAAAGAAATTTCTGAGAATGCTGCTGTCTACCTTTTATTTGAATTCCCGCTTCCAACGAAATCCTCCAAGCTATCCAAATATCCACTTGCATTTTCCACAAAAAGAGTGTTTCAAAACTGCTCTATCAATAGAAATGTTCAACTCCTTTGGCTGGGTACACACATCACAAACAAGTTTCTGAGAATGCTTCTGTCTAGTTTTTATGGGAAGACGTTCCCTTTTTCACCAAAGGCATCAAAGCGCTCCAAATGTCCACTTCCAGACACTACAAAACGAGTGTTTCCAACGTGCTCTAAGAAAGCGAATGTTCAACTCTGTGACTTGAATGCAGATATCACAAAGTAGTTTCTGAGAGGGCTTCTGTCTAGATTTTAGATGATGATATTCCCGTTTCCAACGAAATCATTAGAGCTATCCAAATATCCACTTACAGTTTCTACAAAAAGAGTGTTTCCAAACTGCTGCATCAAAAGAGAGGTTCCACTCTGTTAGCTGAGTACACACATCACAAACTTGTTTCTCAGAATCCTTCTGTCTCGTTTTTATGGGAAGATATTTACTTTTTCACCGTAGGCATCAAAGCGCTCCAAATGTCCACATCCAGATACTACAGAAAGAGTGTTTCAAACGTGCTCTATGAAAGGGAATCTTCAACTCTATGAGTTGAATGCAGACATCAGAAAGAAATTTCTGAGAATGCTGCTGTCTACCTTTTATTTGAATTCCCGCTTCCAACGAAATCCTCCAAGCTATCCAAATATCCACTTGCAGATTCCACAAAAAGAGTGTTTCAAAACTGCTCTCTATCAATGGCAAAGTTCAACTCTGTTAGTTGAGGACACATATCACCAACAAGTTTCTGAGAATGCTTCTGTCTATTTTTTATGGGAAGCTATTTCCTTTTTCACCGTAGGCGTCAAGGCGATCGAAATGTCCACTTCCACAAACTACAAAAAGAGTGTTTCAAACCTGCTCTATGAAAGGCCATGTTCATCTCTATGAGTCGAATGGAAATATCCGAAAGAAATTTCTGGGAATGCTGCTGTCTAGTTTTTATACGAATTCCCGCTTCCAACGAAATCCTCAAAGCAATCCAAATATCCACTTGCAGAATCCACAAAAAGAGTGTTTCAAAACTGCTCTATCAATAGAAAGGTTCAACTCTTTTAGTTGAGTACACACATCACAAACAAGTTTCTGAGAATGCTTCTGTCTGGCTTTTATTGGAAGACGTTTCCTTTTCACCAAAGGCATCAAAGCGCTCCAAATGTCCACTTCCAGATTCTTCCAAAAGAGTGTTTCAAGCGTGCTCAAAGTAAGGGAATGTTCAACTCTGTGACTTGAATGCAGATATCACCAAGTAGTTTCTAATAGTGCTTCTGTCTACATTTTAGATGATGATATTCCCGTTTCCAACGAAATCGCTAGAGCTATCCAAATATCCAGTTACAGTTTCTACCAAAAGGGTGTTTCCAAATTGCTGCATCAAAAGAAAGGTTCAACTCTGTTAGTTGAGGACACACATCACAAAGAAGTTTGTGAGAATGCTTCTGTTTAGATTTTGTATGACGATATTCCCTTTTCCAACGATATCGTTAATGCAAACCAAATATCAATTTGCAGAATCCACAAAAATAGAGTTTCAAAGCTGCTCTGTAAAAAGAAAGTTTCCACTCTGTTAGCTGAGTACACACATCACAAACTTGTTTCTGAGAATCCTTCTGTCTCGTTTTTATGGGAAGATATTTACTTTTTCACCGTAGACATCAAAGCGCTCCAAATGTCCACATCCAGATACTCCAGAAAGAGTGTTTCAAACCTGCTCTATGAAAGGGAATCTTCAACTCTATGAGTTGAATGCAGACATCAGAAAGAAATTTCTGAGAATGCTGCTGTCTACCTTTTATTTGAACTCCCGCTTCCAACGAAATCCTCCAAGCTATCCAAATATCCACTTGCATTTTCCACAAAAAGAGTGCTTCAAAACTGCTCTATCAATAGAAATGTTCAACTCCTTTAGCTGGGTGCACACATCACAAACAAGTTTCTGAGAATGCTTCTGTCTAGTTTTTATGGGTAGACATTCCCTTTTTCACCAAAGGAATCAAAGCGCTCCAAATGTCCACTTCCAGACACTACAAAAAGAGTGTTTCAAACGTGCTCTAAGAAAGCGAATGTTCAACTCTGTGACTTGAATGCAGATATCACACAGTAGTTTCTGAGAGTGCTTCTGTCTAGATTTTAGATGATGATATTCCCGTTTCCAACGAAATCATTAGAGCTATCCAAATATCCACTTACAGTTTCTACAAAAAGAGTGTTTCCAAACTGCTGCATCAAAAGAGAGTTTCCACTCTGTTAGCTGAGTACACACATCACAAACTTGTTTCTCAGAATCCTTCTGTCTCGTTTTTATGGGAAGATATTTACTTTTTCATCGTAGGCCTCAAAGCGCTCCAAATGTCCACATCCAGATACTACAGAAAGAGTATTTCAAACCTGCTCTATGAAAGGGAATGTTCAACTCTATGAGTTGAATGCAGACATCAGAAATAAATTTCTGAGAATGCTGCTGTCTACCCTTTATTTGAATTCCCGCTTCCAACGAAATCCTCCAAGCTATCCAAATATCCACTTGCAGATTCCACAAAAAGAGTGTTTCAAAACTGCTCTCTATCAATGGCAAAGTTCAACTCTGTTAGTTGAGGACACATATCACCAACAAGTTTCTGAGAATGCTTCTGTCTATTTTTTATGGGAAGATATTTCCTTTTTCACCGTAGGCGTCAACGCGATCGAAATGTCCACTTCCACAAACTACAAAAAGAGTGTTTCAAACCTGCTCTATGAAAGGCCAAGTTCATCTCTATGAGTTGAATGGAAATATCCGAAAGAAATTTCTGGGAATGCTGCTGTCTAGTGTTTATACGAATTCCCGCTTCCAACGAAATCCTCAAAGCAATCCAAATATCCACTTGCAGAATCCACAAAAAGAGTGTTTCAAAACTGCTCTATCAATAGAAAGGTTCAACTCTTTTAGTTGAGTACACACATCACGAACAAGTTTCTGAGAATGCTTCTGTCTGGCTTTTATTGGAAGACGTTTTCTTTTCACCAAAGGCATCATCAAAGCGCTACAAATGTCCACTTCCAGATTCTTCCAAAAGAGTGTTTCAAACGTGCTCAAAGTAAGGGAATGTTCAACTCTTTGACTTGAATGCAGATATCACCAAGTAGTTTCTAATAGTGCTTCTGTCTAGCATTTTAGATGATGATATTCCCGTTTCCAACGAAATCGTTAGAGCTATCCAAATATCCAGTTACAGTTTCTACCAAAAGGGTGTTTCCAAATTGCTGCATCAAAAGAAAGGTTCAACTCTGTTAGTTGAGGACACACATCACAAAGAAGTTTGTGAGAATGCTTCTGTCTAGATTTTGTATGACGATATTCCCTTTTCCAACGATATCGTTAAAGCAATCTAAATATCAATTTGCAGAATCCACAGAAATAGAGTTTCAAAGCTGCTCTGTAAAAAGAAAGGTTCCACTCTGTTAGCTGAGTACACACATCACAAACTTGTTTCTGAGAATCCTGCTGTCTACCTTTTATTTGAATTCCCGCTTCCAACGAAATCCTCCAAGCTATCCAAATATCCACCTGCATTTTCCACAAAAAGAGTGTTTCAAACGTGCTCTATCAATAGAAATGTTCAACTCCTTTGGCTGGGTACACACATCACAAACAAGTTTCTGAGAATGCTTCTGTCTAGTTTTTATGGGAAGACATTTCCTTTTTCACCAAAGGCATCAAAGAGCTCCAAATGTCCACTTCCAGATACTACAAAAAGAGTGTTTCAAAAGTGCTCTAAGAAAGCGAATGTTCAACTCTGTGACTTGAATGCAGATATCACAAAGTAGTTTCTGAGAGTGCTTCTGTCTAGTTTTTACATGATGATATTCCCGTTTCCAACGAAATCATCAGAGCTATCCAAATATCCACTTACAGTTTCTACAAAAAGAGTGTTTCCAAACTGCTGCATCAAAAGAGAGGTTCCACTCTGTTAGCTGAGTACACACATCACAAACTTGTTTCTGAGAATCCTTCTGTGTCGATTTTATGGGAAGATATTTACTTTTTCACCGTAGGCATCAAAGCGCTCCAAATGTCCACATCCAGATACTCCAGAAAGAGTGTTTCAAACCTGCTCTATGAAAGGGAATCTTCAACTCTATGAGTTGAATGCAGACATCAGAAAGAAATTTCTGAGAATGCTGCTGTCTACCTTTTATTTGAATTCCCGCTTCCAACGAAATCCTCCAAGCTATCCAAATATCCACTTGCAGATTCCACAAAAAGAGTGTTTCAAAACTGCTCTCTATCAATGGCAAAGTTCAACTCTGTTAGTTGAGGACACATATCACCAACAAGTTTCTGAGAATGCTTCTGTCTATTTTTTATGGGAAGATATTTCCTTTTTCACCGTAGGCGTCAAGGCGTTCGAAATGTCCACTTCCACAAACTACAAAAAGAGTGTTTCAAACCTGCTCTATGAAAGGCCATGTTCATCTCTATGAGTTGAATGGAAATATCCGAAAGAAATTTCTGGGAATGCTGCTGTCTAGTGTTTATACGAATTCCCGCTTCCAACGAAATCCTCAAAGCAATCCAAATATCCACTTGCAGAATCCACAAAAAGAGTGTTTCAAAACTGCTCTATCAATAGAAAGGTTCAACTCTTTTAGTTGAGTACACACATCACGAACAAGTTTCTGAGAATGCTTCTGTCTGGCTTTTACTGGAAGACGTTTCCTTTTCACCAAAGGCATCAAAGCGCTCCAAATGTCCACTTCCAGATTCTTCCAAAAGAGTGTTTCAAACGTGGTCGAAGTAAGGGAATGTTCAACTCTGTGACTTGAATGCAGATATCACCAAGTAGTTTCTAATAGTGCTTCTGTCTAGATTTTAGATGATGATATTCCCGTTTCCAACGAAATCGTTAGAGCTATCCAAATATCCACTTACAGTTGCTACAAAAACAGTGTTTCCAAACTGCTGCATCAAAAGAAAGGTTCAACTCTGTTAGTTGAGGACACACGTCACAAAGAAGTTTGTGAGAATGCTTCTGTCTAGATTTTGTATGACGATATTCCCTTTTCCAACGATATCGTTAAAGCAATCTAAATATAAATTTGCAGAATCCACAAAAATAGAGTTTCAAAGCTGCTCTGTAAAAAGAAAGGTTCCACTCTGTTAGCTGAGTACACACATCACAAACTTGTTTCTGAGAATCCTTCTGTCTCGTTTTTATGGGAAGATATTTACTTTTCCAACGTAGGCATCAAAGCGCTCCAAATGTCCACATCCAGATACTCCAGAACGAGTGTTTCAAACCTGCTCTATGAAAGGGAATCTTCAACTCTATGAGTTGAATGCAGACATCAGAAAGAAATTTCTGAGAATGCTGCTGTCTACCTTTTATTTGAATTCCCGCTTCCAACGAAATCCTCCAAGTATCCAAATATCCACCTGCATTTTCCACAACAAGAGTGTTTCACAACTGCTCTATCAATTTAAATGTTCAACTCCTTTGGCTGGGTACACACATCACAAACAAGTTTCTGAGAATGCTTCTGTCTAGTTTTTATGGGTAGACATTCCCTTTTTCACCAAAGGCATCAAAGCGCTCCAAATGTCCACTTCCAGACACTACAAAAAGAGTGTTTCAAACGTGCTCTAAGAAACCGAATGTTCAACTCTGTGACTTGAATGCAGATATCACAAAGTAGTTTCTGAGAGGGCTTCTGTCTAGATTTTAGATGATGATATTCCCGTTTTCAACGAAATCATTAGAGCTATCCAAATATCCACTTACAGTTTCTACAAAAAGAGTGTTTCCAAACTGCTGCATCAAAAGAGAGGTTCCACTCTGTTAGCTGAGTACACACATCACAAACTTGTTTCTCAGAATCCTTCTGTCTCGTTTTTATGGGAAGATATTTACTTTTTCACTGTAGGCATCAAAGCGCTCCAAATGTCCTCATCCAGATACTACAGAAAGAGTATTTCAAACCTGCCCTATGAAAGGGAATGTTCAACTCTATGAGTTGAATGCAGAGATCAGAAAGAAATTTCTGAGAATGCTGCTGTCTACCTTTTATTTGAATTCCCGCTTCCAACGAAATCCTCCAAGCTATCCAGATATCCACTTGCAGATTCCACAAAAAGAGTGTTTCAAAACTGCTCTCTATCAATGGCAAAGTTCAACTCTGTTAGTTGAGGACACATATCACCAACAAGTTTCTTAGAATGCTTCTGTCTATTTTTTATGGGAAGATATTTCCTTTTTCACCGTAGGCGTCAAGGCGATCGAAATGTCCACTTCCACAAACTACAAAAAGAGTGTTTCAAACCTGCTCTATGAAAGGCCATGTTCATCTCTATGAGTTGAATGGAAATATCCGAAAGAAATTTCTGGGAATGCTGCTGTCTAGTTTTTATACGAATTGCCGCTTCCAACGAAATCCTCAAAGCAATCCAAATATCCACTTGCAGAATCCACAAAAAGAGTGTTTCAAAACTGCTCTATCAATAGAAAGGTTCAACTCTTTTAGTTGAGTACACACATCACAAACAAGTTTCTGAGAATGCTTCTGTCTGGCTTTTATTGGAAGACGTTTCCTTTTCACCAAAGGCATCAAAGCGCTCCAAATGTCCACTTCCAGATTCTTCCAAAAGAGTGTTTCAAACGTGCTCAAAGTAAGGGAATGTTCAACTCTGTGACTTGAATGCAGATATCACCAAGTAGTTTCTAATAGTGCTTCTGTCTAGATTTTAGATGATGATATTCCCGTTTCCAACGAAATCGTTAGAGCTATCCAAATATCCACTTACAGTTTCTACCAAAAGAGTGTTTCCAAACTGCTGCATCAAAAGAAAGGTTCAACTCTGTTAGTTGAGGACACACATCACAAAGAAGTTTGTGAGAATGCTTCTGTCCAGATTTTGTATGACGATATTCCCTTTTCCAACGATATCGTTAAAGCAATCTAAATATCCATTTGCAGAATCCACAAAAATAGAGTTTCAAAGCTGCTCTGTAAAAAGAAAGGTTCCACTCTGTTAGCTGAGTACACACATCACAAACTTGTTTCTGAGAATCCTTCTGTCTCGTTTTTATGGGAAGATATTTACTTTTCCACCGTAGGCATCAAAGCGCTCCAAATGTCCACATCCAGATACTGCAGAACGAGTGTTTCAAACCTGCTCCATTAAAGGGAATCTTCAACTCTATGAGTTGAATGCAGACATCAGAAAGAAATTTCTGAGAATGCTGCTGTCTACCTTTTATTTGAATTCCCGCGTCCAACGAAATCCTCCAAGCTATCCAAATATCCACCTGCATTTTCCACAAAAAGAGCGTTTCAAAACTGCTCTATCAATAGAAATGTTCAACTCCTTTGGCTGGGTACACACATCACAAACAAGTTTCTGAGAATGCTTCTGTCTAGTTTTTATGGGTAGACATTCCCTTTTTCACCAAAGGAATCAAAGCGCTCCAAATGTCCACTTCCAGACACTACAAAAAGAGTGTTTCAAACGTGCTCTAAGAAACCGAATGTTCAACTCTGTGACTTGAATGCAGATATCACAAAGTAGTTTCTGAGAGTGCTTCTGTCTAGATTTTAGATGATGATATTCCCGTTTCCAACGAAATCATTAGAGCTATCCAAATATCCACTTACAGTTTCTACAAAAAGAGTGTTTCCAAACTGCTGCATCAAAAGAGAGGTTCCACTCTGTTAGCTGAGTACACACATCACCAACTTGTTTCTGAGAATCCTTCTGTCTCGTTTTTATGGGAAGATATTTACTTTTTCATCGTAGGCATCAAAGCGCTCCAAATGTCCACATCCAGATACTACAGAAAGAGTATTTCAAACCTGCTCTATGAAAGGGAATGTTCAACTCTATGAGTTGAATGCAGACATCAGAAAGAAATTTCTGAGAATGCTGCTGTCTACCTTTTATTTGAATTCCCGCTTCCAACGAAATCCTCCAAGCTATCCAAATATCCACTTGCAGATTCCACAAAAAGAGTGTTTCAAAACTGCTCTCTATCAATGGCAAAGTTAAACTCTGTTAGTTGAGGACACATATCGCCAACAAGTTTCTGAGAATGCTTCTGTCTATTTTTTATGGGAAGATATTTCCTTTTTCACCGTAGGCGTCAAGGCGATCGAAATGTCCACTTCCACAAACTACAAAAAGAGTGTTTCAAACCTGCTCTATGAAAGGCCATGTTCATCTCTATGAGTTGAATGGAAATATCCGAAAGAAATTTCTGGGAATGCTGCTGTCTAGTGTTTATACGAATTCCCGCTTCCAACGAAATCTTCAAAGCAATCCAAATATCCACTTGCAGAATCCACAAAAAGAGTGTTTCAAAACTGCTCTATCAATAGAAAGGTTCAACTCTTTTAGTTGAGTACACACATCACGAACAAGTTTCTGAGAATGCTTCTGTCTGGCTTTTATTGGAAGACGTTTCCTTTTCACCAAAGGCATCAAAGCGCTCCAAATGTCCACTTCCAGATTCTTCCAAAAGAGTGTTTCAAACGTGCTCAAGTAAGGGAATGTTCAACTCTGAGACTTGAATGCAGATATCACCAAGTAGTTTCTAATAGTGCTTCTGTCTAGATTTTAGATGATGATATTCCCGTTTCCAACGAAATCGTTAGAGCTATCCAAATATCCAGTTACAGTTTCTACAAAAAGAGTGTTTCCAAACTGCTGCATCAAAAGAAAGGTTCAACTCTGTTAGATGAGGACACACATCACAAAGAAGTTTGTGAGAATGCTTCTGTCTAGATTTTGTATGACGATATTCCCTTTTCCAACGATATCGTTAAAGCAATCTAAATATCAATTTGCAGAATCCACAAAAATAGCGTTTCAAAGCTGCTCTGTAAAAAGAAAGGTTCCACTCTGTTAGCTGAGAACACACATCACAAACTTGTTTCTGAGAATCCTTCTGTCTCGTTTTTATGGGAAGATATTTACTTTTCCACCGTAGGCATCAAAGCGCTCCAAATGTCCACATCCAGATACTCCAGAACGAGTGTTTCAAACCTGCTCTATGAAAGGGAATCTTCAACTCTATGAGTTGAATGCAGACATCAGAAAGAAATTTCTGAGAATGCTGCTGTCTACCTTTTATTTGAATTCCCGCTTCCAACGAAATCCTCCAAGCTATCCAAATATCCACCTGCATTTTCCACAAAGAGAGTGTTTCAAAACTGCTCTATCAATAGAAATGTTCAACTCCTTTGGCTGGGTACACACATCACAAACAAGTTTCTGAGAATGCTTCTGTCTAGTTTTTATGGGAAGACATTCCCTTTTTCACCAAAGGCATCAAAGCGCTCCAAATGTCCACTTCCAGACACTACAAAAAGAGTGTTTCAAACGTGCTCTAAGAAAGCGAATGTTCAACTCTGTGGCTTGAATGCAGATATCACAAAGTAGTTTCTGAGAGGGCTTCTGTCTAGATTTTAGATGATGATATTCCCGTTTCCAACGAAATCATTAGAGCTATCCAAATATCCACTTACAGTTTCTACAAAAAGAGTGTTTCCAAACTGCTGCATCAAAAGAGAGGTTCCACTCTGTTAGCTGAGTACACACATCACAAACTTGTTTCTCAGAATCCTTCTGTCTCGTTTTTATGGGAAGATATTTACTTTTCCACCGTAGGCATCAAAGCGCTCCAAATGTCCACATCCAGATACTCCAGAAAGAGTGTTTCAAACCTGCTCTATGAAAGGGAATCTTCAACTCTATGAGTTGAATGCAGACATCAGAAAGAAATTTCTGAGAATGCTGCTGTCTACCTTTTATTTGAATTCCCGCTTCCAACGAAATCCTCCAAGCTATCCAAATATCCACTTGCAGATTCCACAAAAAGAGTGTTTCAAAACTGCTCTCTATCAATGGCAAATTTCAACTCTGTTAGTTGAGGACACATATCACCAACAAGTTTCTGAGAATGCTTCTGTCTATTTTTTATGGGAAGATATTTCCTTTTTCACCGTAGGCGTCAAGGCGATCGAAATGTCCACTTCCACAAACTACAAAAAGAGTGTTTCAAACCTGCTCTATAAAAGGCGATGTTCATCTCTATGAGTTGAATGGAAATATCCGAAAGAAATTTCTGGGAATGCTGCTGTCTAGTTTTTATACGAATTCCCGCTTCCAACGAAATCCTCAAAGCAATCCAAATATCCACTTGCAGAATCCACAAAAAGAGTGTTTCAAAACTGCGCTATCAATAGAAAGGTTCAACTCTTTTAGTTGAGTACACACATCACAAACAAGTTTCTGAGAATGCTCTGTCTGGCTTTTATTGGAAGACGTTTCCTTTTCACCAAAGGCATCAAAGCGCTCCAAATGTCCACTTCCAGATTCTTCCAAAAGAGTGTTTCAAACGTGGTCGAAGTAAGGGAATGTTCAACTCTGTGACTTGAATGCAGATATCACCAAGTAGTTTCTAATAGTGCTTTCTGTGTATACTTTAGATGAAGATATTCCCGTTTCCAACGATATCGTTAGACCTATCCAAATATCCACTTACAGTTTCTACAAAAAGTGTGTTTCCAAACTGCTGCATCAAAAGAAAGGTTCAACTCTGTGAGTTGAGGACACACAACACAAAGAAGTTTCTGAGAAAGCTTCTGTCTAGATTTTGTATGACGATATTCCCTTTTCCAACGATATCGTTAAAGCAATCTAAATATCCATTTGCAGAATCCACAAAAATAGAGTTTCAAAGCTGCTCTGTAAAAAGAAAGGTTCCACTCTGTTAGCTGAGTACACACATCACAAACCTTGTTTCTCAGAATCCTGCTGTCTACCTTTTATTTGAATTCCTGCTTCCAACGAAATCCTCCAAGCTATCCAAATATCCACCTGCATTTTCCACAAAAAGAGCGTTTCAAAACTGCTCTATCAATAGAAATGTTCAACTCCTTTGGCTGGGTACACACATCACAAACAAGTTTCTGAGAATGCTTCTGTCTAGTTTTTATGGGAAGACATTTCTTTTTTCACCAAAGGCATCAAAGAGCTCCAAATGTCCACTTCCAGATACTACAAAAAGAGTGTTTCAAAAGTGCTCTAAGAAAGCGAATGTTCAACTCTGTGACTTGAATGCAGATATGAAAAAGTAGTTTCTGAGAGTGCTTCTCTCTAGATTTTAGATGATGATATTCCCGTTTCCAACGAAATCATTAGAGCTATCCAAATATCCCCTTACAGTTTCTACAAAAAGGGTGTTTCCAAACTACTGCATCAAAAGAGAGGTTCCACTCTGTTAGCTGAGTACACACATCACAAACTTGTTTCTCAGAATCCTCTGTCTCGTTTTTATGGGAAGATATTTACTTTTCCACCGTAGGCATCAAAGCGCTCCAAATGTCCACATCCAGATACTCCAGAACGAGTGTTTCAAACCTGCTCTATGAAAGGGAATCTTCAACTCCTATGAGTTGAATGCAGACATCAGAAAGAAATTTCTGAGAATGCTGGCTGTCTACCTTTTATTTGAATTCCCGCTTCCAACGAAATCCTCCAAGCTATCCAAATATCCACTTGCAGATTCCACAAAAAGAGTGTTTCAAAACTGCTCTCTATCAATGGCAAAGTTCAACTCTGTTAGTTGAGGACACATATCACCAACAAGTTTCTGAGAATGCTTCTGTCTATTTTTTATGGGAAGATATTTCCTTTTTCACCGTAGGCGTCAAGGCGATCGAAATGTCCACTTCCACAAACTACAAAAAGAGTGTTTCAAACCTGCTCTATGAAAGGCCATGTTCATCTCTATGAGTTGAATGGAAATATCCGAAAGAAATTTCTGGGAATGCTGCTGTCTAGTGTTTATACGAATTCCCGCTTCCAACGAAATCCTCAAAGCAATCCAAATATCCACTTGCAGAATCCACAAAAAGAGTGTTTCAAAACCGCTCTATCAATAGAAAGGTTCAACTCTTTTAGTTGAGTACACACATCACAAACAAGTTTCTGAGAATGCTTCTGTCTGGCTATTATTGGAAGACGTTTCCTTTTCACCAAAGTCATCATCAAAGCGCTCCAAATGTCCACTTCCAGATTCTTCCAAAAGAGTGTTTGAAACGTGCTCAAAGTAAGGGAATGTTCAACTCTGTGACTTGAATGCAGATATCACCAAGTAGTTTCTAATAGTGCTTTTTAGATGAAGATATTCCCGTTTCCAACGAAATCGTTAGAGCTATCCAAATATCCACTTACAGTTTCTACAAAAAGAGTGTTTCCAAACTGCTGCATCAAAAGAAAGGTTCAACTCTGTTAGTTGAGGACACACATCACAAAGAAGTTTGTGAGAATGCTTCTGTCTAGATTTTGTATGAAGATATTCCCTTTTCCAACGATGTCGTTAAATCAACCCAAATATCAATTTGCAGAATCCACAGAAATAGAGTTTCAAAGCTGCTCTGTAAAAAGAAAGGATCCACTCTGTTAGCTGAGTTCACACATCACAAACTTGTTTCTGAGAATCTTGCTGTCTAAATTTTATTTGAATTCCCGCTTCCAACGAAATCCTCCAAGCTATCCAAATATCCACCTGCATTTTCCACAAAAAGAGCGTTTCAAAACTGCTCTATCAATAGAAATGTTCAACTCCTTTGGCTGGGTACACACATCACAAACAAGTTTCTGAGAATGCTTCTGTCTAGTTTTTATGGGTAGACATTCCCTTTTTCACCAAAGGAATCAAAGCGCTCCAAATGTCCACTTCCAGACACTACAAAAAGAGTGTTTCAAACGTGCTCTAAGAAAGCGAATGTTCAACTCTGTGACTTGAATGCAGATATCACAAAGTAGTTTCTGAGAGGGCTTCTGTCTCGATTTTAGATGATGATATTCCCGTTTCCAACGAAATCATTAGAGCTATCCAAATATCCACTTACAGTTTCTACAAAAAGAGTGTTTCCAAACTGCTGCATCAAAAGTGAGGTTCCACTCTGTTAGCTGAGTACACACATCACAAACTTGTTTCTGAGAATCCTTCTGTCTAGCTTTTATGGGAAGATATTTAATTTTTCACCGTAGGCATCAAAGCGTTCCAAATGTCCACATCCAGATAGTACAGAAAGAGTGTTTCAAACCTGCTCTATGAAAGGGAATGTTCAACTCTATGAGTTGAATGCAAACATCACAAAGAAATTTCTGAGAATGCTGCTGTCTACCTTTCATTTGAATTCCCGCTTCCAACGAAATCCTCCAGGCTATCCAAATATCCACTTGCAGATTCCACAAAAAGAGGGTTTCTAAACTGCTCTATCAATGGCAAGGTTCAACTCTGTCAGTTGAGGATACACATCACAAACAAGTTTCTGAGAATTCTTCTGTCTATTTTTTATGGGAAGATATTTCCTTTTTCACCGTAGGCGTCAAGGCGATCGAAATGTCCACTTCCACAAACTACAAAAAGAGTGTTTCAAACCTGCTCTATGAAAGGCCATGTTCATCTCTATGAGTTGAATGGAAATATCCGAAAGAAATTTCTGGGAATGCTGCTGTCTAGTTTTTATACGAATTCCCGCTTCCAACGAAATCCTCAAAGCAATCCAAATATCCACTTGCAGAATCCACAAAAAGAGTGTTTCAAAACTGCTCTATCAATAGAAAGGTTCAACCCTTTTAGTTGAGTACACACATCACGAACAAGTTTCTGAGAATGCTTCTGTCTGGCTTTTATTGGAAGACGTTTCCTTTTCACCAAAGGCATCAAAGCGCTCCAAATGTCCACTTCCAGATTCTTCCAAAAGAGTGTTTGAAACGTGCTCAAAGTAAGGGAATGTTCAACTCTGTGACTTGAATGCAGATATCACCAAGTAGTTTCTAATAGTGCTTCTGTGTATACTTTAGATGAAGATATTCCCGTTTCCAACGATATCGTTAGACCTATCCAAATATCCACTTACAGTTTCTACAAAAAGAGTGTTTCCAAACTGCTGCATCAAAAGAAAGGTTCAAGTCTGTTAGTTGAGGACACACATCACAAAGAAGTTTCTGAGAAAGCTTCTGTCTAGATTTTGTATGAAGATATTCCCTTTTCCAACGATGTCGTTAAATCAACCCAAATGTCAATTTGCAGAATCCACAGAAATAGAGTTTCAAAGCTGCTCTGTAAAAAGAAAGGATCCACTCTGTTAGCTGAGTACACACATCACAAACTTGTTTCTGAGAATCCTTCTGTCTAGTTTTTATGGGAAGATATTTACTTTTTCACCGTAGGTATCAAAGCGCTCCAAATGTCCACATCCAGATACTACAGAAAGAGTGTTTCAAACCTGCTCTATGAAAGGGAATCTTCAACTCTATGAGTTGAATGCAGACAACAGAAAGTAATTTCTGAGAATGCTGCTGTCTACCTTTCATTTGAATTCCCGCTTCCGACGAAATCCTCCAAGCTATCCAAATATTCACTTGCAGATTCCACAAAAAGAGTGTTTCAAAACTACTCTATCAATAGAAAGGTACAACTCTGTCAGTTGAGGACACACATCACAAACAAGTTTCTGAGAATTCTTCAATTTTTTATGGGAAGACATTTCCTTTTTCACCGTAGGCGTCAAAGCGCTCCAAATGTCCACATCCGGATAGTACAGAAAGAGTGTTTCAAACCTGCTCTATTAAAGGGAATGTTCAACTCTATGAGTTGAATGCAAACATCAGAAAGAAATTTCTGAGAATGCTTCTGTCTAGATTTTAGATGATGATATTCCCGTTTCCAACGAAATCATTAGAGCTATCCAAATATCCACTTACAGTTTCTACAAAAAGAGTGTTTCCAAACTGCTGCATCAAAAGAGAGGTTCCACTCTGTTAGCCCGAGTACACACATCACAAACTTGTTTCTCAGAATCCTTCTGTCTCGTTTTTATGGGAAGATATTTACTTTTTCACCGTAGGCATCAAAGCGCTTCAAATGTCCACATCCAGATACTCCAGAAAGAGTGTTTCAAACCTGCTCTATGAAAGGGAATCTTCAACTCTATGAGTTGAATGCAGACATCAGAAAGAAATTTCTGAGAATGCTGCTGTCTACCTTTTATTTGAATTCCCGCTTCCAACGAAATCCTCCAAGCTATCCAAATATCCACTTGCAGATTCCACAAAAAGAGTGTTTCAAAACTGCTCTCTATCAATGGCAAAGTTCAACTCTGTTAGTTGAGGACACATATCACCAACAAGTTTCTGAGAATGCTTCTGTCTATTTTTTATGGGAAGATATTTCCTTTTTCACGGTAGGCGTCAAGGCGATCGAAATGTCCACTTCTACAAACTACAAAAAGAGTGTTTCAAACCTGCTCTATGAAAGGCCATGTTCATCTCTATGAGTTGAATGGAAATATCCGAAAGAAATTTCTGGGAATGCTGCTGTCTAGTGTTTATACGAATTCCCGCTTCCAACGAAATCCTCAAAGCAATCCAAATATCCACTTGCAGAATCCACAAAAAGAGTGTTTCAAAACTGCTCTATCAATAGAAAGGTTCAACTCTTTTAGTTGAGTACACACATCACGAACAAGTTTCTGAGAATGCTTCTGTCTGTCTTTTATTGGAAGACGTTTCCTTTTCACCAAAGGCATCAAAGCGCTCCAAATGTCCACTTCCAGATTCTTCCAAAAGAGTGTTTCAAACGTGCTCAAAGTAAGGGAATGTTCAACTCTGTGACTTGAATGCAGATATCACCAAGTAGTTTCTAATAGTGCTTCTGTCTAGATTTTAGATGATGATATTCCCGTTTCCAACGAAATCGTTAGAGCTATCCAAATATCCACTTACAGTTTCTACAAAAAGAGTGTTTCCAAACTGCTGCATCAAAAGAAAGGTTCAACTCTGTTAGTTGAGGAGACACATCACAAAGAAGTTTGTGAGAATGCTTCTGTCTAGATTTTGTATGACGATATTCCCTTTTCCAACGATATCGTTAAAGCAATCTAAATATCAATTTGCAGAATCCACAAAAATAGAGTTTCAAAGCTGCTCTGTAAAAAGAAAGGTTCCACTCTGTTAGCTGAGTACACACATCACAAACTTCTTTCTGAGAATCCTTCTGTCTCGTTTTTATGGGAAGATATTTACTTTTTCACCGTAGGCATCAAAGCGCTCCAAATGTCCACATCCAGATACTCCAGAAAGAGTGTTTCAAACCTGCTCTATGAAAGGGAATCTTCAACTCTATGAGTTGAATGCAGACATCAGAAAGAAATTTCTTAGAATGCTGCTGTCTACCTTTTATTTGAATTCCCGCTTCCAACGAAATCCTCCAAGCTATCCAAATATCCACCTGCATTTTCCACAAAAAGAGTGTTTCAAACCTGCTCTATCAATAGAAATGTTCAACTCCTTTGGCTGGGTACACACATCACAAACAAGTTTCTGAGAATGCTCTGTCTAGTTTTTATGGGTAGACATTCCCTTTTTCACCAAAGGAATCAAAGCGCTCCAAATGTCCACTTCCAGACACTACAAAAAGAGTGTTTCCAACGTGCTCTAAGAAAGCGAATGTTCAACTCTGTGACTTGAATGCAGATATCACAAAGTAGTTTCTGAGAGGGCTTTCTGTCTAGGTTTTAGATGATGATATTCCCGTTTCCAACGAAATCATTAGAGCTATCCAAATATCCACTTACGGTTTCTACAAAAAGAGTGTTTCCAAACTGCTGCATCAAAAGAGAGGTTCCACTCTGTTAGCTGAGTACACACATCACAAACTTGTTTCTGAGAATCCTTCTGTCTCGTTTTTCTGGGAAGATATTTACTTTTTCACCGTAGGCATCAAAGCGCTCCAAATGTCCACATCCAGATACTCCAGAAAGAGTGTTTCAAACCTGCTCTATGAAAGGGAATCTTCAACTCTATGAGTTGAATGCAGACATCAGAAAGAAATTTCTGAGAATGCTGCTGTCTACCTTTTATTTGAATTCCCGCTTGCAACGAAATCCTCCAAGCTATCCAAATATCCACTTGCAGATTCCACAAAAAGAGTGTTTCAAAACTGCTCTCTATCAATGGCAAGGTTCAACTCTGTTAGTTGAGGACACATATCACCAACAAGTTTCTGAGAATGCTTCTGTCTATTGTTTATGGGAAGATATTTCCTTTTTCACCGTAGGCGTCAAGGCGATCGAAATGTCCACTTCCACAAACTACAAAAAGAGTGTTTCAAACCTGCTCTATGAAAGGCGATGTTCATCTCTATGAGTTGAATGGAAATATCCGAAAGAAATTTACTGGGAATGCTGCTGTCTAGTGTTTATACGAATTCCCGCTTCCAACGAAATCCTCAAAGCAATCCAAGTATCCACTTGCAGAATCCACAAAAAGAGTGTTTCAAAACTGCTCTATCAATAGAAAGGTTCAACTCTTTTAGTTGAGTACACACATCACGAACAAGTTTCTGAGAATGCTTCTGTCTGGCTTTTATTGGAAGACGTTTCCTTTTCACCAAAGGCATCAAAGCGCTCCAAATGTCCACTTCCAGATTCTTCCAAAAGAGTGTTTCAAACGTGCTCAAAGTAAGGGAATGTTCAACTCTGTGACTTGAATGCAGATATCACCAAGTAGTTTCTAATAGTGCTTCTGTCTAGATTTTAGATGATGATATTCCCGTTTCCAACGAAATCGTTAGATCTATCCAAATATCCAGTTACAGTTTCTACCAAAAGAGTGTTTCCAAACTGCTGCATCAAAAGAAAGGTTCAACTCTGTTAGTTGAGGACACACATCACAAAGAAGTTTGTGAGAATGCTTCTGTCTATATTTTGTATGACCTATTCCCTTTTCCAGCGATATCATTAAAGCAATCTAAATATCCATTTGCAGAATCCACAAAAATAGAGTTTCAAAGCTGCTCTGTAAAAAGAAAGGTTCCACTCTGTTAGCTGAGTACACACATCACAAACTTGTTTCTCAGAATCCTGCTGTCTACCTTTTATTTGAACTCCCGCTTCCAACGAAATCCTCCAAGCTATGCAAATATCCACTTGCATTTTCCACAAAAAGAGTGTTTCAAAACTGCTCTATCAATAGACATGTTCAACTCCTTTAGCTGGGTACACACATCACAAACAAGTTTCTGAGAATGCTTCTGTCTAGTTTTTATGGGTAGACATTCCCTTTTTCACAAAAGGAATCAAAGCGCTCCAAATGTCCACTTCCAGACACTACAAAAAGAGTGTTTCAAACGTGCTCTAAGAAAGCGAATGTTCAACTCTGTGACTTGAATGCAGATATCACAAAGTAGTTTCTGAGAGGGCTTCTGTCTAGATTTTAGATGATGATATTCCCGTTTCCAACGAAATCATTAGAGCTATCCAAATATCCACTTACAGTTTCTACAAAAAGAGTGTTTCCAAACTGCTGCATCAAAACAGAGGTTCCACTCTGTTAGCTGAGTACACACATCACAAACTTGTTTCTCAGAATCCTTCTGTCTCGTTTTTATGGGGGAAGATATTTACTTTTTCACTGTAGGCATCAAAGCGCTCCACATGTCCACATCCAGATACTACAGAAAGAGTATTTCAAACCTGTCCTATGAAAGGGAATGTTCAACTCTATGAGTTGAATGCAGACATCAGAAAGAAATTTCTGAGAATGCTGCTGTCTACCTTTTATTTGAATTCCCGCTTCCAACGAAATCCTCCAAGCTATCCAAATATCCACTTGCAGATTCCACAAAAAGAGTGTTTCAAAACTGCTCTCTATCAATGGCAAAGTTCAACTCTGTTAGTTGAGGACACATATCACCAACAAGTTTCTGAGAATGCTTCTGTCTATTTTTTATGGGAAGATATTTCCTTTTTCACCGTAGGCGTCAAGGCGATCGAAATGTCCACTTCCACAAACTACAAAAAGAGTGTTTCAAACCTGCTCTATGAAAGGCCATGTTCATCTCTATGAGTTGAATGGAAATATCCGAAAGAAATTTCTGGGAATGCTGCTGTCTAGTTTTTATACGAATTCCCGCTTCCAACGAAATCCTCAAAGCAATCCAAATATCCACTTGCAGAATCCACAAAAAGAGTGTTTCAAAACTGCACTATCAATAGAAAGGTTCAACACTTTTAGTTGAGTACACACATCACGAACAAGTTTCTGAGAATGCTTCTGTCTGGCTTTTATTGGAAGACGTTTCCTTTTCACCAAAGGCATCAAAGCGCTCCAAATGTCCACTTCCAGATTCTTCCAAAAGAGTGTTTCAAACGTGCTCAAAGTAAGGGAATGTTCAAATCTGTGACTTGAATGCAGATATCACCAAGTAGTTTCTAATAGTGCTTCTGTCTAGATTTTAGATGATGATATTCCCGTTTCCAACGAAATCGTTAGAGCTATCCAAATATCCACTTACAGTTTCTACCAAAAGGGTGTTTCCAAACTGTTGCATCAAAAGAAAGGTTCAACTCTGTTAGTTGAGGACACACATCACAAAGAAGTTTGTGAGAATGCTTCTGTCCAGATTTTGTATGACAATATTCCCTTTTCCAACGATATCGTTAAAGCAATCTAAATATCAATTTGCAAAATCCACAAAAATAGAGTTTCAAAGCTGCTCTGTAAAAAGAAAGGTTCCACTCTGTTAGCTGAGTACACACATCACAAACTTGTTTCTGAGAATCCTGCTGTCTACCTTTTATTTGAATTCCCGCTTCCAACGAAATCCTCCAAGCTATCCAAATATCCACCTGCATTTTCCACAAAAAGAGTGTTTCAAAACTGCTCTATCAATAGAAATGTTCAACTCCTTTGGCTGGGTACACACATCACAAACAAGTTTCTGAGAATGCTTTCTGTCTAGTTTTTATTGGAAGACATTTCCTTTTTCACCAAAGGCATCAAGGAGCTCCAAATGTCCACTTCCAGATACTACAAAAAGAGTGTTTCAAAAGTGCTCTAAGAAAGCGAATGTTCAACTCTGTGACTTGAATGCAGATATCAAAAAGTAGTTTCTGAGAGTGCTTCTGTCTAGATTTTAGATGATGATATTCCCGTTTCCAACGAAATCATTAGAGCTATCCAAATATCCACTTACAGTTTCTACAAAAAGAGTGTTTCCAAACTGCTGCATCAAAAGAGAGGTTCCACTCTGTTAGCTGAGTACACACATCACAAACTTGTTTCTCAGAATCCTTCTGTCTCGTTCTTATGGGAAGATATTTACTTTTTCACCGTAGGCATCAAAGCGCTCCAAATGTCCACATCCAGATACTCCAGAAAGAGTGTTTCAAACCTGCTCTATGAAAGGGAATCTTCAACTCTATGAGTTGAATGCAGACATCAGAAAGAAATTTCTGAGAATGCTGCTGTCTACCTTTTATTTGAATTCCCGCTTCCAACGAAATCCTCCAAGCTATCCAAATATCCACTTGCAGATTCCACAAAAAGAGTGTTTCAAAACTGCTCTCTATCAATGGCAAAGTTCAACTCTGTTAGTTGAGGACACATATCACCAACAAGTTTCTGAGAATGCTTCTGTCTATTTTTTATGGGAAGATATTTCCTTTTTCACCGTAGGCGTCAAGGCGATCGAAATGTCCACTTCCACAAACTACAAAAAGAGTGTTTCAAACCTGCTCTCTGAAAGGCCATGTTCATCTCTATGAGGTGAATGGAAATATCCGAAAGAAATTTCTGGGAATGCTGCTGTCTAGTTTTTATACGAATTCCCGCTTCCAACGAAATCCTCAAAGCAATCCAAATATCCACTTGCAGAATCCACAAAAAGAGTGTTTCAAAACTGCTCTGTCAATAGAAAGGTTCAACTCTTTTAGTTGAGTACACACATCACAAACAAGTTTCTGAGAATGCTTCTGTCTGGCTTTTATTGGAAGACGTTTCCTTTTCACCAAAGGCATCAAAGCGCTCCAAATGTCCACTTCCAGATTCTTCCAAAAGAGTGTTTGAAACGTGCTCAAAGTAAGGGAATGTTCAACTCTGTGACTTGAATGCAGATATCACCAAGTAGTTTCTAATAGTGCTTCTGTCTACATTTTAGATGATGATATTCCCTTTTCCAACGAAATCGTTAGAGCTATCCAAATATCCAGTTACAGTTTCTACCAAAAGGGTGTTTCCAAATTGCTGCATCAAAAGAAAGGTTCAACTCTGTTAGTTGAGGACACACATCACAAAGAAGTTTGTGAGAATGCTTCTGTCTAGATTTTAGATGATGATATTCCCGTTTCCAACGAAATCATTAGAGCTATCCAAATATCCACTTACAGTTTCTACAAAAAGAGTGTTTCCAAACTGCTGCATCAAAAGAGAGGTTCCACTCTGTTAGCTGAGTACACACATCACAAACTTATTTCTCAGAATCCTGCTGTCTACCTTTTATTTGAATTCCCGCTTCCAACGAAAACCTACAAGCTATCCAAATATCCACTTGCAGATTCCACAAAAAGAGTGTTTCAAAACTGCTCTATCAATAGAAATGTTCAACTCCTTTCGCTGGGTACACACATCACAAACAAGTTTCTGAGAAAGCTTCTGTCTAGTTTTTATGGGAAGACATTTCCTTTTTCACCAAAGGCATCAAAGAGCTCCAAATGTCCACTTCCAGATACTACAAAAAGAGTGTTTCAAAAGTGCTCTAAGAAAGCGAATGTTCAAGTCTGTGACTTGAATGCAGATATCAAAAAGTAGTTTCTGAGAGTGCTTCTGGCTAGATTTTAGATGATGATATTCCCGTTTCCAACGAAATCATTAGAGCTATCCAAATATCCACTTACAGTTTCTACAAAAAGAGTGTTTCCAAACTGCTGCATCAAAAGAGAGGTTCCACTCTGTTAGCTGAGTACACACATCACAAACTTGTTTCTCAGAATCCTTCTGTCTCGTTTTTATGGGAAGATATTTACTTTTCCACCGTAGGCATCAAAGCGCTCCAAATGTCCACATCCAGATACTCCAGAAAGAGTGTTTCAAACCTGCTCTATGAAAGGGAATCTTCAACTCTATGAGTTGAATGCAGACATCAGAAAGAAATTTCTGAGAATGCTGCTGTCTACCTTTTATTTGAATTCCCGCTTCCAACGAAATCCTCCAAACTATCCAAATATCCACTTGCAGATTCAGGAAAAAGAGTGTTTCAAAACTGCTCTCTATCAATGGCAAAGTTCAACTCTGTTAGTTGAGGACACATATCACCAACAAGTTTCTGAGAATGCTTCTGTCTATTTTTTATGGGAAGATATTTCCTTTTTCACCGTAGGCGTCAAGGCGATCGAAATGTCCACTTCCACAAACTACAAAAAGAGTGTTTCAAACCTGCTCTATGAAAGGCCATGTTCATCTCTATGAGTTGAATGGAAATATCCGAAAGAAATTTCTGGGAATGCTGTTGTCTAGTGTTTGTACGAATTCCCGCTTCCAACGAAATCCTCAAAGCAATCCAAATATCCACTTGCAGAATCCACAAAAAGAGTGTTTCAAAACTGCTCTATCAATAGAAAGGTTCAACTCTTTTAGTTGAGTACACACATCACGAACAAGTTTCTCAGAATGCTTCTGTCTGGCTTTTATTGGAAGACGTTTCCTTTTCACCAAAGGCATCAAAGCGCTCCAAATGTCCACTTCCAGATTCTTCCAAAAGAGTGTTTCAAACGTGCTCAAAGTAAGGGAATGTTCAACTCTTTGACTTGAATGCAGATATCACCAAGTAGTTTCTAATAGTGCTTCTGTCTACATTTTAGATGATGATATTCCCGTTTCCAACGAAATCGTTAGAGCTATCCAAATATCCAGTTACAGTTTCTACCAAAAGGGTGTTTCCAAATTGCTGCATCAAAAGAAAGGTTCAACTCTGTTAGTTGAGGACACACATCACAAAGAAGTTTGTGAGAATGCTTCTGTCTAGATTTTGTATGACGATATTCCCTTTTCCAACGATATCGTTAAAGCAATCTAAATATCAATTTGCAGAATCCACAAAAATAGAGTTTCAAAGCTGCTCTGTAAAAAGAAAGGTTCCACTCTGTTAGCTGAGTACACACATCACAAACTTGTTTCCTCAGAATCCTTTCTGTCTCGTTTTTATGGGAAGATATTTACTTTTTCACCATAGGCATCAAAGCGCTCCAAATGTCCACATCCAGATACTCCAGAAAGAGTGTTTCAAACCTGCTCTATGAAAGGGAATCTTCAACTCTATGAGTTGAATGCAGACATCAGAAAGAAATTTCTGAGAATGCTGTTGTCTACCTTTTATTTGAAATCCCGCTTCCAACGAAATCCTCCAAGCTATCCAAATATCCACCTGCATTTTCCACAAAAAGAGTGTTTCAAAACTGCTCTATCAATAGAAATGTTCAACTCCTTTAGCTGGGTACACACATCACAAACAAGTTTCTGAGAATGCTTCTGTCTAGTTTTTATGGGAAGACGTTCCCTTTTTCACCAAAGGCATCAAAGCGCTCCAAATGTCCACTTCCAGACACTACAAAAAGAGTGTTGCAAACGTGCTCTAAGAAAGCGAATGTTCAACTCTGTGACTTGAATGCAGATATCACAAAGTAGTTTCTGAGAGGGCTTCTGTCTAGATTTTAGATGATGATATTCCCGTTTCCAACGAAATCATTAGAGCTATCCAAATATCCACTTACAGTTTCTACAAAAAGAGTGTTTCCAAACTGCTGCATCAAAAGAGAGGTTCCACTCTGTTAGCTGAGTACACACATCACAAACTTGTTTCTCAGAATCCTTCTGTCTCGTTTTTATGGGAAGATATTTACTTTTTCACCGTAGGCATCAAAGCGCTCCAAATGCCCACATCCAGATACTCCAGAAAGAGTGTTTCAAACCTGCTCTATGAAAGGGAATGTTCAACTCTATGAGTTGAATGCAGACATCAGAAAGAAATTTCTGAGAATGCTGCTGTCTACCTTTTATTTGAATTCCCGCTTCCAACGAAATCCTCCAAGCTATCCAAATATCCACTTGCAGATTCCACAAAAAGAGTGTTTCAAAACTGCTCTCTATCAATGGCAAAGTTCAACTCTGTTAGTTGAGGACACATATCACCAACAAGTTTCTGAGAATGCTTCTGTCTATTTTTTATGGGAAGATATTTCCTTTTTCACCGTAGGCGTCAAGGCGATCGAAATGTCCACTTCCACAAACTACAAAAAGAGTGTTTCAAACCTGCTCTATGAAAGGCGATGTTCATCTCTATGAGTTGAATGGAAATATCCGAAAGAAATTTCTGGGAATGCTGCTGTCTAGTTTTTATATGAATTCCCGCTTCCAACGAAATCCTCAAAGCAATCCAAATATCCACTTGCAGAATCCACAAAAAGAGTGTTTCAAAACTGCTCTATCAATAGAAAGGTTCAACTCTTTTAGTTGAGTACACACATCACAAACAAGTTTCTGAGAATGTTTTCTGTCTGGCTTTTATTGGAAGACGTTTCCTTTTCACCAAAGGCATCAAAGCGCTCCAAATGTCCACTTCCAGATTCTTCCAAAAGAGTGTTTGAAACGTGCTCAAAGTAAGGGAATGTTCAACTCTGTGACTTGAATGCAGATATCACCAAGTAGTTTCTAATAGTGCTTCTGTCTAGATTTTAGATGATGATATTCCCGTTTCCAACGAAATCGTTAGAGCTATCCAAATATCCAGTTACAGTTTCTACCAAAAGGGTGTTTCCAAATTGCTGCATCAAAAGAAAGGTTCAACCTCTGTTAGTTGAGGACACACATCACAAAGAAGTTTGTGAGAATGCTTCTGTCTAGATTTTGTATGACCATATTCCCTTTTCCAGCGATATCATTAAAGCAATCTAAATATCCATTTGCAGAATCCACAAAAATAGAGTTTCAAAGCTGCTCTGTAAAAAGAAAGGTTCCACTCTGTTAGCTGAGTACACACATCACAAACTTGTTTCTCAGCATCCTGCTGTCTACCTTTTATTTGAATTCCCGCTTCCAACGAAATCCTCCTAGCTATCCAAACATCCACTTGCATTTTCCACAAAAAGAGTGTTTCAAAACTGCTCTATCAATAGAAACGTTCAACTCCTTTAGCTGGGTACACACATCACAAACAAGTTTCTGAGAATGCTTCTGTCTAGTTTTTATGGGAAGACATTCCCTTTTTCACCAAAGGCACCAAAGCGCTCCAAATGTCCACTTCCAGACACTACAAAAAGAGTGTTTCAAACGTGCTCTAAGAAACCGAATGTTCAACTCTGTGACTTGAATGCAGATATCACAAAGTAGTTTCTGAGAGGGCTTCTGTCTAGATTTTAGATGATGATATTCCCGTTTCCAACAAAATCATTAGAGCTTCCAAATATCCACTTACAGTTTCTACAAAAAGAGTGTTTCCAAACTGCTGCATCAAAAGAGAGGTTCCACTCTGTTAGCTGAGTACACACATCACAAACTTGTTTCTCAGAATCCTTCTGTCTAGCTTTTATGGGAAGATATTTCCTTTTTCACCATAGGCATCAAAGCGATCCCAATGTCCACATCCAGATAGTACAGAAAGAGTGTTTCAAACCTGCTCTATGAAAGGGAATGTTCAACTCTATGAGTTGAAGGCAAACATCACAAAGAAATTTCTGAGAATGCTGCTGTCTACCTTTTATTTGAATTCCCGCTTCCAACGAAATCCTCCAAGCTATCCAAATATCCACCTGCGTTTTCCACAACAAGAGTGTTTCAAAACTGCTCTATCAATAGAAATGTTCAACTCCTTTGGCTGGGTACACACATCACAAACAAGTTTCTGAGAATGCTTCTGTCTATTTTTTATGGGAAGATATTTCCTTCTTCACCGTAGGCGTCAAGGCGATCGAAATGTCCACTTCCACAAACTACAAAAAGAGTGTTTCAAACCTGCTCTATGAAAGGCCATGTTCATCTCTATGAGTCGAATGGAAATATCCGAAAGAAATTTTCTGGGAATGCTGCTGTCTAGTTTTATACGAATTCCCGCTTCCAACGAAATCCTCAAAGCAATCCAAATATCCACTTGCAGAATCCACAAAAAGAGTGTTTCAAAACTGCTCTATCAATAGAAAGGTTCAACTCTTTTAGTTGAGTACACACATCACAAACAAGTTTCTGAGAATGCTTCTGTCTGGCTTTTATTGGAAGACGTTTCCTTTTCACCAAAGGCATCAAAGCGCTCCAAATGTCCACTTCCAGATTCTTCCAAAAGAGTGTTTGAAACGTGCTCAAAGTAAGGGAATGTTCAACTCTGTGACTTGAATGCAGATATCACCAAGTAGTTTCTAATAGTGCTTCTGTCTAGATTTTAGATGATGATATTCCCGTTTCCAAGGAAATCGTTAGAGCTATCCAAATATCCAGTTACAGTTTCTACCAAAAGGGTGTTTCCAAATTGCTGCATCAAAAGAAAGGTTCAACTCTGTTAGTTGAGGACACACATCACAAAGAAGTTTGTGAGAATGCTTCTGTCTAGATTTTGTATGACGATATTCCCTTTTCCAACGATATCGTTAAAGCAATCTAAATATCAATTTGCAGAATCCACAAAAATAGAGTTTCAAAGCTGCTCTGTAAAAAGAAAGGTTCCACTCTGTTAGCTGAGTACACACATCACAAACTTGTTTCTGAGAATCCCTTCTGTCTCGTTTTTATGGGAAGATATTTACTTTTCCACCGTAGGCATCAAAGCGCTCCAAAGGTCCACATCCAGATACTCCAGAACGAGTGTTTCAAACCTGCTCTATGAAAGGGAATCTTCAACTCTATGAGTTGAATGCAGACATCAGAAAGAAATTTCTGAGAATGCTGCTGTCTACCTTTTATTTGAATTCCCGCTTCCAACGAAATCCTCCAAGCTATCCAAATATCCACTTGCATTTTCCACAAAAAAAGTGTTTCATAACTGCTCTGTCAATAGAAATATTCAACTCCTTTAGCTGGGTACACACATCACAAACAAGTTTCTGAGAATGCTTCTGTCTAGTTTTTATGGGAAGACGTTCCCTTTTTCACCAAAGGCATCAAAGCGCTCCAAATGTCCACTTCCAGACACTACAAAAAGAGTGTTTCAAACGTGCTCTAAGAAACCGAATGTTCAACTCTGTGACTTGAATGCAGATATCACAAAGTAGTTTCTGAGAGGGCTTCTGTCTAGATTTTAGACGATGATATTCCCGTTTCCAACGAAATCATTAGAGCTATCCAAATATCCACTTACAGTTTCTACAAAAAGAGTGTTTCCAAACTGCTGCATCAAAAGAGAGGTTCCACTCTGTTAGCTGAGTACACACATCACAAACTTGTTTCTCAGAATCCTTCTGTCTCGTTTTTATGGGAAGATATTTACTTTTTCACCGTAGGCATCAAAGCGCTCCAAATGTCCACATCCAGATAGTACAGAAAGAGTTTTTCAAACCTGCTCTATGAAAGGGAATCTTCAACTCTATGAGTTGAATGCAGACATCAGAAAGAAATTTCTGAGAATGCTGCTGTCTACCTTTTATTTGAATTCCCGCTTCCAACGAAATCCTCCAAGCTATCCAAATATCCACTTGCAGATTCCACAGAAAGAGTGTTTCAAAACTGCTCTCTATCAATGGCAAAGTTCAACTCTGTTAGTTGAGGACACATATCACCAACAAGTTTCTGAGAATGCTTCTGTCTATTTTTTATGGGAAGATATTTCCTTTTTCACCGTAGGCGTCAAGGCGATCGAAATGTCCACTTCCACAAACTACAAAAAGAGTGTTTCAAACCTGCTCTATGAAAGGCCATGTTCATCTCTATGAGTTGAATGGAAATATCCGAAAAAAATTTCTGGGAATGCTGCTGTCTAGTTTTTATATGAATTCCCGCTTCCAACGAAATCCTCAAAGCAATCCAAATATCCACTTGCAGAATCCACAAAAAGAGTGTTTCAAAACTGCTCTATCAATAGAAAGGTTCAACTCTTTTAGTTGAGTACACACATCACGAACAAGTTTCTGAGAATGCTTCTCTCTGGCTTTTATTGGAAGACGTTTCCTTTTCACCAAAGGCATCAAAGCGCTCCAAATGTCCACTTCCAGATTCTTCCAAAAGAGTGTTTCAAACGTGCTCAAAGTAAGGGAATGTTCAACTCTGTGACTTGAATACAGATATCACCAAGTAGTTTCTAATAGTGCTTCTATCTAGATTTTAGATGATGATATTCCCGTTTCCAACGAAATCGTTAGAGCTATCCAAATATCCACTTACAGTTTCTACAAAAAGAGTGTTTCCAAACTGCTGCATCAAAAGAAAGGTTCAACTCTGTTAGTTGAGGACACACATCACAAAGAAGTTTGTGAGAATGCTTCTGTCTAGATTTTGTATGACGATATTCCCTTTTCCAACGATATCATTAAAGCAATCTAAATATCCATTTGCAGAATCCACAAAAATAGAGTTTCAAAGCTGCTCTGTAAAAAGAAAGGTTCCACTCTGTTAGCTGAGTACACACATCACAAACTTGTTTCTCAGAATCCTTCTGTCTCGTTTTTATGGGAAGATATTTACTTTTCCACCGTAGGCATCAAAGCGCTCCAAATGTCCACATCCAGATACTCCAGAAAGAGTGTTTCAAACCTGCTCTATGAAAGGGAATCTTCAACTCTATGAGTTGAATGCAGACATCAGAAAGAAATTTCTGAGAAATGCTGTTGTCTACCTTTTATTTGAAATCCCGCTTCCAACGAAAGCCTCCAAGCTATCCAAATATCCACTTGCATTTTCCACAAAAAGAGTGTTTCAAAACTGCTCTATCAATAGAAATGTTCAACTCCTTTAGCTGGGTACACACATCACAAACAAGTTTCTGAGAATGCTTCTGTCTAGTTTTTATGGGAAGACATTCCCTTTTTCACCAAAGGCATCAAAGCGCTCCAAATGTCCACTTCCAGACACTACAAAAAGAGTGTTTCAAACGTGCTCTAAGAAACCGAATGTTCAACTCTGTGACTTGAATGCAGATATCACAAAGTACTTTCTGAGACGGCTTCTGTCTAGATTTTAGATGATGATATTCCCGTTTCCAACGAAATCATTAGAGCTATCCAAATATCCACTTACAGTTTCTACAAAAAGAGTGTTTCCAAACTGCTGCATCCAAAGAGAGGTTCCACTCTGTTAGCTGAGTACACACATCACAAACTTGTTTCTCAGAATCCTTCTGTCTCGTTTTTATGGGAAGATATTTACTTTTTCACCGTAGGCATCAAAGCGCTCCAAATGTCCACATCTAGATACTCCAGAAAGAGTGTTTCAAACCTGCTCTATGAAAGGGAATCTTCAACTCTATGAGTTGAATGCAGACATCAGAAAGAAATTTCTGAGAATGCTGCTGTCTACCTTTTATTTGAATTCCCGCTTCCAACGAAATCCTCCAAGCTATCCAAATATCCACTTGCAGATTCCACAAAAAGAGTGTTTCAAAACTGCTCTCTATCAATGGCAAAGTTCAACTCTGTTAGTTGAGGACACATATCACCAACAAGTTTCTGAGAATGCTTCTGTCTATTTTTTATGGGAAGATATTTCCTTTTTCACTGTAGGCGTCAAGGCGATCGAAATGTCCACTTCCACAAACTACAAAAAGAGTGTTTCAAACCTGCTCTATGAAAGGCGATGTTCATCTCTATGAGTTGAATGGAAATATCCGAAAGAAATTTCTGGGAATGCTGCTGTCTAGTTTTTATATGAATTCCCGCTTCCAACGAAATCCTCAAAGCAATCCAAATATCCACTTGCAGAATCCACAAAAAGAGTGTTTCAAAACTGCTCTATCAATAGAAAGGTTCAACTCTTTTAGTTGAGTACACACATCACAAACAAGTTTCTGAGAATGCTTCTGTCTGGCTTTTATTGGAAGACGTTTCCTTTTCACCAAAGGCATCAAAGCGCTCCAAATGTCCACTTCCAGATTCTTCCAAAAGAGTGTTTCAAACGTGCTCAAAGTAAGGGAATGTTCAACTCTGTGACTTGAATGCAGATATCACCAAGTAGTTTCTAATAGTGCTTCTGTCTAGATTTTAGATGATGATATTCCCGTTTCCAACGAAATCGTTAGAGCTATCCAAATATCCACTTACACTTTCTACAAAAAGAGTGTTTCCAAACTGCTGCATCAAAAGAAAAGTTCAACTCTGTTAGTTGAGGACACACATCACAAAGAAGTTTGTGAGAATGCTTCTGTCTAGATTTTGTATGACGATATTCCCTTTTCCAACGATATCATTAAAGCAATCTAAATATCAATTTGCAGAATCCACAGAAATAGAGTTTCAAAGCTGCTCTGTAAAAAGAAAGGTTCCACTCTGTTAGCTGAGTACACACATCACAAACTTGTTTCTGAGAATCCTTCTGTCTCGTTTTTATGGGAAGATATTTACTTTTTCACCGTAGGCATCAAAGCGCTCCAAATGTCCACATCCAGATACTCCAGAAAGACTGTTTCAAACCTGCCCTATGAAAGGGAATCTTCAACTCTATGAGTTGAATGCAGACATCAGAAAGAAATTTCTGAGAATGCTGCTGTCTACCTTTTTATTTGAATTCCCGCTTCCAACGAAATCCTCCAAGCTATCCAAATATCCACCTGCATTTTCCACAACAAGAGTGTTTCAAAACTGCTCTATCAATAGAAATGTTCAACTCCTTTGGCTGGGTACACACATCACAAACAAGTTTCTGAGAATGCTTCTTTCTAGATTTTATGGGAAGACATTTCCTTTTTCACCAAAGGCATCAAAGAGCTCCAAATGTCCACTTCCAGATACTACAAAAAGAGTGTTTCAAAAGTGCTCTAAGAAAGCGAATGTTCAACACTATGACTTGAATGCAGATATCAAAAAGTAGTTTCTGAGAGTGCTTCTGTCTAGATTTTAGATGATGATATTCCCGTTTCCAACGAAATCATTAGAGCTATCCAAATATCCACTTACAGTTTCTACAAAAAGAGTGTTTCCAAACTACTGCATCAAAAGAGAGGTTCCACTCTGTTAGGTGAGTACACACATCACAAACTTGTTTCTCAGAATCCTTCTGTCTCGTTTTTCTGGGAAGATATTTACTTTTTCACCGTAGGCATCAAAGCGCTCCAAATGTCCACATCCAGATACTCCAGAAAGAGTGTTTCAAACCTGCTCTATGAAAGGGAATCTTCAACTCCTATGAGTTGAATGCAGACATCAGAAAGAAATTTCTGAGAATGCTGCTGTCTACCTTTCATTTGAATTCCCGCTTCCAACGAAATCCTCCAAGCTATCCAAATATTCACTTGCAGATTCCACAAAAAGAGTGTTTCAAAACTACTCTATCAATAGAAAGGTACAACTCTGTCAGTTGAGGACACACATCACAAACAAGTTTCTGAGAATGCTGTCTACCTTTTATTTGAATTCCCGCTTCCAACGAAAACCTCCAAGCTATCCAAATATCCACTTGCAGATTCCACAAAAAGAGTGTTTCAAAACTGCTCTATCAATAGAAATGTTCAACTCCTTTCGCTGGGTACACACATCACAAACAAGTTTCTGAGAATGCTTCTGTCTGGCTTTTATTGGAAGACGTTTCCTTTTCACCAAAGGCATCAAAGCGCTCCAAATGTCCACTTCCAGATTCTTCCAAAAGAGTGTTTCAAACGTGCTCAAAGTAAGGGAATGTTCTACTCTGTGACTTGAATGCAGATATCACCAAGTAGTTTCTAATAGTGCTTCTGTCTAGATTTTAGATGACGATATTCCCGTTTCCAGCGAAATCGTTAGAGCTATCCAAATATCCACTTACAGTTTCTACAAAAAGAGTGTTTCCAAACTGCTGCATCAAAAGAAAGGTTCAACTCTGTTAGTTGAGGACACACATCACAAAGAAGTTTGTGAGAATGCTTCTGTCTAGATTTTGTATGACCATATTCCCTTTTCCAGCGATATCATTAAAGCAATCTAAATATCCATTTGCAGAATCCACAAAAATAGAGTTTCAAAGCTGCTCTGTAAAAAGAGAGGTTCCACTCTGTTAGCTGAGTACACACATCACAAACTTGTTTCTCAGAATCCTGCTGTCTACCTTTTATTTGAATTCCCGCTTCCAACGAAATCCTCCAAGCTATCCAAATATCCACTTGCATTTTCCACAAAAAGAGTGTTTCAAAACTGCTCTATCAATAGAAACGTTCAACTCCTTTAGCTGGGTACACACATCACAAACAAGTTTCTGAGAATGCTTCTGTCTAGTTTTTATGGGAAGACATTCCCTGTTTCACCAAAGGCATCAAAGCGCTCCAAATGTCCACTTCCTGACACTACAAAAAGAGTGTTTCAAACGTGCTCTAAGAAAGCGAATGTTCAACTCTCTGACTTGAATGCAGATATCACAAAGTAGTTTGCTGAGAGGGCTTCTGTCTAGATTTTAGATGATGATATTCCCGTTTCCAACGAAATCATTAGAGCTATCCAAATATCCACTTACAGTTTCTACAAAAAGAGTGTTTCCAAACTGCTGCATCAAGAGAGAGGTTCCACTCTGTTAGCTGAGTACACACATCACAAACTTGTTTCTCAGAATCCTTCTGTCTCGTTTTTATGGGAAGATATTTACTTTTTCACCGTAGGCATCAAAGCGCTCCAAATGTCCACATCCAGATACTCCAGAAAGAGTGTTTCAAACCTGCTCTATGAAAGGGAATGTTCAACTCTATGAGTTGAATGCAGACATCAGGAAGAAATTTCTGAGAATGCTTGCTGTCTACCTTTTATTTGAATTCCCGCTTCCAACGAAATCCTCCAAGCTATCCAAATATCCACTTGCAGATTCCACAAAAAGAGTGTTTCAAAACTGCTCTCTATCAATGGCAAAGTTCAACTCTGTTAGTTGAGGACACATATCACCAACAAGTTTCTGAGAATGCTTCTGTCTATTTTTTATGGGAAGATATTTCCTTTTTCACCGTAGGCGTCAAGGCGATCGAAATGTCCACTTCCACAAACTACAAAAAGAGTGTTTCAAACCTGCTCTATGAAAGGCGATGTTCATCTCTATGAGTTGAATGGAAATATCCGAAAGAAATTTCTGGGAATGCTGCTGTCTAGTTTTTATACGAATTGCCGCTTCCAACGAA
This sequence comes from Homo sapiens, assembly GCF_000001405.40. NCBI lineage: Eukaryota > Metazoa > Chordata > Mammalia > Primates > Hominidae > Homo > Homo sapiens. Next base: position 12,611,028 of record NC_000021.9, on the reverse strand, counting down.
ATCCTCAAAGCAATCCAAATATCCACTTGCAGAATCGACAAAAAGAGTGTTTCAAAACTGCTCTATCAATAGAAAGGTTCAACTCTTTTAGTTGAGTACACACATCACAAACAAGTTTCTGAGAATGCTTCTGTCTGGCTTTTATTGGAAGACGTTTCCTTTTCACCAAAGGCATCAAAGCGCTCCAAATGTCCACTTCCAGATTCTTCCAAAAGAGTGTTTGAAACGTGCTCAAAGTAAGGGAATGTTCAACTCTGTGACTTGAATGCAGATATCACCAAGTAGTTTCTAATAGTGCTTCTGTCTAGATTTTAGATGATGATATTCCCGTTTCCAACGAAATCGTTAGAGCTATCCAAATATCCACTTACAGTTGCTACAAAAACAGTGTTTCCAAACTGCTGCATCAAAAGAAAGGTTCAACTCTGTTAGATGAGGACACACGTCACAAAGAAGTTTGTGAGAATGCTTCTGTCTAGATTTTGTATGACGATATTCCCTTTTCCAACGATATCGTTAAAGCAATCTAAATATCAATTTGCAGAATCCACAAAAATAGAGTTTCAAAGCTGCTCTGTAAAAAGAAAGGTTCCACTCTGTTAGCTGAGTACACATATCACAAACTTGTTTCTCAGAATCCTGCTGTCTACCATTTATTTGAATTCCCGCTTCCAACGAAATCTTCCAACCTATCCAAATATCCACCTGCATTTTCCACAAAAAGAGTGTTTCAAAACTGCTCTATCAATAGAAATGTTCAACTCCTTTAGCTAGGTACACACATCACAAACAAGTTTCTGAGAATGCTTCTGTCTAGTTTTTATGGGAAGACGTTCCCTTTTTCACCAAAGGCATCAAAGCGCTCCAAATGTCCACTTCCAGACACTACAAAAAGAGTGTTTCCAACGTGCTCTAAGAAAGCGAATGTTCAACTCTGTGACTTGAATGCAGATATCACAAAGTAGTTTGTGAGAGGGCTTCTGTCTAGATTTTGTATGACGATATTCCCTTTTCCAATGATATCGTTAAAGCAATCTAAATATCAATTTGCAGAATCCACAAAAATAGAGTTTCAAAGCTGCTCTGTAAAAAGAAAGGTTCCACTCTGTTAGCTGAGTACACACATCACAAACTTGTTTCTGAGAATCCTGCTGTCTACCTTTTATTTGAATTCCCGCTTCCAACGAAATCCTCCAAGCTATCCAAATATCCACTTGCATTTTCCACAAAAAGAGTGCTTCAAAACTGCTCTATCAATAAATGTTCAACTCCTTTAGCTGGGTGCACACATCACAAACAAGTTTCTGAGAATGCTTCTGTCTAGTTTTTATGGGAAGACGTTCCCTTTTTCACCAAAGGCATCAAAGCACTCCAAATGTCCACTTCCAGACACTACAAAAAGAGTGTTTCCAACGTGCTCTAAGAAAGCGAATGTTCAACTCTGTGACTTGAATGCAGATATCACAAAGTAGTTTCTGAGAGGGCTTCTGTCCAGATTTTGTATGACGATATTCCCTTTTCCAACGATATCGTTAAAGCAATCTAAATATCAATTTCCAGAATCCACAAAAATAGAGTTTCAAAGCTGCTCTGTAAAAAGAAAGGTTCCACTCTGTTAGCTGAGTACACACAACACAAACTTGTTTCTGAGAATCCTTCTGTCTCGTTTTTATGGGAAGATATTTACTTTTTCACCGTAGGCATCAAAGCGCTCCAAATGTCCACATCCAGATACTCCAGAAAGAGTGTTTCAAACCTGCTCTATGAAAGGGAATCTTCAACTGCTATGAGTTGAATGCAGACATCAGAAAGAAATTTCTGAGAATGCTGCTGTCTACCTTTCATTTGAATTCCCGCTTCCAACGAAATCCTCCAAGCTATCCAAATATCCACTTGCAGATTCCACAAAAAGAGTGTTTCTAAACTGCTCTATCAATGGCAAGGTTCAACTCTGTCAGTTGAGGATACACATCACAAACAAGTTTCTGAGAATTCTTCTGTCTATTTTTTATGGGAAGATATTTCCTTTTTCACCGTAGGCGTCAAGGCGATCGAAATGTCCACTTCCACAAACTACAAAAAGTGTGTTTCAATATGAAAGGCCATGTTCATCTCTATGAGTTGAATGGAAATATCCGAAAGAAATTTCTGGGAATGCTGCTGTCTAGTGTTTATACGAATTCCCGCTTCCAACGAAATCCTCAAAGCAATCCAAATATCCACTTGCAGAATCCACAAAAAGAGTGTTTCAAAACTGCTCTATCAATAGAAAGGTTCAACTCTTTTAGTTGAGTACACACATCACAAACAAGTTTCTGAGAATGCTTCTGTCTGGCTTTTATTGGAAGACGTTTCCTTTTCACCAAAGGCATCAAAGCGCTCCAAATGTCCACTTCCAGATTCTTCCAAAAGAGTGTTTCAAACGTGCTCAAAGTAAGGGAATGTTCTACTCTGTGTCTTGAATGCAGATATCACCAAGTAGTTTCTAATAGTGCTTCTGTCTAGATTTTAGATGATGATATTCCCGTTTCCAACGAAATCGTTAGAGCTATCCAAATATCCAATTACAGTTTCTACCAAAAGGGTGTTTCCAAATTGCTGCATCAAAAGAAAGGTTCAACTCTGTTAGTTGAGGACACACATCACAAAGAAGTTTGTGAGAATGCTTCTGTCTAGATTTTGTATGACGATATTCCCTTTTCCAACGATATCGTTAAAGCAATCTAAATATCCATTTGCAGAATCCACAAAAATAGAGTTTCAAAGCTGCTCTGTAAAAAGAAAGGTTCCACTCTGTTAGCTGAGTACACACATCACAAACTTGTTTCTCAGAATCCTTCTGTCTCGTTTTTATGGGAAGATATTTACTTTTTCACCGTAGGCATCAAAGCGCTCCAAATGTCCACATCCAGATACTCCAGAAAGAGTGTTTCAAACCTGCTCCTATGAAAGGGAATGCTTCAACTCTATGAGTTGAATGCAGACATCAGAAAGAAATTTCTGAGAATGCTGCTGTCTACCTTTTATTTGAACTCCCGCTTCCAACGAAATCCTCCAAGCTATCCAAATATCCACTTGCATTTTCCACAAAAAGAGTGCTTCAAAACTGCTCTATCAATAAATGTTCAACTCCTTTAGCTGGGTGCACACATCACAAACAAGTTTCTGAGAATGCTTCTGTCTAGTTTTTATGGGAAGACATTCCCTTTTTCACCAAAGGCATCAAAGCGCTCCAAATGTCCACTTCCAGACACTACAAAAAGAGTGTTTCCAACGTGCTCTAAGAAAGCGAATGTTCAACTCTGTGACTTGAATACAGATATCACAAAGTAGTTTCTGAGAGGGCTTCTGTCTAGATTTTAGTTGATGATATTCCCATTTCCAACGAAATCATTAGAGCTATCCAAATATTCACTTACAGTTTCTACAAAAAGAGTGTTTCCAAACTGCTGCATCAGAAGAGAGGTTCCACTCTGTTAGCTGAGTACACACATCACAAACTTGTTTCTCAGAATCCTTCTGTCTCGTTTTTATGGGAAGATATTTACTTTTTCATCGTAGGCCTCAAATCGCTCCAAATGTCCACATCCAGATACTACAGAAAGAGTATTTCAAACCTGCCCTATGAAAGGGAATGCTCAACTCTATGAGTTGAATGCAGACATCAGAAAGAAATTTCTGAGAATGCTGCTGTCTACCTTTTATTTGAATTCCCGCTTCCAACGAAATCCTCCAAGCTATCCAAATATCCACTTGCAGATTCCACAAAAAGAGTGTTTCAAAACTGCTCTCTATCAATGGCAAAGTTCAACTCTGTTAGTTGAGGACACATATCACCAACAAGTTTCTGAGAATGCTCTGTCTATTTTTTATGGGAAGATATTTCCTTTTTCACCGTAGGCGTCAAGGCGATCGAAATGTCCACTTCCACAAACTACAAAAAGAGTGTTTCAAACCTGCTCTATGAAAGGCGATGTTCATCTCAATGAGTTGAATGGAAATATCCGAAAGAAATTTCTGGGAATGCTGGCTGTCTAGTTTTATACGAATTCCCGCTTCCAACGAAATCCTCAAAGCAATCCAAATATCCACTTGCAGAATCCACAAAAGAGTGTTTCAAAACTGCTCTATCAATAGAAAGGTTCAACTCTTGTAGTTGAGTACACACATCACAAACAAGTTTCTGAGAATGCTTCTGTCTGGCTTTTATTGGAAGACGTTTCCTTTTCACCAAAGGCATCAAAGCGCTCCAAATGTCCACTTCCAGATTCTTCCAAAAGAGTGTTTGAAACGTGCTCAAAGTAAGGGAATGTTCAACTCTGTGACTTGAATGCAGATATCACCAAGTAGTTTCTAATAGTGCTTCTGTCTAGATTTTAGATGATGATATTCCCGTTTCCAACGAAATCGTTAGAGCTATCCAAATATCCATTACAGTTGCTACAAAAACAGTGTTTCCAAACTGCTGCATCAAAAGAAAGGTTCAACTCTGTTAGTTGAGGACACACATCACAAAGAAGTTTGTGAGAATGCTTCTGTCTAGATTTTGTATGACCATATTCCCTTTTCCAGCGGTATCATTAAAGCAATCTAAATATCCATTTGCAGAATCCACAAAAATAGAGTTTCAAAGCTGCTCTGTAAAAAGAAAGGTTCCACTCTGTTAGCTGAGTACACACATCACAAACTTGTTTCTCAGAATCCTTCTGTCTCGTTCTTATGGGAAGATATTTACTTTTTCACCGTAGGCATCAAAGCGCTCCAAATGTCCACATCCAGATACTCCAGAAACAGTGTTTCAAACCTGCTCTATGAAAGGGAATCTTCAACTCTATGAGTTGAATGCAGACATCAGAAACTAATTTCTCAGAATGCTGCTGTCTACCTTTATTTGAATTCCCGCTTCCAACGAAATCCTCCAAGCTATCCAAATATCCACTTGCATTTTCCACAAAAAGAGTGTTTCAAAACTGCTCTATCAATAGAAATGTTCAACTCCTTTAGCTGGGTACACACATCACAAACAAGTTTCTGAGAATGCTTCTGTCTAGTTTTTATGGGAAGACGTTCCCTTTTTCACCAAAGGCATCAAAGCGCTCCAAATGTCCACTTCCAGACACTACAAAAAGAGTGTTTCAAACGTGCTCTAAGAAAGCGAATGTTCAACTCTGTGACTTGAATGCAGATATCACAAAGTAGTTTCTGAGTGAGCTTCTGTCTAGATTTTAGATGATGATATTCCCGTTTCCAAAGAAATCATTAGAGCTATCCAAATATCCACTTACAGTTTCTACAAAAAGAGTGTTTCCAAACTGCTGCATCAAAAGAGAGGTTCCACTCTGTTAGCTGAGTACACACATCACAAACTTGTTTCTCAGAATCCTTCTGTCTCGTTTTTATGGGAAGATATTTACTTTTTCACCGTAGGCATCAAAGCGCTCCAAATGTCCACATCCAGATACTACAGAAAGAGTATTTCAAACCTGCCCTATGAAAGGGAATCTTCAACTCTATGAGTTGAATGCAGAGATCAGAAAGAAATTTCTGAGAATGCTGCTGTCTACCTTTTATTTGAATTCCCGCTTCCAACGAAATCCTCCAAGCTATCCAAATATCCACTTGCAGATTCCACAAAAAGAGTGTTTCAAAACTGCTCTCTATCAATGGCAAAGTTCAACTCTGTTAGTTGAGGACACGTATCGCCAACAAGTTTCTGAGAATGCTTCTGTCTATTTTTTATGGGAAGATATTTCCTTTTTCACCGTAGGCGTCAAGGCGATCGAAATGTCCACTTCCACAAACTACAAAAAGAGTGTTTCAAACCTGCTCTATGAAAGGCCATGTTCATCTCTATGAGTCGAATGGAAATATCCGAAAGAAATTTCTGGGAATGCTGCTGTCTAGTTTTTATACGAATTCCCGCTTCCAACGAAATCCTCAAAGCAATCCAAATATCCTCTTGCAGAATCCACAAAAAGAGTGTTTCAAAACTGCTCTATCAATAGAAAGGTTCAACTCTTTTAGTTGAGTACACACATCACAAACAAGTTTCTGAGAATGCTTCTGTCTGGCTTTTATTGGAAGACGTTTCCTTTTCACCAAAGGCATCAAAGCGCTCCAAATGTCCACTTCCAGATTCTTCCAAAAGAGTGTTTCAAACGTGCTCAAAGTAAGGGAATGTTCAACTCTGTGACTTGAATGCAGATATCACCAAGTAGTTTCTAATAGTGCTTCTGTCTAGATTTTAGATGATGATATTCCCGTTTCCAACGAAATCGTTAGAGCTATCAAAATATCCACTTACAGTTTCTACAAAAACAGTGTTTCCAAACTGCTGCATCAAAAGAAAAGTTCAACTCTGTTAGTTGAGGACACACATCACAAAGAAGTTTGTGAGAATGCTTCTGTCTAGATTTTGTATGACGATATTCCCTTTTCCAACGATATCGTTAAAGCAATCTAAATATCAATTTGCAGAATCCACAAAAATAGAGTTTCAAAGCTGCTCTGTAAAAAGAAATGTTCCACTCTGTTAGCTGAGTACACACATCACAAACTTGTTTCTGAGAATCCTTCTGTCTCGTTTTTATGGGAAGATATTTACTTTTCCACCGTAGGCATCAAAGCGCTCCAAATGTCCACATCCAGATACTCCAGAACGAGTGTTTCAAACCTGCTCTATGAAAGGGAATCTTCAACTCTATGAGTTGAATGCAGACATCAGAAAGAAATTTCTGAGAATGCTGCTGTCTACCTTTTATTTGAATTCCCGCTTCCAACGAAATCCTCCAAGCTATCCAAATATCCACCTGCATTTTCCACAACAAGAGTGTTTCAAAACTGCTCTATCAATAGAAATGTTCAACTCCTTTGGCTGGGTACACACATCACAAACAAGTTTCTGAGCATGCTTCTGTCTAGTTTTTATGGGAAGACATTCCCTTTTTCACCAAAGGCATCAAAGCGCTCCAAATGTCCACTTCCAGACACTACAAAAAGAGTGTTTCAAACGTGCTCTAAGAAAGCGAATGTTCAACTCTGTGACTTGAATGCAGATATCACAAAGTAGTTTCTGAGAGTGCTTCTGTCTAGACTTTAGATGATGATATTCCCGTTTCCAACGAAATCATTAGAGCTATCCAAATATCCACTTACAGTTTCTACAAAAAGAGTGTTTCCAAACTGCTGCATGAAAAGAGAGGTTCCACTCTGTTAGCTGAGTACACACATCACAAACTTGTTTCTCAGAATCCGTCTGTCTCGTTTTTACGGGAAGATATTTACTTTTTCACCGTAGGCATCAAAGCGCTCCAAATGTCCACATCCAGATACTCCAGAAAGAGTGTTTCAAACCTGCTCTATGAAAGGGAATCTTCAACTCTATGAGTTGAATGCAGACATCAGAAAGAAATTTCTGAGAATGCTGCTGTCTACCTTTTATTTGAATTCCCGCTTCCAACGAAATCCTCCAAGCTATCCAAATATCCACTTGCAGATTCCACAAAAAGAGTGTTTCAAAACTGCTCTCTATCAATGGCAAAGTTCAACTCTGTTAGTTGAGGACACATATCACCAACAAGTTTCTGAGAATGCTTCTGTCTATTTTTTATGGGAAGATATTTCCTTTTTCACCGTAGGCGTCAAGGCGATCGAAATGTCCACTTCCACAAACTACAAAAAGAGTGTTTCAAACCTGCTCTATGAAAGGCCATGTTCATCTCTATGAGTTGAATGGAAATATCCGAAAGAAATTTCTGGGAATGCTGCTGTCTAGTGTTTATACGAATTCCCGCTTCCAACGAAATCCTCAAAGCAATCCAAATATCCACTTGCAGAATCCACAAAAAGAGTGTTTCAAAACTGCTCTATCAATAGAAAGGTTCAACTCTTTTAGTTGAGTGCACACATCACGAACAAGTTTCTGAGAATGCTTCTGTCTGGCTTTTATTGGAAGACGTTTCCTTTTCACCAAAGGCATCAAAGCGCTCCAAATGTCCACTTCCAGATTCTTCCAAAAGAGTGTTTCAAACGTGCTCGAAGTAAGGGAATGTTCAACTCTGTGACTTGAATGCAGATATCACCAAGTAGTTTCTAATAGTGCTTCTGTCTACATTTTAGATGATGATATTCCCGTTTCCAACGAAATCGTTAGAGCTATCCAAATATCCAGTTACAGTTTCTACCAAAAGGGTGCCTCCAAATTGCTGCATCAAAAGAAAGGTTCAACTCTGTTAGTTGAGGACACACATCACAAAGAAGTTTGTGAGAATGCTTCTGTCTAGATTTTGTATGACGATATTCCCTTTTCCAACGATATCGTTAAAGCAATCTAAATATCAATTTGTAGAATCCACAAAAATAGAGTTTCAAAGCTGCTCTGTAAAAAGAAAGGTTCCACTCTGTTAGCTGAGTATACACATCACAAACTTGTTTCTGAGAATCCTTCTGTCTCGTTTTTATGGGAAGATATTTACTTTTTCACCGTAGGCATCAAAGCGCTCCAAATGTCCACATGCAGATACTCCAGAAAGACTGTTTCAAACCTGCTCTATGAAAGGGAATCTTCAACTCTATGAGTTGAATGCAGACATCAGAAAGAAATTTCTGAGAATGCTGCTGTCTACCTTTTATTTGAATTCCCGCTTCCAACGAAATCCTCCAAGCTATCCAAATATCCACCTGCATTTTCCACAAAAAGAGTGTTTCAAAACTGCTCTATCAATAGAAATGTTCAACTCCTTTGGCTGGGTACACACATCACAAACAAGTTTGCTGAGAATGCTTTCTGTCTAGTTTTTATGGGAAGACATTCCCTTTTTCACCAAAGGCATCAAAGCGCTACAAATGTCCACTTCCAGACACTACAAAAAGTGTGTTTCAAACGTGCTCTAAGAAAACGAATGTTCAAATCTGTGACTTGAATGCAGATATCACAAAGTAGTTTCTGAGAGGGCTTCTGTCTAGATTTTAGATGATGATATTCCCGTTTCCAACGAAATCATTAGAGCTATCCAAATATCCACTTACAGTTTCTAGAAAAAGAGTGTTTCCAAACTGCTGCATCAAAAGAGAGGTTCCACTCTGTTAGCTGAGTACACACATCACAAACTTGTTTCTCAGAATCCTTCTGTCTCGTTTTTATGGGAAGATATTTACTTTCTCACCGTAGGCATCAAAGCGCTCCAAATGTCCACATCCAGATACTTCAGAAAGAGTGTTTCAAACCTGCTCTATGAAAGGGAATCTTCAACTCTATGAGTTGAATGCAGACATCAGAAAGAAATTTCTGGGAATGCTGCTGTCTACCTTTTATTTGAATTCCCGCTTCCAACGAAATCCTCCAAGCTATCCAAATATCCACTTGCAGATTCCACAAAAAGAGTGTTTCAAAACTGCTCTCTATCAATGGCAAAGTTCAACTCTGTTAGTTGAGGACACATATCACCAACAAGTTTCTGAGAATGCTTCTGTCTATTTTTTATGGGAAGATATTTCCTTTTTCACCGTAGGCGTCAAGGCGATCGAAATGTCCACTTCCACAAACTACAAAAAGAGTGTTTCAAACCTGCTCTATGAAAGGCCATGTTCATCTCTATGAGTCGAATGGAAATATCCGAAAGAAATTTGCTGGGAATGCTGGCTGTCTAGTTTTTATACGAATTCCCGCTTCCAACGAAATCCTCAAAGCAATCCAAATATCCACTTGCAGAATCCACAAAAAGAGTGTTTCAAAACTGCTCTATCAATAGAAAGGTTCAACTCTTTTAGTTGAGTACACACATCACAAACAAGTTTCTGAGAATGCTTCTGTCTGGCTTTTATTGGAAGACGTTTCCTTTTCACGAAAGGCATCAAAGCGCTCCAAATGTCCACTTCCAGATTCTTCCAAAAGAGTGTTTCAAACGTGCTCAAAGTAAGGGAATGTTCAACTCTGTGACTTGAATGCAGATATCACCAAGTAGTTTCTAATAGTGCTTCTGTCTAGATTTTAGATGATGATATTCCCGTTTCCAACGAAATCGTTAGAGCTATCCAAATATCCACTTACAGTTGCTACAAAAAGAGTGTTTCCAAACTGCTGCATCAAAAGAAAGGTTCAACTCTGTTAGTTGAGGACACACATCACAAAGAAGTTTGTGAGAATGCTTCTGTCTAGATTTTGTATGACGATATTCCCTTTTCCAACGATATCGCTAAAGCAATCTAAATATCAATTTGCAAAATCCACAAAAATAGAGTTTCAAAGCTGCTCTGTAAAAAGAAAGGTTCCACTCTGTTAGCTGAGTACACACATCACAAACTTGTTTCTGAGAATCCTTCTGTCTCGTTTTTATGGGAAGATATTTACTTTTCCACCGTAGGCATCAAAGCGCTCCAAATGTCCACATCCAGATACTCCAGAACGAGTGTTTCAAACCTGCTCTATGAAAGGGAATCTTCAACTCTATGAGTTGAATGCAGACATCAGAAAGAAATTTACTGAGAATGCTGCTGTCTACCTTTTATTTGAATTCCCGCTTCCAACGAAATCCTCCAAGCTATCCAAATATCCACCTGCATTGTCCACAAAAAGAGTGTTTCAAAACTGCTCTATCAATAGAAATGTTCACTCCTTTAGCGGGGTACACACATCACAAACAAGTTTCTGAGAATGCTTCTGTCTAGTTTTTATGGGAAGACGTTCCCTTTTTCACCAAAGGCATCAAAGCGCTCCAAGTGTCCACTTCCAGACACTACAAAAAGAGTGTTTCAAACGTGCTCTAAGAAACCGAATGTTCAACTCTGTGACTTGAATGCAGATATCACAAAGTAGTTTCTGAGAGGGCTTCTGTCTAGATTTTAGATGATGATATTCCCGTTTCCAACGAAATCATTAGAGCTATCCAAATATCCACTTACAGTTTCTACAAAAAGAGTGTTTCCAAACTGCTGCATCAAAAGAGAGGTTCCACTCTGTTAGCTGAGTACACACATCACAAACTTGTTTCTGAGAATCCTGCTGTCTACCTTTTATTTGAATTCCCGCTTCCAACGAAATCCTCCAAGCTATCCAAATATCCACTTGCATTTTCCACAAAAAGAGTGTTTCAAAACGGCTCTCTATCAATGTCAAAGTTCAACTCTGTTAGTTGAGGACACATATCACCAACAAGTTTCTGAGAATGCTTCTGTCTATTTTTTATGGGAAGATATTTCCTTTTTCACCGTAGGCGTCAAGGCGATCGAAATGTCCACTTCCACAAACTACAAAAAGAGTTTTTCAAACCTGCTCTATGAAAGGCCATGTTCATCTCTATGAGTTGAATGGAAATATCCGAAAGAAATTTCTGGGAATGCTGCTGTCTAGTGTTTATACGAATTCCCGCTTCCAATGAAATCCTCAAAGCAATCCAAAAATCCACTTGCAGAATCCACAAAAAGAGTGTTTCAAAACTGCTCTATCAATAGAAAGGTTCAACTCTTTTAGTTGAGTACACACATCACGAACAAGTTTCTGAGAATGCTTCTGTCTG